>NC_000013.11:112453300-112758230 GCF_000001405.40 Homo sapiens | reverse complement strand
AACTAGCCAGGCATGGTGGTGCGTGCCTGTAATCCCAGCTAGTTGGGAGGTTGAGGCAGGAGAATTGCTTGAACCTGGGAAGTGTAGGTTGCAATGAGCCGAGATCGTGCCACTGCACTCCAGCCTGGCAACAGAGCAAGACTCTGTCTCAAAAACAACAACAAAAATGTCTTTAGTGTAAAAACAAAGGTTGAGACTTGGATGGAACCTGAGTAGCATGTGTCCCGCACTCGTGCATGTGGCGTGGACTCCCTGGAAGCTTCTGGAAGTTCAGAAGCAGCTCTCTGGGAACCCCACCACGCTGGCCCCTGGCTCCCCTAACACAGCGTGCAGACCTAAAGCCACTCACTCTTGCCAGAACCTCGCCTTTCTGCCGCACACACATGACGCCATCCTTGGAAGCACAGACTGCAGCGAAACACTCAGCAAGACAATCAGGAAGAAAGACGTTTTGAGTAGGTATTTTTAAAGACTTTTCTTTTTAATACAACTTAATTGTTTTTGTAATTTAATGTTTAACAATGTCTCCTGAGATTCCTGAACACTGAACAACTGGCCTGCTGGTCCGTGCCCCTGGCCCTTCCCTTGAGGGATGAGACAAGGAGGCCAGCCTGGGAAAGGAGTGGGCGTCCTGTCCACCTCCGTGAGGGGACCTCCTGCTTTTCCCGATTCAAATCAGTTCTCCTCTGCAGAGGTCTAAAACAGCCCAGTTGTGGAAACACAAAGTAAAATGTGGAAATAGAGAAGCTAGTCTTGACCTGAATAGACCTTGTAGTTTTCGCAAATACCTGTGACAGTAATTAACACCGACATAAGAGGAAGTCGTGATGACACTAAGAGACTCGGAAAACAAGTGGATTAAACACATTGCCTTCTAGAAAAAGCTGCGTGAAATGGGTTTGGAATTTCTGTTTACTCTGAAGATGAAAGCTTCCTATGTTTGTTCACCACTGGAGAGAACACAAAGGCCAGAAACACAGCACGTCTTTGTTCTGCCATGAGCACAGCTCTATTCCCAGACGCTCGCCCCTGCTTTCTGTCACAGGCGGCCATTCTCGTAGGCTGGACTCCCTAAATCCACGAGCTTGCATAGCTCCACCAGTAACACTACAGATTGTAGCAGCAGTAACTTTTTATCTTTTGCCTAAATAAATAAAAAGCACTTAGCATGCTATCTCATGTACAGTAGGTGCTCACATCAATGTGGACTAAATCCACAGAAAGCTAATTCTTCAAATATGATCATTTTGTAAACGATGTAACTAGTATGTAACAATTTCAACTAGTAAATTACTAGATGTAGTGGATGCGTTAGGAGCAGGCCCCGCGCTGGGAGCAGGCCCCGTGCTGGGAGCAGACCACGTGCTGGGAGCAGACCCCGCGCTGGGAGCAGGCCCCGTGCTGGGAGCAGACCCCTCGCTGGGAGCAGGCCCCGGCTGCCACAAGCTGCTCTGGCTGCTGTGGAAATCGTCAGACACCACACAGGCTGCCCTGGGGTGCAGAGGGCCGTGCCCCAGAAGAAAGGCAAAGAGGCATCTGGGAAGCCTCAGCCACCAGCCAAGAAGCACCTCTGACACCGTCCAGGCTCTCCAGGTGAGGCCCACCTGAGCTCAGCCGCCACCAGCGGTCTGAAATCGTGTCTGCTGTTTTTCGTGCCGTCCCCCACCTGCCCCGCCATCCGCTAGACCCTGGGAGGTAAGGTCTAGGTGACAGGGACCCTGTTACCAAGAGAGCGCCCCAGTGAGTGGTCAGACTCAACAAGCACACACACTCTGGGCAGAAGGCAGATACAGGTGCCTCTCCTGGACTGGAAGGGGACCCTGATCCTGAAGCCCAACACGCAGGTGAGAGAGGTGGCCTGCAGGGTCTAGAGAGAAAGAACTGCCAGGAAAAACACTTTCCCCTTTCCTGAAGGCACCGCAACGATGGACATGACCCTTAGTTATTTGGGGTCAGAGGTCGATTCGCACAGCCAGCCAGAATCGTAGACCCTGCCTGGAATCTAACCTGTTTCACAGACTAAGTTTTATTTAATTTGTATTTTGGTTTTGGCTTTGTAGTTTAATGTTGTAAGGATATCATTATAATCAACATATGTCAACACCAGGGTTGCTAAGAAATTTACGCTGCTCTAAGTAATGCTTCCATGACTGGAAATGATTCTAGAATCTGCTCTGAGTGACGCTTCCGTGACCGGAAATGGTTCTGGGAGCCGCTCTGAGTGCCGTTTCCGTGACCGGAAATGGTTCTGGGAGCCGCTCTGAGTGCCGCTTCCGTGACCGGAAATGGTTCTGGGAGCCGCTCTGAGTGCCGCTTCCGTGACGGGAAATGGTTCTGGGAGCCGCTCTGAGTGCCGCTTCCGTGACCGGAAATGGTTCTGGGAGCCGCTCTGAGTGCCGCTTCCGTGACGGGAAATGGTTCTGGGAGCCGCTCTGAGTGCCGCTTCCGTGACCGGAAATGGTTCTGGGAGCCGCTCTGAGTGCCGCTTCCGTGACCGGAAATGGTTCTGGGAGCCGCTCTGAGTGATGGTTCCGTGACCGGAAATGGTTCTGGGAGCCGCTCTGATTGATGCTTCCCTGACTGGAAATGGTTCTAGGAGCCGCTCTGAGTGACGCTTCCATGATTGGAAATGGTTCTGGGAGCTGCTCTGAGTGACGGTTCCGTGACTGGAAATGGTTCTGGCTAACCTTGGCTGCAGTCCTGCAGGGAGGCTCTTCTTGTGTCAATTTTACATGCAAGAAACGGAGGCTCTGAGAGGACCTGGAGGGATCCCATAGGCAGTTCGGGGCCGTCCTCTGGCAAGCGCCCTGTGGGTGACTGCTACAAGGGACGCAGACAAGAAGCGGAAAACCGGTCTCTGGGTGTAGAGAGACTGTCCAAGCTGGGCAGAGTTCTAGGATCCAAGGAGAGGGTGGGACTGTGCAATGGAAAGCAGAAGACACGAAAACCCAGCGACCTCTGACCTGTGAAGCAGAGGCCCACAGACCCGCCCCCAGTCCACGTGCAGCCTGCAGCCTGTCTGTGTGGTCCATGAACTGAGAATGCTTTTACGTCCTTAAATGGTTGAAAAAAATCAAAAGAAAAGTAACTGTTTGGGGACACGTGAAAATGTTCGGAAAGTACAATTTCCTCGTCCACAGTCGCATTTCATCGGCCCACAGTGGTCCTCCTGAGCCATGGACTGACGACGGCGCCCTGGCTACTAGGGCACAGCTGGCACTGCAGAGGCCACGATGCCCAGGTCCGCGCCATCCAGCCCTCGGCAGGAGCTCTGCGCCCACCGCGGAGCAGGTCAGGCACACGCGCTCGGGAGGGGCAAGTGCAGGGTGTCTAGGAGGGCTGGGGAAGCCCTGCAGTGGGGCCGGGCCAGCATTCCCGGAGCTCCATGGACAGGTGGTCGATTGTGGATCGTGGAGAGGCCTCCTGAGCAGGCTTGTGGGGTGGAGCCCTGCCCCCCGCCCGCATTTGTGACACGCCCCTGGGTGGCCAGGTGCCCTGCAGTGTGAGACATTCCAGCCAATGAGACCCACAGGCTTTGGAGGCGATGGGTCCACCTGTGAGTGGAGTACAGAACGTGGGGGAACAGCTTCCCAGGAGTCTGGGGCTCAACCTCTCCAGGAGGCCCTGAAGGTGGCCTGAGAAAGTTCTGCCTCTCGGGGGGGCAGCGTGGAGCACAGGAGCCGCAGTGAGTCCTGCCTGGCTCTAAGCACCACTTTCCAAGCATGCAGCTTTGGCAGGTGAATTAGCCCAGTACTCAGTTTCCTCGGCGGGAGAGCAGGGCTGTGGGGTGGCACCTGCCTCACAGGGCCGCTGGGAGGGATGCCTGGGTGACAGTGAACGCAAGGAGCATGCTCATACACCCCAAACATGGCGAGCGTTATCTGGAGGCATATGCAGAGGTGGGACTGGGGACCAGGTCTCCAAAGACCAAGAATCAGCCGAGGCACTAAGGGGCAGATTGCAGAGGTGAACAGTCCCGCCAGTGAGAACCCGGCCCTGTTATTCCACGGCCTTCTCTGCCTTCTGCGAGAAAACGAATTTCCCAGACCCCAGCGCAGGCCTTTCTCACATCTCAGCAGCAGGGACCGTGGCTCCAACTGCGGCTCAGGATGAAGGCCCCAGGCGCTGAAGAGAGTGAAGCCGAACCCCTCCTCAATCCCAAAACACTGGGGACCACGGTGAGACAGCGACGCCCTGGATGCTGCCTGGTCAAGGTCAGGCTGTGATCGGCCTGTCAGGCGTGTGGCAGAACCAGCTTCAGAGGCAGCGGTGTCCACGTAATGAGCTCAAATGATGCCCCAGGAAGAACATAGATGGCTTCTTTCTTTAATTCCTCAGCATGTTTTTAAATTTAAATAACTCTACATTGCATTTTGGAAAAAGCGCTTCTAACATAAGCCTGTTTGACTGCAGTTAAATAATTTATGTGTCTCTTGGCCTGGGAATCACTGTCTCCATTATTTTTTTTATGTGACTCACTTTATTGCTCCATTATTATTAATAATAAATATGTCAGGAATCAGGCACACAAAAATATCAAGAATAAAGAAGTATATAAAGAGCTCCTCAAGACACAACCCAAATGAAAGATGGGCAAAAGATATAAACAAGCTGTTCTTTTTCAAAAAAGAGAAAAGAACAGCAAATGGACTTAAACACATAAAAAGATTCTCAACCTGCCTGTTAGCAGGAGAAGTACAAGATAAAACCACAACAGGACGTGGCATCTCATCCAGCAGCGGTAGGCAGGCCCAGAAGCTGGCAAGCCGGGCAGCGCAGGCTGCTGGCGAGGTAGGTGGAGAACAGGCATCCTCCTACGGCACTGACAGAGCAAACCGCAAACGTACCCCCCTTCTCAGAAATCTCCCTTCTCCAAAGCGATCCCAAAGCTGTCCTCGCAGAAATATAGCTGATGTACTCACAAGGCATCTGCAGCACTATTTATAAAAGCAGAAGATTGGAGCCCAGCTGTCCATGATGTGGGGCGGCCAGGGGCGGGGGAGGTTGAGTCCACAGGGGAACATCACGCAGCTGTGCAGACACATGCACGCCATCCACATAACACGCAGGTACAAAGGGACGGAGGGACAGAGAGAAAAAAGTCTGGGCCGGGGTAACTGTAAGCCACCGTATATGTCATTGGGAACACTGACTCATTTACCCTGGGCCTGATGTCACTGACTTCTACCTCCTGCCCCAAGACTTAGAGTGAAAGATGAAAAGATGACCTGTTAACTCACCTGTGGGCAGGATGTGTAGACCATGTAGCATATGTGATTGAATACACAGCCAGTCCCTCCATTAACTCCAAAGGACACGGCTCCTTCGGCAGCTGCTGGAGGCCAGGCGGAAGCCACTCCCAGGTGGGTGCATCCTGGCTGACTTTCCTGGAAAGTCCCGATGCTACACTGACAACTACATTCTCTTTAGCAATTGTAGGATGGCCAGCAAGGACACTGTGGTTATCGGCGGTGGAAAGTAAATTCTTGGCATCCTACTGCTATTCCAGGCTATTAAACTACATTACGGTATTCTGTGTTGTAGAAATGTGTGGTTCATTCCACTGAAAGGGCAATTAAGTTTGTATGGTCAGAACAACTCTCAGTAAAATTCCTCATTAATTTTCTCACATAGAAATACACAACCCGTCAGACGGACGCGTATTCAGTGCTGAAGACGATGGCAGCAGGCTGGGGGTGGGGACAGAAAGAGGAGCCCCCGTCCCTCACAGCCCGCTCCGCACAGGGGCGCCCACCAGGCACAGGGGTACCCGCTCCACACAGGGGCGCCCGCCGGGAGGATTCTCCTGAGCTGCACTCTCCACCCCCGGGAACCCAGGAGACTTTGGGAATGGCGCTGCATGTCACTCCTGTGCTCAAACAGGTCCTCGCAGGAGGCCTTCCTGACTGCAGCACAGAAAAAGGCTGCCCTCCTCCCGGCCCCGAGCCCCACTGTCCTGCCCCATTTTCTTCTCCATGTACATCCCCACCTGACACAGCCGCCGTCACTGTTGTGACTTCTCTGCTGCCAGACGTCCCCCACCTTGAAACGAGGCAGGCCATTTATGACATAATCAGACACAGGGTTTACAGTGAGAGGCCCTAAGAAAGGAAACATCCTAATTTCCTAACAAATGAATGACCAATACTAGACCAATTCCTGAAAGGCTTATACCTGTGGAAAGGGGGAAGGGGTCCCTTAAAAGCATGGGGCACTCCAGGGCTCAGGAAAAGATGAACGACTTAGCCACATCGTTATTTACAAAGATGCAATGACATATATATTTGTGTATTTACACACACGCATGTGTGTATGTGTATACCATAATGTCAAAAGACAAATGAAAAACTGGGAGGCCAGTCACAGTGGCTGATGCCTGTAGTCCCAGCACTCTGAGGCGGGAGAATCACTGGAACCAGGCTGCAGTGACGCGGGATCACAGCACTGCACTCCAGCCTGGGTGACAGAGTAAGACCCTGTCTCAAAAAAAGGGGGGGGGGATTATCTGCAGTATGCATATCAGTCAAAGGGCCAATGTCTGTTTTTTTTTTTGTTTTGTTTTGTTTTGTTTTTGAGATGGAGCCTCACTGTCGCCCAGGCTGAAGTGCACTGGTGCGATCTCGGCTCACTGCAACCTCCACCTTCCGGGTTCAAGTGATTCTCATGCCTCAGCCTCCCTAGTAGCTGGGATTACAGGTGCGCGTCACCACATCCGGCTAATTTTTGTATTTTTAATAGAGATGGGGTTTCACCATGTTGGCCAGGCTGGTCTCAAATTGCTGGCCTCAAACAATCCACCCAACTCAGCCTCCCAAAGTGCTGGGTTTACAGGCATCAGCCACACTGTACCTGGCAAGGGCTAATTTATTTAATATAAAAAGAGCTCTCACAAATCAAGAGAAAAAAATGAACAGCCCAATAAACAAATGGCAGGGTGTATTCGCAGGCTGTTCATGGAAGAAAAACGTACGGTGGCAATTTAGCAGTAAACAAACAATACCAAGACACATGCCTTTCGACACAGTAGCTCCACCTCTACAAACATCCATGGAAGGACACGAAGACGCGCTTACACCGGTGTTCATCTTGCTGGAAAGGAACAGCCCTGCTCACAACAGTGAGAAAAGGGCGGTCCCACAGGGAGCAGAGAGACCCTGCGGCCCCACCGCCAAGGTTCAGCTCCTCCACAGTGGGCAGCCGTCTACGTGTTATGCCTCAATTCCCATCTCTAAAGTGGGAATAATAATGCTATTGTACCTCATGATGACATTACACCGATGAAGTTAGAATGGCACAGAATTAATTGCTCTATAAATGTTTGATGAAGGAGAGGATAATGATAAATAAAAATATCATGATGACGGTAATTATCATAACAATTCTACTTGTTATAAAAAGGCAGGGGGAAGCTACGTGACCCAGAAGAGGTCAGAAGTCATCTCTCCCAAACAGGCAGCTTCCACTTCCAACCTTCCCCGAACTCAAAGGAGGCTTTGTTATTCTCCCAAACGAAAACCTAGTGCAGTAAACACTAGTGAGCAAAGTGGACTGAAAGACTGAGAAATTCACGAGAGGCTGAAGGGGGATTCAACCCCGCGTCCTTCAGCAGGCGTGTCCCCACGTGGGAGGATGGAGACTCTCCTTCCCTAAGACAGAAATTCACGAGAGGCTGAAGGGGATTCAAACCCGCATCCTTCAGCAGGCGTGTCCCCACGTGGGAGGATGGAGACTCTCCTTCCCTAAGACAGAAATTCACGAGAGGCTGAAGAGGGATTCAACCCCGCGTCCTTCAGCAGGCGTGTCCCCACGTGGGAGGATGGAGACTCTCCTTCCCTAAGACAGAAATTCACGAGAGGCTGAAGGGGATTCAAACCCGCATCCTTCAGCAGGCGTGTCCCCACGTGGGAGGATGGAGACTCTCCTTCCCTAAGACAGAAATTCACGAGAGGCTGAAGGGGACTCAACCCCGCATCCTTCAGCAGGCGTGTCCCCACGTGGGAGGATGGAGACTCTCCTTCCCTAAGACAGAAATTCACGAGAGGCTGAAGGGGACTCAACCCCGCATCCTTCAGCAGGCGTGTCCCCACGTGGGAGGATGGAGACTCTCCTTCCCTAAGACAGAAATTCACGAGAGGCTGAAGGGGACTCAACCCCGCATCCTTCAGCAGGCGTGTCCCCACGTGGGAGGATGGAGACTCTCCTTCCCTAAGACAGAAATTCACGAGAGGCTGAAGGGGGATTCAACCCCGCTTCCTTCAGCAGGCATGTCCCCACGTGGGAGGATGGAGACTCTCCTTCCCTAAGACAGAAATTCACGAGAGGCTGAAGGGGGATTCAACCCCGCGTCCTTCAGCAGGCGTGTCCCCACATGGGAGGATGGAGACTCTCCTTCCCTAAGACAGAAATTCACGAGAGGCTGAAGGGGATTCAACCCCGCATCCTTCAGCAGGCGTGTCCCCACGTGGGAGGATGGAGATTCTCCTTCCCTAAGACAGAAATTCACGAGAGGCTGAAGGGGATTCAACCCCGCATCCTTCAGCAGACGTGTCCCCACGTGGGAGGATGGAGACTCTCCTTCCCTTTCTCTTCCTAACACAGTATCCACATTCCTAGGAATCAACGTTCCCAGCTTTTCTCTGATTAATATCTAGGTTCAGTACTTTCCCCAAAGCATATCTGTGTCTTCTCTTCTTTTCTGAGTTCTGTAAATCTCCTTTGCTTATTTTTATCTGTAAGACTTTTAATACTCAACAAGTTGCAACTTTTAGTAAAAAATTCCTTAAGCCTTTGACCAATGCTGGGAATATTTTTGAGAATGTAGTTAATTCAGGAAAGTCATTCAATAGTGAAAGACTTTTAAAATAAAAGTTAGAATGCTACGAAATGAAAGTTTCCCTTATTCTTTTAAGCGTGGCAGAAGTTCTTAATTTCTATTAAGAAATAGAAGGCTGGGACCAGGGATGACACATTCCAGCTCTCTCCACTTGGCTGCTGCTTGAGTTGGGCACAGAGCCTGGCGGCTTAGGGAGCTAGACCGGCTGCACTGTGCGGAGATGGAGGCGCATCCATGGCCCACGGCATCCACCAGAGCAGACAGCCTCATGCTGTGGCACGCCAGGGAGGCCGCTGGGGACGCTGCAGCCACCTGCCCTGGGGCCCCAGCAGAGCTGGGCTCTGTAGGTCACTCCAGCTGTGGGCACCCTGACGCCCAGCCCACCCGTGACCCAGTGCATGGCTCAAATGGCAACATTCTGTGTGTGCTCCGTGATGTGGAAGAGGTGAGGCACATAGCCGCAAAGGGCGGCAGTGGCTGTCTTTAACAAACGCGAGTGTTAAGGACACTGGCATGACCTCGAAGCTCCTCCAGTAGTTAGATCCGACCACATACTGAAATTTTAATGGGAAACTGTTGAAGATATTGATCTACAAGCACCATTTTCTGCTTGATAATATGGTTTTAAAACATTTTTTACATTATCTCTGTAGCTGGCTAGCAAAAACACAATTGCTTATTTCGGATTAACAGGAAGAAGCATAAATGACTATAATGTAAAAATTGCATTCAGGCCGGGCGTGGTGGCTCACGCTTGTAATCCCAGCACTTTTGGAGGCCTCGGCGAATGGATCGCATGAGTCCAGGAGTCTGAGACCAGCCTGGGTGACAGAGCAGAACCCTGTCTCTACAAAGAATACAAAAATTGGCTGGGTGTGGGAGCGCATACCTACAGTCTCAGCTACTCTGGAGGCTGAGATGGGAGGATTGCTTGAGCCCAGGAGGCGGAGGCTGCAGTAAGCTGAGATCATGCTATTGCTCTCCAGCCTGCACAACAGAGCAAGATCCCATCTCAATAAAAAGAAATGAAAGAAATGCATTTATATTTATGATTGTTTCTCAGAATAAATATATCTACTACATGATCGCCAAAGTTAGAAGGTAATGAAGACCCATCTTAGTTTGAGAGTCCCACAAATGCCTTCTAGCTTCTGTCTATAAATACAGGTTGAGTAGCCCTTATCCAAAATGCTTGGGACCAGATGTGCTTTGGATTTTGGGACATTTGCATATGCATCATGAGATACCTTGTGATGAGACCCAAATCTAAACACAAAATTCATTTGTGTTTCACACACACCTCATACACACAGCCTGATGGTAATTTTATACAATATTTTAAATAATTTTATGCATGAAAGTTTGTGTCAACAGCTTATGAATGGAATTTTCCACTTGTGGCATCATGCTGGTGCTTGAAAAGTTTCAGATTTTTGGGCATTTTGGATTTGGGATTTTGGAATGAGGGATGCTCAAATTCATCCCATCCCTTCAATTTTGCCTTACCCTTTCTTTCTGCATACAATCCTGTGTTCCTTCGTTTTGTTTTGTTTTTTTTTTGAGATGGAGTCTTACACTCTGTCCGTCCGAATGGAGTGCAATGGCGTGATCTCTGAACACTGCAACCACCGCCTCCCAGGTTCAAGCAATTCTCCTGCCTCAGCCTCCCGAGTAGCTGGGATTACAGGCGTGCACCACAATGCCTGGCTAATTTTTGTACTTTTAGTAGAGATGGGGTTTCCCCATGTTGGCCAGGCCGGTCTCGAACTCCTGACCTCAAGTGATCCGCCGGCCTTGGCCTCCCAAAGTGCAGGGATTACAAGCATGAGCCACCATACCAGGCCCTGTGTTACTTTTTGTAATTTGCTAAAAAGCTACAGTAGGGCTATTGAATGTGCACATAATGCACTCTCTGTTTCTTTGAAACACTGCCAAAAACACTATTTTGCCTTTGCAGTTTCTTGGCACGCTGGCTGAAGACATGTTGCCCACAAGCTGAGGGAGGTCCTTACCCGTGGACGCCAAGCTCCGGGAGGCTGCAGTGGCGGCAGCTGAGTCTGCAGGTGGAGAGGTGCAGGGACTGTTTTGCCTCCACCTCCTTCAATACCTACTTTTCTTTCCAGCAACAGTCCCTTCCCTTACGCTCCCGAATCCACCCTGGCCCTGAGGCTGCACCTGAGTACCACATCCTGACCCCACTTGTTTGCAAGACGTCTGCATGTCCACAAGTGCAGCGTTCATCTCATCTCAACAAGCGATCCCTCCGGAGCAGACGGGTGATCCCTACCACCTTCTGAACACTCCTACTCATCATCTCGGTAACACCCTCTACCTGTTCCATACCTAGGCCAGAGGTTTTCACCCCGGCCACACGTCAGTACCACTTAGGAAGTTAAAAAAAAAAAAACTATGCCAATGCAAGCCAATGACAGAAAAAAATCAATTACCCGATTTTAAAATAGGCAAAGAACCTCAATAGACATTTGTAGCAAGAAGGTCTAATAAGGAGATGAAAAGTGCTCAAATTAAAACCACAATGAGGCCAGGCACAGCAGCTCACAGCTGTAATCCCAGCACTTAGGGAGGTCAACGTAGGAGGATCACTTGAGTTCAATACCAGCCTGAGCAACCTAATGAGACCCTCCCTCTCCAAAAAAAGTTGTCTTTTTTTTTTTTTTTTTTTAATTAGCCAGGCATGGTGGTGCACGCCTGTGATCCCAGCTACTGGGGAGACTGAGGTGGGAGGATCGCTTGAGCCCAGGAGGTCGAAGCTGCAGTGAGGTATGGTTGTGCCACTGCACTCCAGCCTGGGTAAGAGAGCGAGGTGCTGTCTCTAAAAAACAACAACAAAACCCCACAATGAGATACTACCTACACGGAGCAGGATGGCTGCTACCAAAACACTAGACAGTGCCAAGTGCCGGTGAGGACGTGGGGAACCAGAGCCCCAGTTACCCGGGGAGGACGCGGGGAGCCGGAACCCCAGTTACCCGGTGAGGACGTGGGGAACCGGAACCCCAGTTACCCGGGGAGGACGTGGGGAGCCGGAACCCCAGTTACCCGGTGAGGACGTGGGGAACCGGAGCCCTGTGCACTGTTGGTGCAAGTGTGAAACGACACGGCTGCTATGGAGACAGCACGGAGGTTCCTCAGAGAATTAAACATAGGTATGACCCAGCACAGGATCCAGCAGTGCCACCTCTGGGCGCGCATCCAAAAGACACGAACTCAGTACGTGGAGGAGACGTCAGCACACGATCACCGCCGCCAGCATTCACAGCGGCCTACGGCAGACGCCCAAGAGTCCATCACAGGTGAACGGACAAGAAAAACGTGGTGTATACACACAACAGAACGTGATTCCGCCACAAAACGACACAGGATGAGTCCACTGAAATGACGTATCTAAAGTGGTCAAAATCACAGACAGAGAAAGCAGAACGGTGGTCACCAGGGCCTGGGGGAGGGGAGGTGGGGACACCTAGTTTAACGGCCCAGAGGCTGAGTTTTGCAAGACGGAGAATTTCTGGAGTTCCGCTGCACGACAATGTGGAGGTGCTCAATACTGCTGAACTGTACACTTAACATGGCTATGATGGTCAGTTCCATGCATGCTTTTTTTACAATTCAAAACTTTAGAAAATTATTTAAAACATAACAATACCAAGCCTGGGTCCTGCCTCTCACCGCTCCTAATCTTTTTGTTTTATGCTTCTCGATGATCCTTTTGTTTTTTTGGCTTTCCTCACTCATTCTCATATGATTCTAATATATAGCTGTGAGGAGGAACACCTACAAATTATAAACTAAAATTTGAAACTGTCTCTGATTAGGGGATGTATATTTATTGTGCATCCTTTTATTCTCTTCATACTAGGGTACACAGTAAGAGCTTAGTACTCACTAAACATTCACATTATTACCAACTGAATAAAAGAATGAATGATTATTTATTTGGGTGGTACTAATACTCTAAACATACTTTAAAACACTGGGATAAAATTTTAAATAGCTACATTCTAATTCTGATTATGGGCTGGGGCGGTGGCTCACGCCTGTAATCCCCACACTTTGGGAGGCCCAGGTGGGTGAATCACCTGAGGTCAGGAGTTCAAGACCAGCCTGGCCAACATGGTGAAACCCTGTCTCTACTAAAAATACAAAAATTAGCCAGGCGTGGTAGCGGGCGCCTGTAGTCTCAGCTACTTGGGAGGCTGAGGCAGGAGAATTGCTTGAACCCAGGAAGCGGAGATTGCAGTGAGCCGAGATGGCACCACTGCACTCCAGCCTCAGCAACAGAGTAAGACTCCGTCTCAAATAATAGTAATAGTTATTATTATTATGCTACTAACTTATCTCGAAACTAGTAAGTCTTAGCTATCCAGTGCCCAATTACCCCATCAGTAAAATCCTCACATTTTCTGATGAATCACTGTGTGCCACGTACTATTTTAAGACTCCCAGATGTATGATCACATTTAAAACTCACCATTGTTTGAAAGGGACATCCCTGTTATTTTCATTTCCCAGTTGAAGAAATTGAGGCTGGAGAGCTCACATATCTTACATGAAGTAGGGAAGGAATTTGAACTGGAGTTGGCTAACCACAACGTTTTAACTTGGGACACACTTGGAACACTGTTCAGAGCACTCTGTGCTTTACACACCAGCCGGGTGACTAAGAGTCGACCAGGAGGGAAGGTGTGGAGGATGCACTTTCCTGGCAAAAGCAAAACACCTCCACAGCACCGAGCCGAGAGCTGACTGCAGGCCAACGAGCCCGAGAAGTGCAGCGGCTCACCCGTGAGGGCAGGTGGTGAGCAGAGGGCCGGGGAGGGAGGCACCAGCAGCTAACAATCAGCTTTCACGTGAGAAGCTGCCAGGGAGAGTCACCAAATGTGAAGATTAGGCTCCCCATGTCTGAGATTCACTGGACAGAAATAAGCATCCCTGAAATCGCCACTCAGAGAAATCCATCAACACACATCAACATACAGAACACTGCACTCCATCACACCCTCCCAGACCATCCGAAGCCGGGTGCCGGGAGGAAAGAAAAATCCATCAACACACATCAATATACAGAACACCATACTCCATCACACCCTCCCAGACCGTCCCAAGCCGGGTGCCGGGAGGACAGAGAAATCCGTCAACACACATCAACATACAGAACACTGCACTCCATCACACCCTCCCAGACCGTCCCAAACCGGGTGCTGGGAGGACAGCGACATTCTCCTGCCTTCTTGTTTTAACTTTCTTGACCACTGACAAATGCGTGAAGAGGAAGCCTTCCTTACGTGAAAGAGGCAAGTGGCCCACTCACCGCAGCTGGACACGCAGCTCAGCCGTCATAGTATGATGACTAAAATGACCACGTCCATACCAGCAGGAAATATTCTAACCTGAAAACTGGCTTAACCTGTAACTTGCACTGTTGGTTCAATCAAAACCAAATACTTTACAAATGCACAACTCCCCTTTTTCCTTCAGACCTGGTTAAAGTTCTTAGCAAACTCCCCAAATTCAAAATGAAGCCTCTGGATGGTGGATGGGCCTATACTAAACTCCAGGGAAGGACACCCTGAGACCACAGGAAATAAACAACCAATCCTCTTTTCCTGAAGCTGTATAGGTTACCTTAAGCTTACTGTGTTACATTCCTGAGCTCAAAGGAACCTACATCTGCCTAAGCCGTCAACTCTAGCAGGAACCTACAACACCTGCCTATGCTGTCAGTGCTAGCAGGAACCTGCAACATCGCACAGGTTATCACACTCTAGCAGGAACCTACAACACCTGCCTATGCCGTCAGTGCTAGCAGGAACCTACAGCATCTACACAGGTCATCACACTGTAGCAGGAACCTACAACACCTGCCTATGCCGTCAACGCTAGCAGGAACCTACAACATCTGCACAGGTTATCACACACTGTAGCAGGAACCTACAACACCTGCCTATGCCATCAGTGCTAGCAGGAACCTGCAGGAACATACAACACCTGCCTATGCCGTCAGTGCTAGCAGGAACCTACAACATCTGCACAGATCATCACACTGTAGCAGGAACCTGCAACATCTGCCCAATAACCACACCCTTAAAAACCTCCCTCAGCCCATTCTATTTTCCAGCAATGCTATTGAATACAGCCATATTTTTTTCACGATGGTGAAAATACACGTTTCCCACCCATGTGGCAGACATCTCACAAAATACATGTGTTCATCACAGGGAGTAAGCAGATCAAGGATGAGGGCACTGGAGCAACTGTCTGCCAGTCTGAATCTTCCCCAGAGAAGCCACAGCAGGCTAACGACTTCGCCTCTCCATAGAACCCTCTGCACAGGTGAGGTCTGCTGGCACATGTGCTGTCATACACTGTGCTACTGATGCTTAGAAACCTAACTAGATTCACAGGGTGAGTTCTGTATCAGACATCTAGGAAATTCTTGAGTGAGTGCCTCTCCCCTCTGCCCACGTACACAATAAGGAAAAACAGGTGTCTATCTGCAGAAAGTCTCGCTACACAGTAAGGATTGGAAAAACAGGTGTCTACCTGTGGAAAGTCTTGCCATTGTCAGGGGTCAGAATGGAAAATGCTCTTTCTGACCTTCAGTCTGAGCACGTGTCCGAGCCCCCTGAGATCCAGCCACACTGCGGGGAGGCACAGGGCGAAGGCCGGCCGTCACACACGGGGGATACCATCTAAGTGAAATAAAATGGAGCAGGCTGAGACTGCCTCAGGAAGCCGATGTTGCGCTCCACAGGTAGCTGGCATAAGCGGTAGCTTCGCAGAATTATCGTAAGTGGCATCATTTTTACACAGCTGAGCAAATTCTCAGGTTTTCCCTTTTCTCACTTTTGGTCGTCCAGTGCCTGAAATTAATGCTAATGAACATCCAGACTACGAAATCAGACAGCACCTGTCATAAGTCCCCCCACACACGACCTGTGACACCGCGTGCTCACACCCCAGTCTCCCACAGAGACCAGCGCCCGCAGGGGCTCCTCCGTGGGACCACATGCTGAGCAGCACAGACACTAGTGTCTCAGGCGCAACTCGACATGGGAGGTGACAGGACAGCACCCCCTTCCACAGGAGGTGTCTCCCCCACCCCCCAAGGGTTCCCATGCTGCATTTCCCATGCAACATCAGGCCAGGCAGCAGCCATCTCTACATGAGCCTGCACTTATTTTAAAAACCTCCTTTCAACCTGGCACCATCTAGATCAAGAATGAGTGTTCCTGTTTGCCTCCAGGGGTGGCTGCTCCCTGTGGACAATGCGTTCACCCCGCACCACCCATACTTAGGACACGTGAGAAAAGCGCACTGTGGGGAGGGGGAGCACTCCCCTGTGGGGGAAGGGGAGCACTCTTCTGTGGGGAGGGGGACCACTCTTCTGTGGTGGGGGAACCACTCTTCCGTGGGGAAGGGGAGCGCTCTTCCGTGGGGAAGGGGAGCAGTCTATGGAGGAAGAGGAGCGCTCTGGGGAAGAGGAGCAATCTTTGGGGGAAGAGAAGTACACCTCCACAGGGAGCAGAGCACTCTTTACTCCCCTGGACCCGGAACAGTCACTGTGAGGCTCAAAATACCCGGTAAAACATTAAAGGCCCTGATGCACAGAGGCAGATGGAAAACAGTGCAGAGAGAGCCACAAACAAAAACAGCCGGCATCCACTGAATATGGGCAGAGAGAGAGGTGGCTTGGCGGGAACAAACGACTAAGGAGCACGGGCCCCTGAGTCTCCCTGCAGCCCACCTGTCCCAGATCAGCACAGGGACGGAGTCTCCAGCCCACAGTGAGGCTATGGCCTGCCCCAGTTGGCTAGTGCCTCCACCCTCCACCGCTGATGCAACGGGCAGCCTGGAGCAGCCCAGGCCAGGGTAATGGTGCTGGACCATTGTTCTCTGCCCTCCACCATGACAGGTGCCCCCAGAGAGTTCATCTGCCCCACAGCCCCGCAGGGACCGGGCCACCTTCTCCACCCCAGTGTGGCTGCCCAACCCTCCCGACTACAGCTTCTGCCCCACAGCCCCGCAGGGACCAGGCCACCTTCTCCATCCCTGGTGTGGCTGCCCAACCCTCCCGACTACAGCTCCTGCCCCACAGCCCCGCAGGGACCGGGCCACCTTCTCCACCCCCAGTGTGGCTGCCCAACCCTCCCGACTACAGCTCCATGTCCCTCACCTCCCCAGTCCCCAGCCTCCCAAAAAAACATAAAGCTCTGTGGAAACACAGACACAGCAAACAGAGCACTTCCACCCACATCTTAAATCTCTTTGTGGCTTTCTTTGGCTTTACATTAGAAATATAAAGTATTAGAAACACTGACCTAAACAAGCAAACAAGGCCCATGTAAGTGATTCAGACCCGTGCTGTGCCTTGCTTGTTTGGTTCTCAGACAACCACAAAAATTCTGAAAACGCACTATTTTAAAATGCTCCCAAATCCATTTCTGACGAGTGAAAATTCCGCCCTGAATAACGCTGAGCGCAGCATGACGTCAGCAGCGGAAGTGGGTGGGTCAACGACCCGGGACCCTGATGGCGAGCGCCTTCTGCAACAAAACAGCTAGATCTTTCCTGCACAGCCAGAGCTCCCCAGCTTCCAGAAGCTTCTCTGGATGTTACACAACAGGAAGTCCTCCCGTGGGATCTGTGGGGAGGAGACCGGTGGTGACAGTGCAACCCAGTTACAGTGAAAACTGAGCTCCCTGGGCAGCACGCCTTGTCTGCTGAGAGCTACAAAGCCCTCTCTTCTCCGTGCAGGTCTTTTTCTGGAGCCCTGGGCTACGTTGCATTTTAAAACCTCCCTCTAAAAGGTTATCGGATGCCATCATCACTTGAAGAGTAAAACGTTCCTACCCTGGCTTTGTGGCTATTTCTGCCAAAGGCCAGACACAACTTAAGAAAGATTTGGGCCGAGACAGTAGCTCATGCCTGGAATCCCAGCACTTTGGGAGGCTGAGGTGGGTGGATCACCTGAGGTCAGGAGTTCAAGACCAGCCTGGCCAACATGGCGAAACCCTGTCTCTACTAAAAATACAAAATTAGCCGGGTGTGGTGGTGCGCCAGTAATCCCAGCTACTCAGGAGGCTGAGGCAGGAGAATCACTTGAACCTGGGATGAGGTTGCAATGAGCCGAGATAGCACCATTCCACTCCAGCCTGGGCAACAGAGCGAGACTCCGTCTCAAAAAAATATATATACATATAGATATCTATATATATATATATATATATAGAGAGAGAGAGAGAGAGAGAGAATTCACATGCTATAAAATTCACCCTTTACAATGTACAATTCAGTGGTTTTTTAGTTCATTTACAGAATTGCACAATCGTCACCACCATCTAATTCTAGAGCATTTTCATCATCCCAAGAAGGCACAAGACCTACAGTCGCTCCCACGCCCCCTCCCCCAGCCCCTGCCAACCATTAATCTACTTTCTGTCCCTACAAATTTGCCAGTTCTGGACATGTCACATAAATAGAATCATACAACGTGTGGCCTTTTATTTCTAGCTTCCTTCACTTAGCATCATGCTTTCAAAGTTCATTCATGGTGTACATAAATCAGTACTTCGTTCCTTTTTGTGGCTGAATACTACTCCATTGTAAGGATAAATCACATTGTTTACCCATTCGTCTACTGATGGGCATCTGAGATGCTTCCGCTCTTTGGCTATGATGAATAATGCTGCCAAGAACACAAGAACATCTGTGTGAAAGTTTCCGTGTGGACGCGTGTTTTCAATGCTTTGAGGACATATTTAGGCGTGGAATTGCAGGGCATATTGGTAACTCTTCATATTCCTGTATTTCGAGGAATTGCCAAGTGTTTCCGAGCAGCTTCACCATTTTACATTCCAAACCAGCAATGCACAAGACTTCCAACTCCTCTACATCCTCCTTAACACCTCTTCATTGTCTGTCTTTTTTATTACAGCCCTCTTAGTGGGTATGAAGCATAAAGTTTTTATTTGCATTTCTCTAATGTAAATAAATGCAAATAATGTTGACCATCTTTTCATTCATTGGCTGGCCCTTTGTATTCCTCCTTGGTAAAACACCAATTAAAATCTTTTGCCCACGGTTAGATTAGAGCATCATTTTGTTATGAGTTGACAGAGTTCTTTGTGTCTTCTGGATGCAAATGCCTGACCAGAGCCACTCTCTGCCAATCTTCTCTCCCATTCTGTGGATTTTCTTTTCACTTTCGTAATGGTGTCCTTTGAGGAACAAAAGTCTTTAATTTTAATCTAGTCCAATTTATCTATCTTTTTCTTTGGTTGCTTATGCTTTTTATACCATATCTAAGAAAAGATCGCCTAATCCAAGGTCACCATGATTTGTCCCTGTGTTTTCTGCAGTCAACTCAATAAAGTAAGTCCTAAGTATCTGCAGTATACTTAGTCCTCTGCTAGGCTCCATGGAGTAGGTGAGACAGGTGAGACGCCACTTCCTACCCCAAGGAATCTGCTGTTTCACTAGGGGAAGAAGACATACAGCAGGCCCCAGAACTGCATGGGCCAACCTAGACTCACAGTGGGACACGAGAAGGGAGGCTCTGTAGGGGCGGGGCAGGAGAAACAGCCTCTATGGGAACAGTCATCCCACAGTGAGCAAAACAACACGGCTGACGGCTGGGACCTGGGGGAGGAGGAGGGGGACGGGGAGGCAGGTGGGTGGGGGCATACCGGCAGCAGAATAGGGTCAGAGGGGCTAGAACTGAGCCACATTGCCTTGGGCCAGCACAGAAAGCTCCTGCTTGGCAGATC
Source organism: Homo sapiens (assembly GCF_000001405.40). Lineage (NCBI taxonomy): Eukaryota > Metazoa > Chordata > Mammalia > Primates > Hominidae > Homo > Homo sapiens. The sequence continues at coordinate 112,738,610 of NC_000013.11, read as the reverse complement.
CACCTGTCCCACAATGCTTAAAGGAGCTCTGCGCTGCATGAAGCCAGTCGGCTTATCTGCGGCACTGCTCTGGTGAGAAGAAACAAGCAAAATGTCCCCAGCTCACATTGCTTTTCCTATTTGCAGTAAATTATGGCAATAATCTCAGGTTCGTTCAATACTCTACGAGCAGAGGGGTAAATACTTTTCTGAGTCGCTAACACTTTAAGTTGGAGCTATTTCTTTTCTTTTCTTTTTGAGACGGTGTTTCACTCTTGTCGTCCAGGTTGGAGTGCCGTGGCGTGATCTCAATTCACTGCAACCTCTGCTTCCTGGGTGCAAGCAATTCTCCTGCCTCAGCCTCCCGAGTAGCTGGGATTACAGGCACCCACCAACACACCTGGCTAATTTTTGTATTTTTAGTAGAGACGGGGTTTCACCATGTTTGGCCAGGCTGGTCTCAAACTTCTGACCTCAAATGATCTGCCTGCCTCAGCCTCCCAAAGTGCTAGGATTATAGGCATAAGCCACTGTGCCCAGCCCAAGTTGGAGCTATTTCAACCCGAGGCAAAGAGCTTTGGGAAGCCGGCGCTGAACAGATATGGGAATGTTGAGTGCTTCTGACCATAGCTTGGGTTCAGAAAAAAGTAAAAGGGCTGAGGGAGAGGACCTGTGAACTCTTCAAGGGTCAATTCCAGGCTACAGAGGAGACTATGAATGGGCTTCCGGAAGCAGCATTTCCCTGCACCACGAAAAAGCAGAGAGGCCAGTTATGGAGGCACAGGACCAGGCTGACCGCTGTAGCACTGGCAGCAAACCTGTGTTTGTCAATCCAAGACACGGAGCTGCTTCCACCTGAGCTCACCACTGAGCCCACTGCAGTTATTCTCAATACAAACCAGAGTGACCATGTAACCTTACAGCCTGCTTGTTTTGTCCTCTTCTCAAAACCCTCCGAGGTTTCCATCCACTCAGATAAAAGGAGAAGGCAGACGAGGCCCTCGGTGACCTCCCTGTCTGATGGCTCCTCAGACACAGCCAAGCTGAGTCCTGTCTTGGGGCCTCTGCCCATGCTGTTCCTCAGCCCAGCCCCTTCCCTCCTCTCCTTCTGGTCTTTATGACCACGGCAGCTCAGCATAGCTGGCCCTTGCCAAACCGTCCCTGGAAGCCCATCCCTTCTGGAGGTTTCCCTGTAATATTTAACGCCACATGAGTCATGATCTGTTTTAACGAACATTTCACCGAAGGATAACTTGCTCACAAAGTGCCTAACCTGCCCTGGGTGTGCGGCTCAGCCTTCACCTGGGTAACCACTGTCATCAGGGCCAAGAAACACAGCATCACCAGCATCTGAGATGCCCCTGTTGTGACTGTGGACCCTCCCACCTGCCAAGGTCTCATCCACTTTGACCTCTGCCTCCATCCCCCAGGAGTGCCCAGCTTTGAACCTCACATCAATGAATCTTATAACATACTCTTCCTGTCTGGCTTCTTTTCCTTGTTTAGGCTGTCAAAAGTCACCCATGTTGTTTGTTCATTTTATTTAATGTGAACATTTCACGATTTATTTTTGTTTTTTTCTACTGTTGATAGACATGTGGGTTGTTTCCAGGAGCATATATTTACTGGAAACTGCCAAACAGTTTTCTGAAATGGTTTTGAATGCTCCCACCAGAGGCACATATGGGTTCCCACAGCTCCACAGCCTTCCAACGCTGCCCTGGATACAAATCCCTGACCAGACCTGCGCTCTGCCAATCCTCTCTCCCGTCCTGTGGATTTTCTTTTCAATTTCATAATGGCGTCCTTTGAAGCACAAAAGTTTTTAATTTAAATCTAGTTTAATTTTAATTTTAGTCTCAATGTAAGTTTAGTAATATATTTGTTTGTTGTCATCTCTGCCTAAAATGGACAGTGCATTAGATGCATGCCACTAGGGGACAGATTTCCAAAATGTACTCAATATAGAAAACCTGCACACTCAATTGTATTATAAATATAATTCTGGCATGCTGGAAACAACACACATTTTAATTTAACTGGGAGGAGAAAGATCAGGACTTCTCATCAGCAGCTCTCTTCTCTTTCACCTGCCTGGTGCTCCTGGCTGAACAGCATCAGTGGCTCAGGCCCCCTTATATTGTAGAACGTGAAGCACATGTAAGATAACGCTTCGTTGCTGAGATGCTACCGCAGGAGGAAAGCTCCAGGCCACCCCAGAAAACACAGTGATAACATCTTTTCCTATAAAGTTAGCTGATTTTTTGTGTGTGTTCCTATGTGTCAGACACTATTTAGCAGCTCTATATGGGTTTCTTATTGATCATCATGCAACTCCCATGAAGGTGCCATATAATCCCCGTTTTAGAGACAAGCAAACTGAAGCTAAGAAAAAATAGATAACGTGCCAAAGTTAAAACATGTGCTAAGTGATAGGGTCAAGTTCAAACAGTGTGGTTGGATCAGGGCTCGAGTTCTCACCCTCTGTCCATGCTACCCTCACAACCCGCATCCTGGCACCATGGTCCACACCTGTGCGCTCCTTAAGCAAGGTCAAAGGGACTCTGCACCTGCTCTGGGCACGCGAACACAAAGGCACGGGAGGAGGCCCTGCACCTGCTCTGAGCATGCGCATACGGAGGCTCTGCATAGGCTCTGGGCATGTGCAGACGGAGGTGCGGGAGGTGGCCCGGCAGCAGAGCATGCGCACACGGAGGCATGGAGGAGCACACGGACCATGGGACTTATGGATGCACCTCGGAAAAGTCAGGTGCTCCTTAGTGCTGAGCCCAACTTAGCGACTGCTGAAAGGTTTGGTGCGCTGCTTAACTTTACACTGAGAAATGTAAGCGATGTTAGGTGAATCACGCAATGGCTGGTGAGTTCAACTCTGTAATGCCTCTGTCAAGGTTCTGGAGCTATTTGAGGATGCACGGTGCAGGATTCTAAGCCCTGTGACCACTTAGCACTTCTTATCTGCGCGAGTGAAGGTTTCCTCTACACAATGCAACCAAAACAGAACCTGGAAATGAACAGATTGACTCCAGCAAGCATCACAACCTCTCGCTTCAGATTTTGTGTTCACTAAAGTCTTACTTTTTCACTGAATTCATACTAAGTAATGTTAAGACTTGGAATTTATAAATTTATACAAATAAAATGCTTTGAGAAGGAGTTCTGTTGACAAACCCGTAGAAATCACGGCTGTGGGTTCTGTAATTCCTGCCCTTGTGTGAGCTCAGGCAATTGGAAACAGCCTCCATCAGCCACGCGGAAGGCTATATCGCTGGGCTGCCATGCAATGCCCGGCTTTCGGGGCACTCAAAGAAATCAACTTTTTATTTAACGGAAAAAAACTCAATCTCAACATTCTTGAAACGTTAGCAAAACCCGTTTATGGTATTTAGATTTCCCAGTGTCCTTCTATAATTAATTCTCCCTTGAATGAAAAAGTTTATTTTCCCCAGTGTATCTATGGAGTGCCTTTTATTAGACCCAGATGGAGATTTCCTTTTTTACCTTCACTGCCAGAAAATGCACAGCTAAATCCATCCCAGACGTCTGCTAACATTTTTCTCAGCTTTTTTCTTTTTTTAAAAAAAGTCCTCTTTTATGTTGTGTTTAATTGTGTCAGCTACTTCAAATCCTTCCTGGAAGGGAGACTAGAAGCCCCAGTGGGCAGCCGTCTTCTCTGTCTCCTGGCACTCCCCCTCACCAGTCGGTATTCATGGTCCTACCGCTGACAAGGCCTGCTGGAAATGGGGGCGTGGGCAGAACCATGCTTACCTTTTGGGGTTGCTGCCTCAGGAGGAGGCACCTGCCACCCCACCAGGCACCATAGTGATCCCCCCCAAGTGCGGCTATGAGGGCAGGTGAGCCAAGTACAGGGTATAGGATAGTTTTGTGGTGTCGAGAAAAACAGTATCACTGAAAAAGAGAAATATTCATATTGCTATCCACTTTGAAAACCACTAATTTATGAAAAGTACAGGAGTGTGAAAGCATTGGGTCACATTTTCGAAGTCTGCATTTGTCACTGATATTTATTTTTTGAGTCCGATACAGTCAGGGTTTGACTCTCCGGGCAGCCTGCAGTTCCTCGGCGGTTGATGGCTGAGGTCACTGACAGGCACTAGAAACCCAATTTCTGCCCAGACTCACTTTTCCAGTTTGCAAATTAGAAATAAAGACAAGAAATTTCACTCCTGTCTTAAACTTTGGGTTACTAAAATTCCATGAAGACCAACCTCTTTCAGCCCAATATTATTGTGCTTGCAACGGTTTCTTAACCAAGTTGCAGGAAAGGCCCTTTTCTCAAGTATTTCAAGGTTCTTTCCCTGCCCCTCACCCCCGCCCCCTGCACCTGCCTCATCCCAGCACCAATTAAAAGCCAAGCAGGGGAACAGCTGAGCTCGCATGTCCATCCTGCTGGGAGGCCACGTCCAGAGGGCTTAGTTTCTCAAACAAAACCTCATTATCAGCTGGAAGCAGCACAGTTAGTGAAGCCCAGGAGCACTCACTCTCCTGGTGGCTCACTGTCTACTGTGCCATTTTAGCTCATTAACCCGGATGAAATCATTTTCTCGATAACTAAGTAACACAAAAGCCTGGTGTAATGGTATTAATAGAAACTCAATGAGTATTTGTTTGACAAATGACCGATCAGTGAAACATAGAACTGCTAATTTAAGATTGGAAAGAAAAGGAAAGAGAGAACCACTGCTAAATAATCCAAGCAGCTCTGAAGATAAGAATCACAGAATTGAGTCAGAAAAATGAGATTTGGCTGTCCACTGACTTGGACAATGTCAGCAAGGAATTTCTGGAGCTCTTAGACAAAACAGAAACCAAAATATATAAATATAGGATAAACTTAATATATTTTAAATATATTATTTTTCCCCTAAAGTTGTATTTGCATAGACTAATGCATTTTATAAGGAAAGGAAAAAACATTCTGTGCAATACTCCTTCACTTGTGATCCACACTTGTGAGTTTAATGTGATAATGTGGGCCTACCTCGAAGGTTCTGGATTTAACAAACCATTTAACCTGTTAGCTTTTCAGCAGAAAGCCAGTCAACAATAGAACTAGGCTCAACAGCTCAACTCTTAACCATCAAGACATGAAATACAAATGAAAATATGTCAAAGGTGTTTTAAATTGTTAATATCCAGTGTTAGTAAAAACAGTGAAACTTAACACCTGAGGCTTTCACATTCCTGCCTAGAATCTCTGCATCAAACAAGCTCTACAGTCCTATCCATCCTGTCCCCACTGCGGATCCTGCATCTGCACAGCAGGATCCTGTGAGTGCCCTGCATGCTCAGTGCGCCTGAATCCTCCACCCACTGCTCATCTTTAAGTAAAGTGGAGATGCTGTGCCCCGCGCCGTGTGCCCCCAAGCCATATTCAGCTTCCCCTCTCTGCTTTTGTGGGGAAGCGCATGGACAAGGAGAAAAACAGATGCCTTGTTAAATATTAATAGTGTTTGCCTGTATAATTAGTTCTTTAAGAAATGTATCATTGTGCTTCTAATGCCCAATTTAACAATGAAATGTATTTTTAGAACAAAAACATGTACAGAAATCTTTATATAAATAACTTGTAAACCTGTGTCTATTGCTCCAACTCTAAAATAGAAGGGTTTTAATCAAAACTGTAATTCAACACCTGCCACCTAAATAAAACATAAGCACTAATTAAACTAGAGGCAGAGGCCAGGTGCAGTGACTCACACCTGTAATCACAGCACCTTGGGAGGCCGAGGCAGGTGAATCACCTGAGGTCGGGAGTTCAAGACCAGCCTGGCCAACATGGCGAAACCCCATCTCGACAAAAAAATATAAAAACTAGCCAGGCATGGTGGCGTGCGCCTGCAGTCCCAGATACTCGGGAGGATGAGGCGTAAGAATCGCTTGAACCTGGGAGGGGGAGGTTGCAGTGAGCCGAGATCGCACCACTCCACTCCGGCCTGGGCAACAAAGCGAGACTCTGTCTCAAAATAAATAAACAAACAAACAAACTAGAGGCAGATATGGTCATAAAATAAATTTGTAAGTGCTTTTATTTTTATTCTCAAGTTTAACCACAAAGGCCAGAAGAGAAAATGCAGAGAGATGCAGCTGGAGAGAGATGGAGCTGGAGAGAGATGGAGCTGGAGAGAGACAGAGCTGGAGAGAGAGAGATGGAGAGAGACACAGCTGGAGAGAGAGGGAAGCAGGGAGTAGGAAAGAAGAGGATGGGGAGAGAGAGACTCACTGGCCCAGGACCTCTAATCACCCACTACAACACATTATTTCTTTTAGTTTTTGTATATATTCTTACATTTTTATGCCAAGTTTTCATTCTATTCTACAGTAAGTTAGACTTTGTTTTAACTTAGAAACGTTTAAAGTTGCCCACCTGAGTGCAATGGAGGAACCAGAAGGTGGTCTGTGGCTCCTCCGACTCCAGACCGTCACGGGCCCTGAATGGAGGAGCTGCTTGGGACGCAGTTATTGCCACGTCCCTAAAACTCCCAACCAACTTCCCGACAGGACCGAACTCATGCCGGAGCCTTTTACTCACTGCACAACACCGTAGGTGCAGGTATGCACAGGATGCCGCTGCGGGCCACTGTCTCACCTGGGGAGGCCAGTGCCCGCACGCTATGCCTTCCCACACCGGAACATGGGCCACCTGCCCCCCCCCGCCCCCATTTCTCCACCATCTAGTAGGTTTACCCCACACACTGCTGGGACTGCCACTGTCCCATGCACCCCTCAGGCCACTGCTCCCTTCCTCACGTGCACTTCTGCACCTGCTCCTAGAGGCTTGTAGGGCAAGATGGGATATTTTTTGAAGGATAGGATGTGATATGTTCGTAGCATAGGTTGTTGTAAGTCTCACAGGATAAGATGTGATGGATCTCATAGGATAGGACGTGACAGGCCTCGTGGGACAGCCATGAACATAAGTGACACCTACTGTCTCCTCCCGCACCTTCCTTGGGGACAGCAGTACCTGCTGGGCCATCGATAGGCAATGAGTTGATTCACATCCAGTTCCCACTCTTGAATTTTCACTTACATCGTCACACTTAAAACTTTACTCATAAATAAAACAGAAAACTAGTGAGTGCCGTGCAATTGATTATCAACTACAGAACCTCAGCTGGCTGGAATGAGACTTGGGCTGTGGACTCCTGGCTGGGAATGGAGTGGGAATGAAGTGTGTGGCGCAGTCATCAAGGGAGTTCTGATACTTAGTTTCTATTTCTGCTTAGATGGCATTTCTGTTTTCTTTAGTAATAAAGCTAATCTGTTTTCTTTAGTAATAAAGCTAACCCTTCCTGTTTTATCTAAGAAAGACTGTATAGGAGGCCGGACACAGTAGCTCATGCCTGTAATCCCAGCACTTTGGGAGGCTAAGGCAGGCGGATCACTGGAGCATTTTGGAGGCTGAGGAGGGTGGATCACTGGAGGTCAGGAGTTCCAGACCAGCCTGGCCAACATGGTGAAACCCTGTCTCTACTACAAATACAAAAATTATCTGGGCGTGGTGTGGGCACCTGTAATCCCAGCTACTCAGGAGGCTGAGGCAGGAGAATCACTTGAGCCCAGGAGGCAGAGGTTCAAATGAGCAGAGATCGCGCCACAGCACTCCAGCCTGGGTAACTTAGCAAGACTCCGTCTCAAAAAATAAATAAATAAATAGACTGTCTACGGAAAGAACACCTGTCCCATGAGAAAGTGCTGCCCGAAGACACACTTCCTCCCACCCTGCCACCGACCTGCTGCCGTCACAGCGGCATCTAATTCCGAAAATCCTCCCTGCTCTGCAGCACGACTTGATTCATTCAGGCCTCCTGGGGGCAGTTTTCTACCCTTTCCCCCCAAATATCTGAAAGCCTAAAAACCTCACCTTTTAAGGTTCATTTACAAATATATGATCTGCCATGGTAGGCTCATGTGATGGACCCAGCAGTGTGTCCAGAAGGGCGCAATTTCACCAGGAGGCCCTGCGCAGACTCCGCACGGGAGCCCCATCCTCCCGCACCTGCGCAGGCACCCGGTGCTCACGCTGTGGAGTTTCCTGGGAAGCGGCTGTGTGTCCCATGCCTAGCACCGTGTTACTAGAGAACAGGGATGTGTCAGGAGTTATTCACGCATCAGCAGGGGAGTTCATCACATCACACGCCAGCCACGAGGTTCCAGATTACAAAACTGCTGTGGGCTCAGCTGGCTCTTTGAGAACAAACTGTTCCATGCCAGGAATTTGCCAGCCTCACCTTCCCTCATCAATGCCCGTCCTCCGGCCTCCATGAGGCTTCACAGATCCACATGAATCACAGATCCACACAAATAAAGATAACAGCATCGCCTCCGGTACAGAAGCTCTGCGGCTGCCCATGTCCTGGCAGATTGGACTCCTCCGAGGTCGCCCTTGCCATGTGACTGCAGGATGCCCCCTTCCAGGTCACCAGCCCCACGGCTCCCATGTGGTCCGTGGTCTATGTGGGCCGCTGCGAAGGGTTCCCACGGGCTCTTTTATTTCCCATGAAGAAACTCGTCCTCCACCATCATGAGAAGCTGCACTTAGCATGGACACAGAGATGAGACTCTGCACCCTTCCAGCTCCCAAATCTGTAACTAAAAATTATGCTGCCCATTTTCCTAAGTTCAAGCTTTGGCTATTGAAGAAGTAAGTACTACTGTTACATCTAAGCCCTGGCCAAACCATTGTCAGGAGCCATTTAAAAGTAACAACCATTCCCCGTTTGCTTCAATCAGATTAATCACTGACAACATTAACAGTTTGCGCGTTTTTTTCCTCGAAGAGTTCCCGCAAGCTGAGGGGCCAGCATCACAACTTCTGAAGCCTCCGTGAGATTCAGCGGCCTGCTGGCCTCACCGTGGCCTGACTCTATCAGCTAAAGATAGCAGGACGCTAAAAATAGCAGGAGCGCTGCGGCAGTGCCTTCTGACGCTGTTCACACTCAGACGTGTTACATGCTCCAGGTCCGCAATGCCGAGGTGGGGGGACTGTGCTGCCTCAGTGCCTTCCAACATTGTTCACACTCGGATGAGTAAGACACTCCGGGCCTGCAATGCCAAGGTGGGGACTGCGCTGCCTCAGTGCCTTCCGACACTGTTCACACGCAGACGCGTTAGATACTCTGGGCCTGCAATGCCGAGGTGGGAACCGCGCTGCCTCAGTGCCTTCTGACACTGTTCGCACTCGGACGCGTTAGATACTCTGGGCCCGCAATGCTAAGGCGAGGGGACTGTGCTGCCTCAGTGGGCAGAGTCGGATAAACCCATGGAAACAGCAGGGGTGGGAAAGCAAACGTAGTAAAGAGTGATAAAAACAACATCCAATCGTTAACGAGGTGGCCTGTCATAAGGTCAGGCTCAATCATAAATGAGCTGACCGCCAACCAGACGTGTGGAGAGTCCTGCGTCCAGGAGCACCCGGGATGATACGCTAACAGAAATGTCTTCCAATTCTAAATTTTCACTCAGGTTCACCGATTTTGTCACTCAGATTCTTAAGACGTCAGGATCCTTTCCTGGACTCTCAACAGAGAACAAAGCCTTTGCTTTAAATGTGTTAAAAAACTAACCATCCTAAATGTCGCCAACGTGAAAACCTGCTTTAGTCAAGCCTCTGATCACTGCATTTGCTTGTCACATGCACCAGGGCCACGGTGGAGTTTGCAGTGGGCCACCCCCAGGAGGGAAGCCGCTAGCAGAGGTCAGCAGCCACTGTGTATTCTTCTCTTAGCTTTGAATTTTGAACTGTTTGTATATCCATTCCATAAATCCAATCAGTCCATAACTATATCAAGATAGACAAGGAGAAGAGGAACAGCAGAGGTAAGCGATCACAGAATATTTGTAGTTAAAGGTCCATGAATACTAATAAGGCGGTACATGCAGGTAACACAGGGAGGCGGGCCGCAGTCTCACGGCCCCTCCACGCGTGGATACTGACAAAGCGGTACATACAGGTAACACAGGGAGGCGGGCCGCACGGTCTCACGGCCCCCCCACGAGTGGATAGTGACAACGCGGTACATACAGGTAACACAGGGAGGCGGGCCACACAGTCTCACGGCCCCCTCCACGCGTGGATACTGATAACGCGGTACATACAGGTAACACAGGGAAGCGGGCTGCACGGTCTCACGGCCCCTCCACGTGTGGATACTGACAACGTGGTACATACAGGTAACACAGGGAGCCGGGCCGCACAGTCTCATGGCCCCTCCACACGTGGACACTGACAACGTGGTACATACAGGTAACACAGGGAGGCGGGCCGCAGTCTCATGGCCCATCCACGCGTGGATACTGACAACGTGGTACATACAGGTAACACAGGGAGGTGGGCCGCATGGTCTCATGGCCCCTCCATGTTGGGTCCACCAGTCCAGTTATCTGGGTAAAGGTCAGTGACTGGCTTTGTAAATTAAGCTAACTGGCACCAGCCACACTCACTCATTCCATTTTCTCTGTGGCCTTTTTCCTGCTACAATGGCAGATGTGAGCAGGTGCACAGACCTCAAGGCCCCATAAGCCTACAACATTCACTATCTGCCCTTTTCAGAAAAAGGTTGCCAGTCCCTGGTCTATGAAAAAGGGGTGTTTTTCCCCTGCTCACCAGACACGGCCCTTGCTGGAACCCTACATGTATCGATCTCTCATTCACTCTGAGTTCTGAGTTACACGGAGAATTCGATTCCGCAACGCATGTGAGAAATGGGGCTCAGCCTTTAACAAGATGCACCTGGAGCCGAGTTCCTCGCCCAGCGCCGGAGTCCCCGAGCTGCGTGGCAGGCTGCACGAAGCCAGAGTTTAGCTCCAGAAACAGATGAAAGCCGATCTGCATTTCAATCTGGTGTCAGGTGAATTTCCCAGGCAGCCACCAGCCCTCAAGAAAACGGGCAGGGACTACCTCTGCCTGCCAAATGGGGCCTGTGCGGGCCCTGCATGGTGTGTGGAGCCTCTACACCTCAGGCAGCCTGGTTCCTTCACGTGCAAAGAACAAAAGCAGTGTTCTCTAGAGTCACCTGTGGCATTTATCTTTTTTTTTTTTGGAAAGAGACTGCTGCTGCTCCCATTAGATTTTAAATTCCTACCAGGAAAAGACCAATTCTTATTTCTGTTGTTTGCTTTGTTTCCTGTGTTCCCAGAACCTGCCTATAGCAGATTCTCAGTAATTGCTGGTTGAATAAAGTAAATAAATATAGTAAACTTGCTAAAAATAGAGCAGCAAGTTATCACTAGAAACAGCGTTCAGTAGGGCACAGTGGCTCACGCCTCTAATCCCAGCACTTTGGGAGGCCAAGGCGGGCAGATCACCTGAGGTCAGGAGTTTGAGACCAGCCTGGCCAACATGGTGAAACCCCATCTCTACTAAAAATACAAAATTAGCCAGGCATGGTGGCACATGCCTGTAATCCCAGCTACTTGGGAGACTGAGGCAGAAGAATCGCTTGACCCTGGGAGGCGGAGATTGCAGTGAGCCCAGATTGTGCTGCTGCACTCCAGCCTGGGCGACAGAGCAACAATCTGTCTCAAGAAAAAAAAAGAAGCAGCAGCAGCAGCGTTCAGATTTACTATTACCTACAACCCCAAGTTATAGTAAGAAATTCGCATAAGCTATGCAAGAATTGTAAAGCTGTATATGAGAAAAAAAATTTGCAATGTCCCCAGTTTTCTGTGAGATTTTTCCCTATTATCCATGTCCCAAGGAAGATGTCTTTACAATTATTTATTCAGAGGACCTACAGTAGCATTAGGTGGTGCATTTTTTATTCTGCTTGTACCTTTCTCATGGCACACTTTCAGCTTCAAGTTTACAGGTTAAGGCACTGTATCCAATAATTTTATAACACTCTTCACCACTAATTTTCTGCTCCTGTGAGCCCTTCAAATTGCAAAAGCAATGGACTTTTTTTTCCAGTTTGCAAAGCCAGGCATTTGATTGGCTCTGTTTTCTGTCCCCCAGCATCTGCAGCACCCCCGGCTGGAGCATTAGAGAGGACATGGCAGCAGCACAGATGGAGAAGGTCAGGAGCTGCCATCCAGACGGCCCCTTTGGGCTCCTTCACCTCATTCACCTGCAGATCTGGGAATCTGCCGGGAAAAGCTCTCGGAAGTACAACTGCCTTTAGGCCTGTCCCCCAGCACCTATCAACTGCCCCCGGCCATTCTCCCTGCACACAGATGGTGCCCCATGGCCCCTCTCCCTGCATGCAGACTGTGTTTCCCCACAGCCCCTCTCCCTGCACGCATGCAGTGCCCCCCAGGCCTTCTCTTTGCATGCACGCTGTGCCCCCAGCCCCTCTCCCTGCACACAGACTGTGCCCTCTGGCCCCTCTCCCTGCACGCACGTGCTTCCTCCCTGGCTCCTCTCCCTGCACGCATGCAGTGCCCCCTGGGCCTTCTCTTTGCATGCACACTGTGCCCCCTGGCCCCTCTCCCTGCACGCACGCCGTGCCCCATCCCCGGCATACACCTCCTGGTGACACACACTATTCCCTTCAGAGAAGCCTCCTCTTTTCAAGGACCGATTGTGACTCCCTAGACACCAGCTGCGTTTACAGAAGCAGAGTCGGTGAAAACTAAAAGCACAAAGCTTGCTTGGCACAGAGGTGCGGTGAGCAGGCCCCAGGGCCACCGCTTCCCGCCCCCTCCCCAGCACCTTGCTCTGAGGGCGTCCTTCAGGGGCACCCTCGTCACCTCAGCTGCCGGGGAGGGGCTCCTGAGTCTCTCTCAGCCTCCTTCACCCATTTCTATCGTTCTCACCTGCACGCAGGGATCTGTTCCAAACCTCAGCTTCCTGTAACCAACAGGCCACCCTCAGGGACGTTGTCCTTAGTCATCCTCCACAAATAGAAGCTTCTCCTGTCCAAGGAACTCCAGGGATGGGGACTTTGCAGCCACAGCTGTAGCCACACACTCACTGGCTGGGGCATGGGAGGGCTGGTGCATCTGTTCTGCTTACATCTGAGCTATTTCATTACTACACACGAGAAAAGCTTCCCACACTTGGTCGTTAGAGGCATTAAGCACATAGAGCACACACTTGTGCCAGTCACTCCTGGGCACCTAGGCAGAGCCAGCCGCGTGCAGACGCAGCCTATCACTCCAGACTGGTGTGGGGAGGGGTGAGTGAAGGCAGCGGCTGAGAAACCCAGGTGGCAGGGGCCAGGCGATGGGGGCGAAGGAGGCTGGTGCATGCCCGGGCAGTGGGCTGGTGAGGGCTGAGAGCAGAGAGAGTGGAGGGGGTGATGCCTCTGCCCATACCTCGTCTGCTCCCCAGGGGTCTTCTTTTGGTCACTCTGCTCCCAAAGCATTTGGGATTCACCTTGGCCATGGGAGGTCCACATCGTATCATGATCACAGGTTTACCTGTCTGTCCCCACCCCACTGCCTTGAGCCCAGCCCGAGCCTGAGTCAGCTCCCACAAGGGGGGTTTGCAGTGTCTCTTGTGACTCAGAACAGGGTTGACAGAGGGATGGAGTTCAAGTCTTCCCCCAGGTATGCATGGCCGGCAACCTACGGCAAGAGGCGTCGGCCATCAGCTGTTGGTCCCACACCGGGCCCACAGACAATCCACCCCAAGGGAGAAGAAAATGACGTGGGGACCAGGTCCAAGGCCACAGCCCAGCCCACACAGGGGACCACAGGCATGGCCGCAGGGGTGGCTGGAGCAGAGGAAGGCAGATCACCTTTGGAAACAGAAACACTTGGGTCAGACCCTGGCTCCGTGGTGGAATGAGGAACACACCTGGCCTCTGTTCCGGTGCCCAGCATGCTTCAGGACCCTTGGAATTTCCCACATGGCAGGAGTGTTTCTGTTGCTCACCAAGAGCCCCTGTGGACCACACCTGAGTTTATGCTAATGAGGAGACTCAAGATGGGCCCCAAACAGCTTCCTGGGGGGGGGCCGGCCTCACCCCAGGACAGGGCTGCAGCTTCCATCCCCAGCCTGACCTCTGACCTGTGGGGAGAAGGGAGACACTGGAGACTGAACTCAATCTCTTGGCCAATAGTGTGATGAGACCCCCAAGCAGTGATGAGACTCTGATGAAACTCTGGATGCACGAATCCTGGCTGCCGCACATACACGGTTCTGGAGGAGGGCCACGTGACAGCTCCACGGGGACAGGGGGCTCCCAGTGGACCCATCACATTGCTCCCACCATCATAAGCCCCTTGTCTTCAGCACAGTGACCTCCTGAGTTCCGCGAGTCCTTCCAGTAAATCGTCAACCCTGAGTCACAGGGCCCTCCCTGACGTTTATGGCAGGTGCTCAGAAGTGTAGGTGGTCCCTGAGACTTGTAGCTGTGTCTGAAGCAGGCCGTCTTGGGGGACAGAGCCCATAACCTGTGGGGTCCACTTGAACTCAGGGCATGCAGTGTCGGAATGGGGCGATGGTGCCGATGGGGGCGAAGAGGGCGATGGGGGAGAAGGGGGCAATAGGGGCAAAGGGGGTGAAGGGGGCGATGGGGGAGAAGGGGGCGAAGGGGGCGATGGGGACGATAGGGGCTGGTCCACACCCAGGCAGTGGGCGCTGGTGAGAGGTGTGGGCAGGGATGATGGAGGGGGCGATGCTCATCTTCTTTATTTAAAAGTTGAGATCAACTGCGCCACACGACAGGCTTGTATGTACATTAAGTGGTATGTCCCCGCACATGCCACCCGAGCCCGTGTGACACGAGCGTTCCCGGGAATCCACAGGCCCTGAGGGCCTCCGGGTTTCGGGCGAGACAGAGGACCAGATATGCACACTTTGGGAGCATCCAGGCATTTGGCTTCATCAAATAACCTTCAGTCAGCTGCCTAGACATTCAACTTGCAAACTAAAAATAAAATCCTAAGCCCCTTCCGACTGAATGGATCCCTTCTTGGTCAAGGGAACCCCAGAAAAATCTTAAAAACTGAGCTCCCAGCCATGACAGAGGTTACACATACCTCCTTCTACCCCCTCCCTTTTGGGGTTTAGACACAACTGACCAGCATTAACATCAATACAGAGATCATAAAACAAACAGAATACACTCTGGCCAGGCACGGTGGCTCACGCCTGTAATCCCAGCACTTGGGGAGGACAAGGCAGGCGGATCACCTGAGGTTAGGAGTTTGAGACCAGCCTGGCCGACATTGTGAAACCCCGTCTCTACTAAAAGTACAAAAGTTAGTCAGGTGTGGTGGTGTGTGCCTGTAATCCCAGCTACTCAAGAGGCTGAAGCAGGAGAATAGCCTGAACCCGGCAGGCGGAGGGTGCAGTGAGCCGAGATCGCGCCACTGCACAACAGCCTGAATGACAAGAGGGCGGGGGGAGGTGGGGAACTCTGTGGCAATAAGACACCAATAAGACATCATCTGCGTGATAAAGCCCTGGTCTCCACAACCTCTTTACCTCAACCCACGCTCACAGGATCGAAGAAAAAAAACCAGACTCTGTGGCACTAAGATGCCAAATTATAAACAGGGCCCAGTGCCATTACAGATGAGGGTTAAGTCCCGCCTGCGGGCGTCAGACCTGCTAAACAGGGCTCTTTGACCCTGTGGCTGACTCTGACAGGGCCTCCTTATCTTAAACATTCCTTTCTGTTGACTCCAAGTTTTAGATAGAACCTTACTCCTTTAATCAACTGCAAATTAAAGAATCTCTGAAAAAAAATACTTAAAAAGAAAAAAGTAAAGCATTTCTGAATCCGCCTACTTTACTTCAAGTCATCCTGCCTTTCCGGCTGAGCCACGTCGACCTTCCACTCATTGATTTACGTCTTTCCTATGACTCCTGCCTCCCTGAAATGTGTAACATCCAACCAGCCCCACCACCTTGGACCACTTCCTCGATGGTTCTCAGGTTTGTGTTTTTCCAAGCCACGGCCACTCATATTGTCTCAGAATAAATCTTTCTAAAGTATTTTACGTATGTAAACCAAAAGTAAATTTGAAGGGCCCTCACCCATCTGAATGGAGCCCTCCTCTCCGCCAAGGGCACTCCAAAGTTATCCTGAAAACCTGCTTCCGGCCCTGATGGGACTCGGATGCCTCCTCACCCCCTCCTTCCTTTTGGAATTCAGGAAAGGCTGACCAGCACAAACGCTGGCACAGACCTGAAGTCCACTGAGAAACATTTACAATCTATTCATTCTCCCTGAAACTCGCTACCCTGATAAAGCCCTGTCTCCACAACCTCTTTACCCCAACCCAGACATTCCTTTCTACTGATAAGTCTTTCAACCAACTGTCCATTAGAAAAAATTTAAATCTACCTATAACCTGGAAACCCTCTCCCCTGGCCGCCCCCCTCTCCCCGGGCCCACCCTCCTCCCCGGTCCCCCTACCCCCCGCCGGCCCACTTACAGCTGTCCTGCATTTCTGGGCAAAACCATTGTACAATGATTGATGTCTCATGTCTCCCTAAAATGTATAAAACCAAGCTGTGCCCCGACCACTTTGGCACCTGTTCTTAGGACCTCCTGAGGACTGTGTGACAGGCCATGGTCACTCATATTTGGCTCAGAATAAATCTCCTCAAATATTGTGAGTTGGACCCTTCACTGATACAGAGTTTGGTTTTTGCAAACTGTAGCGTCCTTCAGATTGCAGGGTTATGTGGCCCCAGGATATTTAAGTTAAAATGACCCAGCAGCTCCCATGGTGGGCAGTGTGCCGGCCTCCCCTTGTCTGCCACGGCCTGCACTTGGCGCCTCCAGCGGCTGCGGTGCTGACGGCCTGGTGAACCTCCTGGTCGCCCTCACATCCTGGCTCCTATGTGGTCTCCTTCTTTTTGCTCATACTAATCTGAATTTGGGAAACAGCCTTTTTCTTAACACTCTAAAAAAGCAGTTATATGCAATGTCATTCGCTGGGGGCCAGAAGAGGCGGGCAGGAGACAGGTTCATGACCCCGGGAAGCCCAGCCGTGGAGGAGAGGGAGCACCAGCGTCCCACAACTGACCCCGGGACTAACCCCAGGCCCTTCTGCTGTCTTGTGGGACCCTCCCACTTCCTCACTCCTGGCTTCCACGTTCCTCGTTCCCAGGCCACATCCCCGTTCCATCTTTGATGTCAAGTCCAAGAACACGGGAAGCTGTTTCTGTGTCTTCAGCAGTGACCGCTGCAGTGTGCTGCCAGGGTGACACCACCTCTGGGCCCTGCCTGGAGTACCCGGCTTCCCTCGACATATCCAAATGCACACGCAAGAGAACAAAGCCTCTTTGTTCTTAGTGCTTAGTGAGCAAAGGTACGTTTTCTCTTTTCAGCCTTCCTTCCTGCTTCTTTCCCGTAACATTTGTGATCTAAGAGACCAAAACAAACAGTTTTCTTGACTAAGATGGACCCTAACGCTAAGGAAACAAAAGTTACCTGCGGGGCAGAGGGTTCCAGCAACTTCCTAAATTCCTAAGGCTACAAGAAAAAAACACACTCCAACTCCCTAATGAGAGGAGCAATCGGACCCTAACTCTGATTTACAACCCAGACCCTTCCACTTCTGACCGGACAGAGGACTGGCCTTACATACACCCTTTCCCGATCAGCAACTGTGGCCCTCAGCTGGCGGCAGTAGCTCCTGGAGGCTGCGGACTGTGGCCTGTGGTTCACCTTCTGACTTCAAGAGCCAAATTCCAGCTCGGCCCCCACTAACAGAATGGACCCCTCTTGGCCAAAGGAACCCCAGAGGCAACTTCAAAACTGAATTCTCGGCCACGACATAAGGGAGGTTGAACACGCCTGGCCCCTCCCATTTGGATTTTAGGTACTGATGTCAAAGTAGACATCACGGAAGACTAATCTCAGCACTTTGAGAGGCCAAGGCAGGTGGATCACAAGGTTAAGAGATCGAGACCAGCCTGGCCAACACGGTGAAACCCCATCTCTACAAAAAATACAAAAATTAGCCGGGCGTGGTGGTGCACACCTGTAGTCCCAGCTACTCAGGAGGCTGAGGCAGGAGAATCGCTTGAACCTAGGAGGCAGAGGTTGCAGTGAGCTGAGATCATGCCACTGTACTCCAGCCTGGCGACAGAGCGAGACTCCGTCTCAAAAAAATTAAAAAAAAAACAAACAGACTCTACCCAGAGGCTTCATCTGCGTGATAAAGCCCCGGTCTCCACAACCTCTTTGCCTCAACCCAGGCTCACGGGACCCGCGGCCACAGCAGACGAAGGTGAACGCACCCCACAGGTAACCCTGACCCTGCGCGT
The DNA here is from genome assembly GCF_000001405.40 of Homo sapiens. Taxonomy (NCBI): domain Eukaryota; kingdom Metazoa; phylum Chordata; class Mammalia; order Primates; family Hominidae; genus Homo; species Homo sapiens. Next base: position 112,720,414 of record NC_000013.11, on the reverse strand, counting down.
CGGGCGTGGGTTTCCTCATCTAAACACTCCCTTCCACTGGCTCCAGGCTTTCAACAAAGCTTTACTGCTTTAACCAATCGCACACTGAAGAATCTCCGACTCCACCTATGGCCTGTGACACCCGTTTCAAGAAATCCCACCTTTCTGGGCTAAACCAATGTATACCTTCCATGTACCGATTTGTGGCTTTGCCTGTGAGTCCTGTCTCCCTAAAATATACAAACCCAAACTGTGATCTGACTGCCTCAGGTGCACCTTCTCAGACTCTGTTTCCCCAGCCCACAGTCACTTAGACAGGCTCAGAATAAACCTCTTTAAAATAGTTTACAGACTTTGGTCTTTCCATTAACAGAATGGTCATTAATGTATTTGATCAATCCCTTATCCACAGACTTGAGATGTTTTCATTGCTACAACAGATACTGCTGCAAAGAACATTCTGATATGATTGTGGGCACTTGGGATATGACTTTCTTAGGCTGAATTTCCAGAAATGAAATGGAAATACTTTTTTTTAAATTATGGGAGACTGTTGTTTTGGACTGAGCTCCAGCACTAGGCCCCAACAGACCAGACCAAACAGGAATGGAGTTGCTCCTGCTCAATGCCACGTCACCAAAATGGAACTTTAAAGAAGTGACAGGTCCCAAAACAGACCGGTTTTTCTCAAAAATAGGAGATTCTGTTGACCTGAGTCAGCAAGTGACAAAGTCCCCTCTGCTTTACCCTCTACAAAGAAGTAACCTGAAGTAACCTGAAGTAACCTGAAGTTCACCATCAGCTTCTTATTCTGTTTCCTTGCTTCCACCTTACAAAACTGACTGTTCTGCCATTGCCCAGTGGGAGCTCTCATTATGTAGAACGGACGCTGCCCCGTTAAGGAATTGTAATTAAAATCCAATCAGATCTATAACTAAATGTTTTGTAATTTTGTCTTCTGACAGTTGGAATCAAGGATACATTATTTTGATTCGGCAAATGGGATTATTCCCACAGCCTACAAGTTAATTAATCTTACATTTTAAAAGTGTTTCAAAACAAAGTCATGAACAGAAGATTGAAGATTACGTGAGAATATAACAAAGGCATGCAAGGCATTGAGTCTTTTTATATTGACTTGCTTTTGTGTTGCCTCTGGTGCAGTTTGCATACCTGAAACACACCATCATAATTTCCTGCCTGCGCGTCACAGGGCATCCTGAGGGCCCCTGACTATTCACCAAGACGGTCTTTGACGCGATTCAAAGTCACACCTGCGCGTCACAGGGCATCCTGAGGGCCCCTCCAACTGTTCACCAAGATGGCATTTGACGCAATTCAAAGTCACACACACACAGTTCAAATAAGCCGGACTTTCAGCATCTTCTCTTCTTCTGTTAAAGCCATCGTTGAAATCCTAACCCTCCCTCAATCCCTACGTCCTATTTCAAAAGCAGGCCAGGTGCAGTGGCTCACGCCTGTAATCCCGGCACTTTGGGAGGGCAAGGCGGGTGGATAGCCGGAGGTCAGACGTTCGAGACCAGCCTGGCCAACATGGTAAAACCCCATCTCTACTAAAAATACAAAAGAAAAAAAAATTAGCTGGGAGTGTTGGCGTGCAACTGTAATCCCAGCTACTCAGGAAGCTGAGGCAAGAGAATCCCTTGAACCTGGGAGGCGGAGGTTGCAGTGAGCCAAGATCGTGCTATTGCCCTCCAGCCTGGGTGACAAGAATGAAACTCAGTCTCAAAAAAAAAAAAAAAAGTGCAGCCTGCAAGCCCACCCTGGTCCGACTGCTAATCCAAACCCAGGGATCCAGGACCCAGTGACAATCTCTCGAGGGCAGTTAGAAGAACCTAAGTGGCAAGTAGCTGGGTGCTGCCTCTGCGGGTTCCCATCCCCACCGCACACACCTCGGAGGGAGGACCCCCAGCGGAGGCGGCTGCCCTCTGGGGGTATTTCACATGAAACTTGCGGCAGGCGGCACAGTTGTCTTCTTGCTTAGGCTGTGTTTGGAACAGACAGAAGAGTTGTAAATTTAACTGGAAACACTTGGCTTTGGCTGGCTAACAAATAAAATTTCATGAGCACAAACAAAAAGCAGAGTTGAACATTGTCACCTGAAAAGAAATTTAAAATTGTTAAAGCGTCAAAAAAATCCAGGTGCTTTTAATATCTATATTGTTTTTATGCTTTTTATCCAATGGTAAAAGCAATGAGTGTTCTTTACGGAAAAGCAAAATAAATTCAAGCAAAAAGACTATCACACAGCAAAGGGGGAGAGACAACTCCTGTTCACGCCTTGGCGGGGTGGGGGGCAGGGGGCGGTGGCAATCATTTATTTATTTATTAATTTTTTGAGATGGAGTTTCCCTCTTGTCACTCAGGCTGCAGTGCAGTGGTGCAATCTTGGCTCACTGCAACCTCTGCCTCCTGGGTTCAAGTGATTCTCCTGACTCGGCTCCCGAGTAGCTGGGATTACAGGCATGCACCACCACGCTCAGCTAATTTTTGTATTTTTAGTAGAGATGGGGTTTCACCATGTTGGTCAGGCTGGTCTCAAACTCCTGACCTCAGGTGATCCACCCACCTCGGTCTCCCAAAGTGCTGGGGTTACAGGCGTGAGCCGCCGTGCCTGGCCACGTGGCAATCATTTCTAATGCACAGATGTGTGTTTGAAACTTTTTCGGAATGGCATCACACAACATGTACTGTTTTCTCACCTACGACCATAACTTAATCAATTCAGTATCATCATATGTTTAGACAGTTTATCAGGTTTGCCTGATTTACAAGCAGTGCAGAGAACTGAAAAATGAATTAGCAAATAAAATGAAAATCTATAAACTTGACAGTAGTGTTTGTAATGTACAATGTGAAGGTTGTACATTCAGACCAGAAGCATCAAAATCATAAACATGTACCACAAGAGTACCCGGGGATGTTTATTTTCAACCAAATCATGTTCAGTTGTTAAAAGGGTGCTTTCTAAAAATGTGTTTTCAAAAGAATCCCACACGCCCTCTTGAACAACCCTCTCAGCTTGGAGGTAATGGAGCTCAGTCAAGGAGGCAGAGAGCTGCTGCTTCTCCTGGGATGGCGGGGGGGCATGTTCTGAAATAAGAGTAGAAAAACAAGTTGGATGTGATTAGGAGAAAAAGTATTATGCTAACCTGGGCCACTCCTGCACCTACTTTCCAGCAGCCTTTTATTACAAATAAATGAGACCATATTTGCATTTTAAATTTTGTCCCGATTGTTCCGTTCTTTACACTTGAACAAGTGCCGTCCTCAAGGCGGAAGCGTGTCTGCTCTCCTCCTGGCTTCTCTTTCTCTTCCTGGTCAAGGTCACAACAGAAGCCTCCCCCTCATTTCAGAACATACTCGTGTCCCCCACTCATCACCAGGGCCAACAACAGCCTCTATGGGCCCTGCAGGCCAGTGGGTCTGCGTCTGTGGGTGGACACCACAAGCCTCTGCCCGTCCCAGGGAAAGTGCACGGGCCTCCAGCTCCCGGATGTCCACCTGATCCAGTACTGCCCCATCATTTCACCTTTATTTTGCACATAGCCATCTTTAGAACGCAGAAATTGAGGGAGGCTGGGAGGCCAGCAGCCTCCCCGACCTACCCACACCCCACCTGGGCCCTGCAGGAGCTGCCACTGCCCCACTCACGCAGAGCCCCCAAGTCCAGGATGGGCCCCGTCACTGGCTGAGACCTGGGGAGGAACCTGCTCTCACACCCTCTCCAGCGGCCCGGCCCCATCGACGTGCCCAAGACATGGGTGAGAGTCAGGACCTGGCTCAGTGCAAACCCAGCCCCGAGCCAGGCTCTGGCCCTGCATGAAGACCGGCACAGTGGAAGGTGGGGAACGCCCCAGTCCCAGGAGGCCTCCTTGCCCCCTCTGTCCCGGCTCCCGTCCTCCCAGAGGCGGAGGGGATGCCTACCAGGAGACTAGAGGTGGTGGCCCCCACAGGCCCCCAGAGCCACCACAGACCACTGGGTTGGTGGTTCCTTCTGAGTGTCTGGGCCACGTGAAGTGAAAAACTAGGAAGTGAATCTGGGGAGACGCCAGGCCACACGCACCTAGGTGGGCATTCCCACGGGTTCCCACAGCTGTCGGAGCAGAGCTCACCAGGAGGGGCAGAGAGAGATGCGACTTGCTAAAGCCCCCACTTCCCACCAGATGGGGAATGCCTGGGGCCTAGGGACTTGGCCCCACCACGGTGGATGCTTCTCATGGGAGCTCTGGCAAAAGGTCTATCACAGGGTGCTGTGGCTCCCAGCATCTGCAGAAGGCCAGAGGACCAGGCTCAGAAGACGGAGCAGCCACCGGGAACTCCACTGAGAATGAGCTCCAAGCCTCTCCAATTCTCAAAGTCCAGGCAGGAGCCACCCCCAGGCCCCCACAGAGCCAGCCTGCCCAGAGCTGCTGGGGAGAGAAAGCAAAGCAAAACCCAATTCCACACCCAGCCACTACCATCCCTCAGAGAGCCCTTAGTGGGAGAAGGGGAAAGGAATGGGATCGGATTTCTAAGGAGAAGGTGCCCTCAAGGCCATACACTCTGTCTCTCTGGCAAACACCTTCCCCGGCCCCCAGAGGTGTGAGCAACAGGGCTCCAAGCCCAAGCCACTTGGGAATGATCACAGAGCAACACAGAAACAGGTGCGAATTCGTCCTGCAAAATAGCACAACTGCTGAAAAGGCACAGGTTAGGGTTGTCTTTGGAAGAAGATTAATCTGTAAAGAATTCCCAGAGAAAGTAAGATTTTAATCAACTGTAAATACAGAGGGGCAACCCTCTGGGGAGGAGGGGCAGTGTGACCAGGTGGGGGGATCAGCCAGGTAGGGAGGATCAGCCAGGTGGGGAGGATCAGGCAGGTGGGGGGGGGCCTCAGCCAAGTGAAGGGTGGGGATCGGCCAGGTGCAGGGGATGGGCCAGGTACGGGGATGGGCCAGGTGTGGGGGATGGGCCAGGTGTGGGGAGGTGGGCCAGGTGTGGGGAGGTGGGCCAGGTGTGGGGAGGTGGGCCAGGTGTGGGGGGATCGGCCAGGTGTGGGGAGGTGGGCCAGGTGTAGGGGATTGGCCAGGTACCGGGGATGGGCCAGGACACTACAAAGCCAAGAGTGCACATGTCACCCCAGGTTGGTGCCTCTCTGTAGAAGCAGGCAGGTGACAACACAGTCTTCTGCAATCGAGTTTGGGGCACCTGAGGGGGCTAGTCCTTTTGAGAAGCTTTCGGTCAGGAAAAGCTGCCGCAGGAAACAACCCAAGTGTCCTTCAACAGGTGAATGTGTGAGCAAAACGTGGTATATCCATGCAAAGGAACGGCGGAGTCATACAGGCTACAACACAGGGACCCTTGTGGACTTTGTGCTGAGTGAAATGAGCTGGTCACAAAAGGACAAATCCTGTGTGAGTCACTCATTTGAGCTGACAAATACCTAGAGACAGAAAGTTGAATGGGGCTGCCAGGGTCTACGGGAAGGGGGAAGGAGGAGAGAATTTAAGCGGGACGGAGTTTCAGTTTGGGAAGAAGCGGAAGTTCTGCGGGGGGGCAGTGGTGATGGTGACACAAGGTGAACGTGCTAAAGCACTGAACTGTGCACATAAATCTAGACAAGATGTTGCATGTTTGTTATGTGTGTTTTCCCATGATCTTAAAAGCCTGATCCACAGTGGCCTCACTGACCTGCCAGAAGCCGAGGTGGCAAGGGGCTCTCGGTGCTCTCAGCACCCCACCCGCTCCAGCCCAAGGTCGAGAAGCTTCACCTTCACATTCTCTTGCGTCTCCATAACAGTCTCATCACGCAGAACGCGTATTCCATCACAGACACACAAAGAAGGCAGCAGAGGGGGCTGGAGCCAGAAGCCAGACGGGCCTCCAGGTCAGGAGTGGAGACGCCACCTCTCCTCAGCCCTGGGGAGGCCCAGAGCTGGGCAGGGTTCGGGGAGTGAGGAGGGAGAAAGGGAAGGGGAAGGGCTGTCCTTCAGGTCTCCTCCACACCGCTCCCTGACGAGCCAGCCACACACATAGGAAAGTCACCGTAAACATTTCCCTGCAGAGACGTGGGTTCCCACAGTGGGGTCCTGTGGCTGCAGCGGAACACCCCAGACCAGGAGATGGAGAACACAGCTGGAGCGGCAGCGGGAGGTGCTAATCGGGGAAGGAAAATCGGTGCTAATTGGGAAGGAAAAGAGAAAACAAGGGGAAAGAGAGCGGGTGCAAGACAGCTGGGAGGAGTGGAATTCCAGTAGACGTGGGGCCAGGAAAGGAAGCCGGGTGGGAGGAGTGGAAGGGAGTTGTGGGATCAGGGGTGCGGGGAGTGGAAGGGAGGCTGGGACCAGGGGTCGGGGGAGTGGAAGGGAGGCGTGGGATCAGGGGTCGGGGGAGTGAAAGGGAGGTGTGGGATCAGGGGTGGGGGGGAGTGGAAGGGAGACTGGGGCCAGGAATGGAAGCTGGGTGGGAAGGGAGGCGTGGGATCTGGGGTGGGAAGAATGGAAGGGAGGCTGGGATCAGGGGTGGGAGGAGTGGAAGGGAGGCTGGGGCCAGGAATGGAAGCTACACCCTCTGAACTGCTACTCCCCATCCTAAATAGGTTGCCTGCCTGCGTCCTGACAGCATCCTCGGCCTTTTTCCCCTCAACTGGACACATGCAAACCGATGTCTGGTTTCATTTTATCCTTATCAACAGTTAGCTGTCTGTCATCAGAAGATTAAACGGCCAGAATGTGATCTTCCCGCAAATTAAACCGCGAGTGAAATGTCCACTCTGCCTGAAACAAATGGAGTCTCAGAAGCTGTGGCATTAAACAAGAATCAGACACCTACTGAGACCTCTTTCACAGGCGGCTATGATGGCACTTTAACAAATACTACAAAACTATCTGTCACTTATGCAGTGCACAATTTTTTTATTTATACTTGTTTAATAACATGAATTCTTACATGCATGAGAACCATTACACTTTGAAGTCACTTCGTTTCATGATTATTCATGCCACTTTGTGAACTCCATGTTTTTATTTATTTTTTTTAGAGACGGAGTCTTGCTCTGTCACCCAGGCTAAAGTGCAATGGCATGATCTTGGCTCACTGCAACCTCCGCCTCCCAGGTTCAAGCAATTCTCCTGTCTCAGCCTCCTGAGTAGCTGGGATTACAGGCGCCCACCACCATGCCCAGCAAATTTTTGTATTTTTAGTAGAGACGGGGTTTCACCATGTTGGCCAGGCCGGTCTCAAACTCCTGACCTTGTGATCCGCCTGCCTCAGCCTCCCAAAGTGCTGGGATTCCAGGTGTGAGCCACCGTGCCCAGCCCTCCATGTTTTAGAATACTCTGAGAATGCTAAAATGGATGGATGTGTAGCTGCTGTCATAAGTCTACTGAAATACAGTCGAGCGTGCTCTAAATTTCCAAGCCTCTGCTCACATTAACCAGATACGTCTCTTTCAAACATTCAAACAAATACTCTAGGTCTCCTCAGACACTGAGTTCCAGCATGGCTGCTATAAAAAGAAAGCCCTCACCTCCGAGGTGTTACCACTTTCATACGCTTTGTGTTCAGCAAACACCAGAGACACAACCTCCCCTGGCCTGCACTGAACCCCGAGTCCCAAAAGACAGGGGATGACAAACACCCTCTTTATTTTTTCCAGTGGACATAAGAAAAGGCAGAGGTGGCACCCTGGCTGGAACTGGCCCTCACCTCACCGACTGTGGTCCGGCCATAGAGCCACACCTTGGAAACAGGTTTCCAGTCTCTGTGGGGCACTGACGCCGGTCCAGTGAGAGGGGCTCTGCGCAGGGAGTCGAGGGGCTGTGGACGCTAGCTGACCAGCCGGGACCATCACCCACAGTAGAGAGAAAAGCCTGTCCTTCGGGCCTGTCTCAGAGGCCTAGACAAGGACAGGACGGGGTTGCTGTCCCTCACCTCACGATCCCCCACCCCCAGACCCTCACTATCAGCCACACTGTGGGGCCCAGTGAGCTTGGATAAAGGCTGGTGTGGCACAATGAAGACATCCAGGTAGGGCTTTGAGGGCCATTTAAATGACACCACCTAGCTCCAAGGCTGCTGGAGAAAACCAGCCCTGACTCCCTTAGCCCCAGCAAATTCTAACCATGGAGGGAGCGTTTTGTATGCGGGGCTGGGTGCATAATTAAGCTGCTCTTCCCCCGTGGGCACCACCACATTGTTTACTCCTGGGGAACTACCGGCCACATTTCACCGTGAAGCAAAATGCATCTGTGCTATTTTCAAGCAGCATAGCGTGTGTCACTCAGGGTGGGGAGGGAGAACGGGGAAAACACGTGGGAGCCAACATGCGAAGGAGGCACCTGGCAGCTTCTGCTTTGTTTTTTAAACTCATCGACAAAAGGTCCTGCCCCTGACACTGCAGCCAGCTGTTCTCACTCTGGGTTCAGCACGTTGCTACCCAGACAACAGGGCTGGGAGAAGGAGCCTCAGATTCCTAGGAATGTTAATTAACTAAGGCCTCTCCCCTCCACCCGCTCCTTATCTATGTGCTCCAGAAAGTGAGTCATCCAGGCTCCTGGGCTGTATTCAGAAGGCAGAGAGGCTGGGAGAGGGCGTGGAGCCTTGCTCCCCTACGTTCACAGCAATCCAAGAGCTGCCTCTTACTCCACACATCCGGGCTGTTTCCCAGTCCCGGGAACACTAGCAATTCAAGCCTGGAATTCTGAACAGCCAGGACTTCCAGAGGCTTAAAAAATGGAAGCAAAACAGAGTCTTGCCCGGTCCAAAGCCCTGACCCCTGGCTCAACGCACGGTGCCCGCTGACGGGATGTCCCTGCAGTGCCCCTCCCAGTCCAGAGCCCTGACCTGACTCCTGACCCCTGGTGGATGCGGTGCCTGTTTACGGTGACGTCCCTGGGCTGCTTTTTTTTTTTTCTCATCAGGTGGATTTAAAATTGGATCTCAGGTTCCTCCCCTTTGAGTTTTAACTTTTATTTTATTTACGTATGTATCAGAGACAGGGTCTTGCTATGTTGCCCAGGTTGGCTTCGAACTCCTGGGCTCAGGGGATCTGATCCTCCCACCTCGGCCTCTCAAGTAGATGGGACCACAGGTGTGCATCACCACACCTGGCCCAGCTTTTAGTTTTAACAAGTAATTTGGGACAATTTTCCTGCTGAATACTTCAAGCCACTTTTTTAAGCGACAAAATTTTAGAGCGAATACTACCTTCTAAATTTCAGCATTTTTTTTTAAATGGCTCTGGCTCAGGAAGCATGATGAAAAGTCGGAAGAGCCGCACGCGGCCCAGCTGCCTCGTGGTAAAGTGTCAGCACGCAGGACGGGTCCCCTGGGATCCTGCCTCCTTCCCCCAAATACGAACATGCCAGCCCTCCAACCCTGATTTCAGCAGCCTCTGGTGACCTCTGACCCCGGCACTTTGAGAACCGAGTCCCTGCTTCAAACAGCGGTGGGTGGGTGGGTGGGTGGCTCCGGGTGGTTGGCAGGGGCCCTGCCCTCCGCTCTGAAGCCTCCCGCACTGTGACTAGTGCCCCCTCACATGACGCGGGGCTGGGAGAGCCCCAGGGAGCCGAACCTTCTCTCCCTGCAGGGATGATAGTGACGGCAGGTGAAGACCAACCAGAGCTGTGACTTGTCTGCCCTGTTATGATTTTTAAAATGATTTTCATTACTATCAGCATTTGCCAAAGACTGGAACTGGTCTTCCCCTCACTGTCCACACTCACCACCTGTGAACGCCCTCCCCATGAGACAGCTCTGCCGGGAGTGTTACAACCCCTCCCTGGAACCAGAGAGCAGCCCAGGCCCAGGAAAACCCAGCAGCTCAGCCCTGCGGGGCCTGCTTGGCCACCACAGAGGCCTCCGCCGCCTCCTGGAGCCCTGTCTTCTCCCGCAGGCTCCTTCCTTCCTGTTAACGTTCTAGTCGAGATGGCTCCAAGGGCCCTCATGGGTAGAACTCTTCCAGGGCAGTGGTACAGGAGAAGGGAAAACCTGGGGCGCTTGTTTTCTGGGGAGCGGCCCTGCCCTGCTACAGCCCCATTTGTCACATCCTGTCGGGAAACACTGATTTTTCCAGTCACACACGGTGTGGGCCACTTGCTTAGGGGTGAATTGGGTTTTGAGTTTACATTAGGAGGCATGAGCTGGCTTTGCGAACACGATGCATTCTTTGTGAGAAAGAGCCTTTCCAAAGGGCCCCCAAGGCAGCAGACACAACTTAAACACCACGGCCACACACACGTCTGCAAAGAGGGAGGACCACATGGATGACACTCGTGATTCCCGACTGCAGCCGGCCTCCCCGTGATGCTGAGGGAATGTGGATGCTGAGAGTGGCCGCCTGACACCCGGGTGTCACGCAGTTCCAGGCCCTCACCATGGCTGATGCCCAGCTCCAGGGCAGAGTGCAGGCAGAGGACCTGTGCTGTTGAGACCCTTGCTCTCAGCTGTGGGATGTGGGCAGCATCAGCTCCAACAGGGGCTGGTCAGCAGCAGGGAGCAGCGCGGCCTAACTGGGCTATGCCCTCATGGGCGCAGCTCCTATTTGCAGACAGTTGACAACAAGAGTCAAACTCTGTAAAATATCTGAAGAGATTTATTCTGAGCCAAATATGAGTGGCACAACCCTCAGGATGTCCTGAGAACATGTGTCCAAGGTGGTCGGGCGCAGCTTGGTTTTATACATTTTAGGGAGGCATGAGACTTAAATACATTTAAGAAATACATTGGTTTGGTTCAGAAAGGCGAGACAACTCAAAGCGAGGGGCTTCCAGGCTATAGGTAAATTTAAACATCTTCTGGTTGACAATTGGTTGAGTTTATCTGAAGACCTGGGATGACAGAAAGGAAATGTTCAGGTTAAGATAAAGGATTGTGGAGACCAAGTTTTATTGTGCAGAGGAAGCTCTTAGATAGCGGACTTCAGAGAAGGCAGGTTGTAAATTGCTTTTTATCAGACTTAAAAGGGTGCCTGGATCTTAGTTGATTATTGCCTGGACCTGGAAAGGAAAGAAGGAAAACAAAGGGGGAAGAGGATTCTCTACAGAATGTGGATTTTTCCCACAAGTGACCTTGCAGGGCAATTTCAAGGTATGACAAGGAAATATATTTTGGGGTAAAACATTTTGATTTTCTTCCTTGTTATGCCAGAGTCAGATTGGAAAGTAAGTCATGATATACAGGGTTAAATAAAACCCATCTGATGAGAATTTATGATTTGTAGGGCATGACTCCCCAGACCCCTTAGAAAGGAATTTGGGTAAATTTAAAAAAAAATCAGAGCTTAGTCCTGAAGACACAGCCAGGAGGGGCACAGAGGGCTGGCCAAGAGTCCCACATGGGCCCCTGAGACAGGCTGGCTGGGGACACCCAATTCCCCCTCCCAGACCTGCTTCCGGCACTCCCCTTCCCGCCTGGAACCCTACAGACACATCACACCCATCCCTCCCGGAGTCTACCCTGGAACATGTGCCTGCCCCAGAGGGTCTTCAAGTTAAGACAGGAACCAAATCACTCTCTCTTCCTTGGCCAGGCCCATTAAAAACATAAAATCAGATGCACATGATCCTAGATTCTCTGCACAAACTCCCCCTCCCCCTCCATGAGTTCAAAACACAGGCGGGAGAGCCACTCGTTGGAAGACGACCAAAGCTACAGGCTTGTCGGGCAGGGGTGGGACCAACTCACAGGGCCACACGCAGCCCACGTGGGGCCCACAGTGAGAGGCCACATCTGAGTGACAGCCAGGGAAGCCGAGAAACTGTCCATCAGACTCAGTCGCTCTGAGGTTTGCAAGGGTGACATGTTGATAGAAATCAATATCAACCCATTTTTTAATGAACTAAAATTGTGAGTGAGGGTGCTAAGGAAAAGCCATTAATACTCCTTTTACGTTTTACTTTTCTGTCAACTGCGAAGATTACCTGACAAATAGGGTTTCTAGTCAATTTCATGCTATACTTGCGGTTTTTAAATGAGTCTAACGATGTAAAATATATAATTACTCCATTTTACAATTAAGTTTCTTACTAATAATAAGGGGACTTAGGTTGGTACAAAGGTAATTACGGTTTCGGACCGTGAATTTTAAATCATTATAACTAGGCTCAAACACATCTTTATTAACCAAAATAGTAACCATTACAATCAACACATTTTTGCCAACGAGAAATAAGTTTGTTTATTCCTGTAGCATAAAAATCAGGCTTTGGGATTCGACAAACTCTTGGAAAGCATTTTCTGCATCCTGCTGGTTGTGGAAGCGTTTTCCCTGTAAAAGTTGTCGAGATGCTTGAAGTGGTAGCTGGTTGGTGAGAGGTCAGGTGAATATGGCGGATGAGGCAAAACTTCGCAGCCCAATTTTTCCACTTTTGAAGTGTTGGTTGCGTGACGTGCGGTTGGGCTTTGTCATGGAGAAGAATTGGGCCCTTCCTGTTGACCAATGCCGGCTGCAGGCGTTGTAGTTTTCAAAGCGTCTCATGGATTTGCTGAGCATACTTCTCAAGATGTAATGGTTTTGTGGAGATTCAGAAAGTTGTGGTGGATCAGACCGGCACAGGCCACCAGACAGTGACCAGGACCTTTTTTTGGTGCAAGTTTGGCTTTGGGAAGTGCTTTGGAGCTTCTCGGTCCAACCACTGAGCCGGTTGTCACTGGTTGTCATATAAGATCCACTTTTCGGCGCACGTTACAATCTGATCGAGAAATGGTTTGTTTTTGTTGTGTAGAATAAGAGAAGATGACACTTCAAAATCACAATTTTTTTGATTCTCGCTCAGCTCATGAGGCACCCACTTACCGAGCTTTTTCACCTTTTTAATTTGCGTCAAATGCCGGTCGACTGTGGAATGGCTACATTGAGTTCTTCAGCAGCTTCTCGTGTAGTTTTAAGAGGATCGGCTTCAATGACTGCTCTCAGTTGGTCGTTGTCAACTTCCAAAGGCTGGCCACTACGCTCCTCACCTTCAAGGCCCTCGTCTCCTCTGCAAAACTTCTTCTTCTTTTTTTTTTTTTTTTTTTGAGACAGAATTTCACTCTTATTGCCCAGGCTGGAGTGCAATGGTGTGATCTTAGCTCACTGCAACCTCTGTCTCCTGGGTTCAAGCAAGTCTCCTGCCTCAGCCTCCTGAGTAGGTGGGATTACAGGCGTGTGCCACCACACAGGGCTAATTATGTATTTTTGGTAGAGACAAGGTTTCACCATGTTGGCCAGGCTGGTCTCAAACGCCTGACCTCAGGTGATCCATCTGCCTCGGCCTCCCAAAGTGCTGGGATTACAGGTGTGAGCCACCACGCCCAGCCTGTAAAACTTCTTGACCCAGCACTGCACTGTATGCTCGTTTAGTGGTTCCCAGCGGCTCCTGGGCCCAATGTGGTGCTGATGTTGCCGAGTTGTCTCCACTGCTTTACAACCCATTCTTAACTCGAATAAGAAAATCGCTCGAATTTGCTTTTTGTCTAACGTCTTTTCCACAGTCTAAAATAAACTTAAACGGCAAGTAATAACTCAGTCGCAAAAAAGCATAAAGTGAGAAATTCACATTAAAATGATGTGTGGCATAACCACATTGATTTAAGAGTGTATTCCAATATCAAACAGCAAATTTCAACAATGCAAAAACCGCAAATACATTTGCACCAACCTAATAGCTTCTGAAACCATGCCGTCCTTTAAAAAGCAGCACAGCAATTTAGGAAATCAAAGAGCTATTTCAATATAAGAACAAAAAAAATTCTCATTGTATTTAGAGAAGAAATAACAGGAATTGTTTTTCACAGAACCAACAATTTTACAGGAAAATACTCTTAAATGTAATTTTCAAATTAATCAATCTATTTCTTCATAATTTCTTAGATAGTAAAAGAAATGTTATAGACCAACTGGAAAGAGAGCACTTATTCAAACCAAGCAATTAGCAGAACCGAGCTCCTGGAAGAAAATGCCACAGAAAACATCCTCGTTCCAATTTCTTATAAACACACTTAGGAAAAAGCCATGGAACCATGTAACACCATCAACTAACATCATTATGAGCTGTATGATTTAAATGTCCTGCCTGCTGAACATCACGCTTTTATGACTTTCTGTCTCTTACTATCAAGTATGATTTGCTCTAAGATGAAACACCAGATCCTCCTCTCTTGCAGCTCTCAGCATATTAAGCAAAATATGAAGTGCAAATGAGTCCTCACATTCAAGTTTTTACCTTTTTACCTTTTACTATGGCCAATTATTTAAAAGAAAAAAATCCTCCTATCTCGGTCCATCCTGCATTTAAACGTAACTAGCACTTGTGTTTCAATGTCTTCTCTTCACCCGTTAAGATCTCTTTCACTGATGAAAAAAAAGAGTGTTGCCCAAAAAGCAAGCTACACAATAGTAGATGCAGAAACTACTTAAAATTGCCCCTAATCAGTTTCAGTTTGGGATGATGAAAAAGATCTGGAAGTACCTGGCGGTGATGATCGTACAGCACTGAGTGTATTTAACGCCATGGAACTGTACGCTTCACAATGGACAAGATGGTAAAGTTTATGTATGTTTTGCCACAATAAAAAAATTACCTATAAATCAATGTATTGTATATTCGTTCAATAAAGCAATACATCTTTATAATGTTAAAAATCATCCAAATTTACCTACTATGTAACATTTTCCTCCTTTGGCCGTATAATATTAAACAAGCTTAAAACACTATTGAAAAGCAACACATACATTCTGTATTGTGAGCAAGAAAACTAAAGGGGCAGTCGACACCTGCTTAGGTCTCAGACTAGGCCTCTGCTCATCCCTCCTGGGGGGCTTCCTCTGCCTGGAGCTGTCCTCTGATGGTCCCTGCCGGCTTCCCGTCCTCCATGCCCCGTCCCGGACACCCTTCCCTTCTCATTTTGTCCCTGGCGCCTCCTCACAGCGGGTGTGCTACATGCCATGTGCCTTCCATCCTTGCCCAGTCTCCAGGAGAGCTGGGGCGCCTGTACCTCTTGCTCCCCACAGAATCTTCAGCGCATACAGCAGCTGCTCAGTGCGTGCGGGATGAACATCAACTGCTGAGCACCCCCGCGTGCTGAGGACATCACACACCCTCCCCTACGAGAATCCCAGGGTTTCCCTCTCTACGTGTCATTCGCTGCCGAGGGCCTGCACATTTTGTTTCCACATTACATCCGAGAAATGGTAAAAGGAGTTAAATAACATCAGAAATGAGGACAAAAGGAAACTCCAGCCACCATGACAGTCGCTCCAGCTTTCTTTTTACATGTTGCTTTCAGATTTATACCAAAGTCATTTATTACTGAAAACAAAAAAGCACGTGTATACTTGATGGTTACCTAATATTTTAATGGTTTGTCTCCATTTATCTGAGTGAAATCACGTCACCTCACTGCACTTTCTAGAGAGAAAAGGAGATGCCCGTTATTCCACGTTTGTGAGGCATTTTATCGGAAAGTGAAGGAGAATCTGTGGTCCCATTTGCCTGCAAACCTCCCATCCCCCACACCAGGGGTCCCGCTGAGGTCTGAAAGCCATTTCCATGTCTTCGTGGGCAATCTGAGACCTTGGAAAACCACACCAAAATCTAGATGGCATTCTACTGGCAGGACCTCATTGTCCCTAATCCTTTGCTGAAAATAGGTTGGAGGAAATCCTCTTTTCTCTGAAGCAGGAGATTATTTAATTATTTAGGCAGCCACTTCCTTCCCAGGCAATGGTGAGCAACAAAGCCAGAAAGAATGAAGGAAATGGGTGAGCTGCTCCTGTCCCTGAGCAGGTACAGAGAGTGGGGGACACCCCCAGCCCATCTCAGACTCAGGCAAGCTGCTCCTGTACTTGAGCAAGTACAGAGGGAGGGGGACACCCCCAGCCCATCTCATACTCTCACGTGCTCCAGATACAAACCTGAGACGCACGCCGCAGTCAGAGCCTCGCCTCCCACAGACCTTTCCAGATAAGACAACGCGGGGGCAGAGCAGCCACTGTGGCCTTGGGCTCCCAAGAGCATCAAAACCAGTTATGGTTTCTGCTGAGTGCTGGAGCCACTTGGCCTTGCATTTTCAGTGAAAGAGAGCGCAAAGTACCCATAATTCCTCCAACAATCGCCAGAGGCCACCCTAACTACCGACTGAGAGCAGTCACAACCTACAATCACCTCTGAGTTGTGCGTACAACAACTGGGCCAGTACTTAATGGATGGTAAAGACCTTTGATTATTTAAAAAGACACTAACCCAGAAAGGTGGACGACAGCTGGCTTGGGAACTCACTGCTTGCCTTGGGAACCCACATGGTGGCTGACGTGTGGGTGGTGTGGCACTCGAGCCCTCCCGTGACTCCCCCGCCTGGGACAGCAGGACCAGCGTATCCCATTGTTCTGACCTGCATTTCAAGTGCAACTTCCAACTAGCACGGTCCAATTTTGTCAACGGTAAGACGTCCTCCTCCACACACGCAGGTGAACAGAGTATGGGCTCCAAAAAGCAATTCCATTTACTGGAAGAACCAGATCATGATCCAGCAGCCTCTGAGTTTACTGAGCAGACAGGCCCAATCCCGTTTTGTGATGTAAACCCTAACATCTGTCTTGTCAATAAGCCAGATGCTGTGTGTTTGGATTGTAATGCAAACACCAAAACAATATGTTATAGCATTGTTTTAATACCAACCACCTCTCCCCTACCAGCTTTCTCCAGTGGGAAAAAAAAAAGCAAAAAGAAGACATAAATACACAGAACCTTAGATCCGAACCAACCACGGGAACTGCGGTCTGTTACATCTAAGAAGGGTCAAATTACCTAACTTTGTTCCACAACTTAAAAAATAACCCATTCTCACTAAGTAATTACGTTCTGTCTTTCCAGACTTCGTGGAACATGCTTCTGTCATCTATTTCATAAAGCAACAGACAAGGCGTAATGTGTTTTTCTGACTGTCCTCTTTGCCATTTCCGATCCGTCTGAATATTCGCCATCTAAATAGTGCCTCGGTCACCAGGACACTGCTGTGGGCTGAACTGTGATCCCCTCAAAAATCTCATATTGAAGCCCTAACCCCTAATGTGATTGGACCTGAAGATTGGGCCTTTACGAGGTACTTACGATTAGATGAGATCATGAGGTCTGTGTCCTAATCAGACAGGATTGGTGTGTGGTTACGAGGAGGAAGAGAGAGAGTTCTCTCCCCGCCTCTGGGAGGACACAGCCTCCTGCCCCCCAGGAGGGCCCCTCACCAGACCTCACCATGCAGACACCCTGATCTGATTTCCAGCCTCAAGAGCTACAAGAAATAAATTTCTATTGCGTAAACCATGCAGCCTGCAGTATTCTGTAACAGCGGCTGAGCTCTCTGAAACACAGGCAGTACCTGTTCAGCTCCACACTAAGATGCTAGGTGCTTACATAACAATAAAACCATTTAAGTTTGTAATCTCAGCAACAAGCATCTCAGAGAATCATGTCGTAAACAATGTATCAGTTTTTCATAATGAAAATTATTCATTCCATAGTCACATTCTCAGCATCTGCTTTCTCAATCATCAAGCCTGTGTGTTAACATGATTCTCATAAACTCACTTTGCTGGTGAGACGCTGGGAAAAAGGCGGAAGACAGCAAGGCCCTGAGACACCGAGGTGGGGGCGCTGCGAGACACGCACACCGCCCGCTCTTCAAGCAAAGCCCTCAGACCCATGCCTCTGGCCGCCTTCCTCTCATGCACACGTGTTAGACAAGTTTAGTTACCGCTTTTGAAACCGAGTGGTCCTGAGAGGGGATAGATATCAGCAGAACGAAGAAAGCCCTGAGAGATGCGCCTGTCTCACAGAGAGAGAAGCCCGGCCAAGGCCACCCAGAGAGACGCACGCACAACACAGCAGACAGAAGGGACAAGAAGCCCGCGGAACACAAGAACCCACCCTGGCACATCGGGCCCGAGGCCTGGCCATCTGAGGGCAGAGGGAGACACCATCACGCACCCCCCGTGTGCACGCCTTCCGAGGCTCTGCTTCCCACTGGAACACGCGGGGGGCGGGGCGGGGGGCCTCCGTGTGGTTGCTACGGTGTCTGTACTTACAGTGGTTTCTTTTTTTTTTTTTTTTTGAGACAGAATCTCACTGTGTTGCCCAGGCTGGAGAGCAAAGGTGCGATCTCGGCTCACTGCAACCTCTGCCTCCTGGGTTCAAGCGCTTCTCCTGCCTCAGCCTCCCGAGTAGGTGGGATTACAGGTGCCCGCCACGATGCCCAGCTAATTTTTGTATTTGTAGTAGAGACAGGATTTCTCCACATTGGCCAGGCTGATCTCGAACTCCTGACCTCAGGTGATCCACCCGCCTCGGCCTCCCAAAGTGCTGGGATTACAGGCTTGACCCATCGCACCAGGCTGTACTTAAGAGTGTTTTTGCACACTCTGTGACAAGAGGAGGAACTGCTACTAGCAACGCCTGTCTCCATCCATCTCCTCAGGCATGTGTGTGCTCATGAACCACCAGCTGGATAACCGCAGGCCCCATCCACAGGATGCCGAGACACAAGCACAGTGCCGGGGGTAACACTGGGAGGAAAAGGGCGACGCGGAACCTACTCACACCTCAGTCCATTGCTGGGGTTATAAATGTGTTGACAGCCTGCTCTGTCGCCCAGGCTGGAGTGCAGTGGCGCGATCTCCTCTCACTGCAAGCTCCGCCTCCCCAGTTCACGCCATTCTCCTGCCTCAGCCTCCCGAGTAGCTGGGACTACAGGCGCCCGCCACCACGCCCAGCTAATTTTTTTGTATTTTTAGGAAAGACGGGGTTTCATCGTGTTAGCCAGGATGGTCTCGATCTCCCGACCTCGTGATCCGCCCGCCTCGGCCTCCCAAAGTGCTGCGATTACAGGCATGAGCCACCGCGCCCGGCCCTGACAGATAATTTTTTATAGGAAAGAAATCAGTGTGCTGAATACCCACTGTGGACCAGATCTTCCTCTGGGCACTTCCTTCAACATCTCTGGGATTCTTGGCATTTCAAAGGTCAGGCGAACTTGGCAAGTTTTCCTTCAAAAGGTAGATTATTCCTGTATTCTATAACCTTTTAATCTTTAAGTCAAAACTAAACACAACTTGACTGCCAAACGCCAGACACTGCCGAGATGCCTGGAAGTTAGTAGCTGTGCCTGAGCCTAACTGATAAGCACGCAGCAACAATACTTAACACACTTGTAACTGCCAGGCAACCTCCCAGAGTTCTCCTCTCCTGGCTGGGATGGGTCGCTGTTGCAGGGGACATGGAGAAATCATGGTAGAAAGGACCGTGGAGACGGCCACAGGCGGACTCGAATTTCTGTGTATTCCACATATTCGGGTGCCACTCCCATTCTCAGGTGGCCGCCGGCCACTCCTGCCCCCCAACGTCCTCCTGAAAGGGCCGCAGCGACCTGGGGTCGGCTGATCCCTCAGCAGCTGAGCCAAGCCCAGCCTCTTCCCCACAGCGCTAACGTGGAAGTCTCACTACTCAGAGATACACAGATAAGTGGGCGAGAGAAGCAGGTCCAAGCCCACGCACGTGGAGATGGATTCAGGGGTAGCGGGGATGCTAGTGAACAACTGCCCTGGATGTGTGACACAGGGACAAGTCCTGAAGCAGCTGGAGGCTCCTCAGGGCGAGGCGGGTGACAAGCAGAACGGGGCACATGGCGGGAGTTGCAGGCCCTGGGTTTGAGACCGCATGTTGGAGTGGCCGTGGAACCTGCTGTCTAAGCTCGGACGCTTCTGCGAGTGAAGGGGACGCTATGGATAATTATTAACGATGTGGGGACAACAGGCACAACCTGGGGCTGAACTGGGCCAGGAGGGCGTTCACTCACCCTTCACAGGGTGCAGACCACGCCGGGGAGAACAAGGTCAGAGTCAGGCATCAAGGCCTGCGCCCACCCACCACCCTCAGCACCCAGTGCCAATGAGACCTGGCTGCCCTGTCACAGGATGGCACAGTGCTCCTTCACAGGGCTGCTGTGAGGATCGAGAGGGGCTGTGGATACAACCCTTGGGGAAGGAAGGACCCAGCCTCCCAGACATGCCGGACGGCAGCCCCTTCTCTCTCTGGAGCAGGACCCGCCTGTCCCAGGCTGCCTCCCGGAGGTGCCCACAGCACGGACCACGGGTGCCTCATGCCAGCCTCTCCTGCCCTTCCCGTATTGGGGGTGGGCACGCTAAGGACAGAGATGCCTTGCCAGGCTGCACGCTCTTCACATCTTTGTTGAACGTGTAATTTCCATCCTTGTCGAATGCATAATTCAACCAATTATGCCTTTGATCAAATCGTTTTTTTCACATGTAACAAACCTTCTCTTTAAAATCTTTTACCTTCCTACCAGGAAAAATGATCTTATTTTCGTTCCCTTTCCAAGCCAAAAAAAAAAAAAAAATTACCTTTGTCACATGAGATGTGACAAAAATTGGCAGCCCTTTCCTGAGATATTTTTACAGCGCTTTACAATGTGTTACATTGAAAAGCGTACGAAAAGTGTAATTTCAGTGTATGAAATTACAAGGTTATTTTCATGTCCATTAATAAAGGTTCATTTGATCCTCACCACCCAGGACAAGAGAGACAGCAAAGGCCATGAGTTTCATTTTACAGCTGCCACTGGAGGCGACATGAATGGCTCAGAGCAGAGCCAGGTGGGACACAGGCTCCCCGGCAGGAGGCTGCACAGGGGCCCAGTGTAGACCATCGTCCAGCCAAAGCACACGCAGACAAGGTGCTGGCAGGCTCGGCCTCCACCAATGACATCATCTGTGAAATGTGCTCCTTCCAACTCAGCAGAAGTAACACGAACAGAAGTTAAAACCCTTCTTGCCCGCAGCAACCTGTCTTTGTTAAAACGTTTGCACATAAAGCACACACACTATACGGTGCAGAGTTCACAACGGACCACCAACCCCAAGCGCAGCCAGCTGATGTCCTTCAACTCTGCAGCCACAGCCGGGGGAAATTTTGATACCAAATGATGTGTGACATAATACCACCTCCCAGGAAAAAGTGACTTATTTTATCGTCTCAACTGCAAACTTCTAATATGCCTTCCAAGAAGTGATCTGGTTCTGAAAGCCACAAAAAATAAAATAAAAACCACAGAAAAATGGGAAACATTTTGCCAAACGGGGTAGAGGGTGGTTACTTAAACACATTCAGAGTAAGAATTTGAAAATATATTCATCTAAGTGGTCTTTATCCTTGAGAATAACTCATCTGAGTTGAGTGGCAGAAAAACTGTAAGGAAAGGCACTTGCAAATAAGTGAAAATATGTCACTAACAAATTTCTGAATGTGAACACAAATCACATTTGAAAGAACGACTTACACAATCTTTATTCATAGAAAAATCAGTTTCTTCCCACTCTACTTTGAAAATGGAGAAGATTTAAAGGATTGGTTTAAAGACCAGGCGCGGTGGCTGACACCTGTAATGCCAGTACTTTGGGAGGCCGAGGCAGATGGATCATTTGAGGTCAGGAGTTCGAGACCAGCCTTGCCAACATAGCAAAACCCTGTCTCTACTAAAAATACAAATTAAAAAATGAGACAGGCGTGGTGGCAGGCGCCTGTAATCCAAGCTACCTGGGAGGCTGAGGCATGAGAATCACTTGAACCCAAGAGGTAGAGGTTGCACTGAGCCGAAATAGCGCCACTGCACCCACTCCAGCCTGGGTGACAGAGTGAGACCTTGTCTCAAAAATAAATAAATAAAGATAAATAAATAAAAGATTGGTTTAAAGAGGCAACTAATGATTAATCTGCCCAAAGGGTTCACACATCAACCCTAGTTACAAAGGTAAAAGGTGGCAGAGAAAGCCTAAAATTCCATCTCTTGACTCCCAGCCTGATGTCCCAGCATCCCTGCATGAGTGAGCCACATCACCCTCTCTCAGGTCGGGCTGCCAGGGCTTCCTTCTCAGGATATGTAATAAGGAGAAAGCTCTCTGGCTCTGCTGCAATTACAGCTGTGGTGAATTACAAACAAACGCACCATGGGACAAAAGCATGCAGCAGCTAAAGCACCATTAGGTAACTCGCAAAAACAACTCAGCAGTTTTCTTTAGGCTCTGCAAGTCTCAACCAAACCAGAAAAGCCTGTGTCCTCCTTGGGACCGGGTGGGGTGGTCTCAGGCTTCGACGCAGCAGTGATGGGCCCAGCAACTCAGGCCAGTGGAGAGCACCGACCCTCCCCAAGTGGCCATCGCTCCAGCAGAAGCGGTCCTCGGGAAACCAGCAGGCCAGGAGTCACGAGACTTCCAAAAAAGTGGGGAAATGTGGGGATGTATGTGCCGTCCTCTGTGTTCAAATGTCAGCAAGAAGTTCAAATTGTATCGAGGCTGCTGAGTGCGCCCGTGCAGCCACATCAGAGGAGCCTGCCTGTCCCAGCACAGGAGTCTTAACTTTAGCAGGGGCAGGGGCTCCCTTGAGAATCTAACAAAATTGGGAAATGCCTGCCTGGAAAGCAAAGGTCCTGCATGCCAGAGGTTGGCATGTTGTTTCCAGGGATCAGAGTCTAGTTCTTAGGAACTCATCGTTTTAAAATGAAAGTAGTTTCAGGGCTGGGCGTGGTGGCACATACCTGCAATCCCAGCACTTTGGGAAGCAGAGGTGGGCGGATCATCTGAGGTCAGGAGTTCGAGACCAGCCTGGCCAATATGGTGAAACCCCATCTCTACTAAAAAAAAAAAAAAAAAAAAAAAAAACTGGCCGGGCGTCGTGGCACAAATCCCAGCTACTCAGGAGTCTGAGGCAAGAGAACTGCTTGCACCTAGGAGGCAGAGGATGCAGTGAGCCAAGATCAAGCCACTGCACTCCAGCCTGAGCAACACAGTGAGACTCTGTCTCAAAAATAAAAAATAAAAATAAAATAAAGAGTTTTAAAACTATGAGGAGGCCCTCGGAACTCTGGCTCTGGACACCAGGCTCTGGGGACAGGGCACTGCGGCTGCTCTCCCTGAATTCCCTTCCGAATTGCCAATGGCAACCTCTTCATCACTCTGATTAACACTAATGACCTGGGGTCTCGGTGTTGGCCCAGCAGCTGTTTTCTGCGTGGCTTTTCTGTGCCAGGAACGTTCTAGGCACACGGGTGACACTGGAACACGGAAATGAACACGGCTGGGTGGCGTGTAGCAGGCAGTGGACGCCTCTTCCTGGGACAAGGATGTTGATGGAGAGGGAAGAAAGGCCACTAGGAGCCCACCGTGGCCCTGGGGAAGGCAGAGGCCAGCACCGGAGCCCACCGAGGGGCGGCCAGCCCGCAGGACGCCACAGGAAGCAGCCCACGGAAGGCCCCAGGGCTCCCAGAGGCTGCTGCGTGGGCCGCCCCTCAGGCTGGACACGCAGGCACCCACCTGGCCAGGCCCTCACCTCGTCCACCCCGCCACCCACTGCGCGCAAGCACTGCGCCCCACGCATCCTCCACCCGCCTCGCCCACCCGCCAGCCTGCGCACGCACTGCCCCCAACCCCACTCTCTTTTTCTCAGCACCGTCGCCTGCGGGGCACCCCAACACTCACTGTGGTGGTTTCCTGTTCGCCTCCCCCATTCCAAGGGGGCCCCAGAGGGATGGGACTTGGGTCTCTGTCCTTCCCGGCTCACTGGCGTGTCTCTGAGCACACAGGGGCGCTCGCTAACTGCAGCTGGGATCACAAAAGCCCCACGGAGTCGCTGAGGTGGAGGGCAAGGGCAGAGAGGGGCCCGAGGGAGGTGGGCCTGGGGGTGATGGAGACCTTGGTAAGGGAACCCCCCGCGGTAGGCACAGAAGAGACAGGAGAAGGAAGGACGGGCCAGCTACGCGGGGTAACCTAAGAAAAACGGTAGCTGGAAGCCAAAAATGAGCACGGTGACCGCTGGGAAATATGGGGTCTAAAGCGGTGCCAACAGCGGGACGGCAAGCAGCAGGGCAGACAGTGTCACTCAGAGAGGGAGAGAGACGGGGCCGCAGCACACACGGGACTGGACTTCGGCAGAACGGGTCACTCGCTCCAACCGGAGGAGGCAAGCGCAGAGGCAGAAAGGCTGCTGGGCGTGGCAGGGGCGTTCCCACCAGTGACCACCGCTCTCCCCGGGAGAGCAGGGCAAGGTCACCCACTCTCCACGTGAAGAGGAGTGCGGGGAGAAGGTTCCGGAAAGCCCAAGGTGAGAGGCGGTCTCCTTAAGAAGCCCAGAAGCATGGACGGTGATGCAGCCGCAGGTCCATGCGCGCAACAAAGACGCCCCGTGCACTGGGCACCCAGCGTGCACGAGCGCCGTGACCTGTCCCGTCACTGCACAGACCCACCAGGTGGGCACCATCATAGTCCCCACCTTGCAGATGGGGCACCAAGCGTACAGGGGGCAACCAACTTGCCAAGGCCACGCAGCCGTCAGCCGAGACGGAACTTGAATGTGGGTCTGTCAGACTCCGACGCCTAACCTCGGCACCTCTGGGATGTACCATTTTGTTCTTCTCAGATAATAATATCCAAGTGAAAGAGAAAATCATCCCTTATCTGATCTTCTTGAATTTCTACTCTGTAAAACTTGCTTGCTATTGATTTTTATTGCAAATAAATAGCATTTTTACCAGCATTTAACTTGGTTAAAAAAACATTGATAAGTCTGGGACTTGAGAATCTTTTATTAACCCTGTTTCTATTGAACATATGCTCCAAGCACCAGAGAACAATTTGTATTTTGGGTTTTAGGGTTTAATACATCTGTAAATAGAGGATTTCATGTGTAGTTAAGCAACTATGTATTTTTATTCATGGATTCAACACAGTTTTAACTAATTGTAAACTGAAGACAGTGTTCTTATCCCTAGAAATTTAGCTGACTATAGCCAAACCTAATAATACAAACTTTTTTCCCTCTAGGTTATTAAATTCACTCCCTGGCAAGAAATAAAAGCACCTCAAGATGCTTGTTCCTAATAAGCAGATATTCAACAGGGTTCCAAAAAGCAATGGAAATGATTCAACCTTTGTGTAGACACAAAGGTGAAATTATGCATCTGGGCAGACTGCTTTAGAATGTCCAGGTGGAAGACACGAGGCCCTGAAGACAAGAAGGGTGCTTGGTGAATTCGTGTGATGAGCTGCCTGGTTAAACATTTGTTCATTATGAACACTTTACGAGTCTGTACTGCAGGCTTGCCACCACACTGCTGGAGACAGATTATTAGTCTTGGATTCTATGCCTCAGGATTCACTTATTTCAAATACCTGAAGACCTTGGCAGCTAAAGCAGCTTAACTTAGTGCTCCTGTGGTGTAGACTCCAGCAGCTGAACAACAGCAAGGTCCCACTGGATCGTCTAATCCTGGATTAGGAAAAGAAACTCCAAAATTATGTGGCATTTCTAAAATTTTAAAACAGGGGCTGGCATAACTGAGTTAAATAAATAAGTCTGTCTTTCAGAAGGGGCAACCTCACAGTTGAACACTGATGTTCACATTATACACCATTCGGTAATAAATAAAAGAAGCAGATATGTATGCATGCATATAAATAGCTGGACTTTCTAGAAGGTTTAACACACTCTAATATAGCACTGCTTCAAGTTCTCGGGAAGCAAAAATGTTTATTTTTCTCTTAGAAAAAAACTTATAACAGTTTGTGTTGAAAGTAATTATCTACTGTCAGCAAGGAAATCCTTCAGATCCTTCAATGTTTTCTATCTTAGAATGTTAAGAAGCAAGAATGGTAAGGTAGAAACAAGCAGAAGCTCTGACAGGCAAAAGAACAAAACTAACAAGGAATATCTGGGCTGAATCATTGAAAGAAGATTATAGGACCATAACAAGACTGAGTTCTTGACCCACAGAACTCTGAAGAAAAATCAAATGCCCTACATAGAGGCATGGAAGGGAAGAGGGAGGGAAGCATCCTGCCCACGCCGGGATGCTCAGCCTTACAGAGATCAAGGGCTGTTTTACCACAGCGTGTAAAGCTTTCTGAATCCTACCTGAGCTCCACACCATGCTCAGTGTCAGGGTGCCCGGTTTACCTCTCCTGTGACCCACGACGCCAGCAGGCCGGGACCCACAGGTAGCTGAGCAGCAGCACTGGCAGCCCATAGGTTTGCTCTCTCCCCAGCCAACCCTACCCAGGGACTCAGCTATGTTAACAGCCAGGCATGACAAACGGACTGAGAGCTTCCCCATTCTTGGCTCTCCACCCAGATTACCTCATTCAACCCTCACAATAGCTATGAAATGAGTACTGCTCTTACCCTCAGAGGAGAAAACTGAGGCAGAAGGAATTAAGCCACTTGCCCAAGGCCACATGGCTAAGAAGGGCAGGGAGGCTCCCACTCAGCATTCAGGCCACTGCCCAGAGAGTATCTAAGAAAAGTATCTAAGCTACCCGCTGAGGCTGCCCTGGTTCCTCTCGGAACTTAAACTACCTGAATCGGTGTTGCTCACCTTACAGCTCTGAAGAGGAAATGGAACTCGCTCTCCATCCATGCTGTTAAAAATACTCTTATTTATTTTGAGACGAGTTTCGCTCTTGTTGCCCAGGCTGGAGTGCAATGGTGCGATCTCAGCTCACTGCAACCTCCGCCTTCTGTGCTCAAGCAATTCTCCTGCCTCAGCCTTCTGAGTAGCTGGGATTACAGGCACCCGCCACCATGCCCGGCTAATTTTTGTATTTTTAGTAGAGACAGGGTTTCACCATGTTGGCCAGGTTGGTCTTGAACTCCTGATGTCAGGCGATCCACCCACCTCGGCCTCCCAAAGTGCTGGGATTACAGGCATGAGCCACCGCGCCTGGCCTAGAAGTGCTTTTAAAGTGTTACGTCATGGAGGTCAAACTACCTCATGGCACATGCACTACCCCATGGCTCATATGCTACCCCATAGCACATACACTACTCCACAACACATACGCCAGTCCACGGCACACACGCTACCCCATGGCTCCCACAGCACATACACCACCCCACGGCACACACACTCTCCACCCCGTCCCCTCTCCCCGTACCCACAGCTCATACATCACCCCAGAGAGCATACACCACCTCACGCCCCCGACAGCACATACATCACCCTAGGGAGCATACACTACCCCACAGCACATACACTACCCCACGGCACACACGCTTTTCCCCACGCCCCCCAGAGCACATACATCACCCCAGGGAGCATACACTACCCCATAAGCACAAGCACTCCTCATGGTATACAAACACGGCACCATTTACAAATACAAAGTATCTCTGCATGGCTCCGGTCCATCCAAACACCCAAACCACCAGTAACACACAGTGTGGAGTACCTGGCTACCCTGGCCTAACCTTCATCTGTTCTCTCACTCATTTGCCTCTGCTATCTCTCCAGGGTTAATCCACAATAAAATGCCTACAGCAATGTTTTCCAAGGACTTCTTTATCTTTTAGCCACCCTCACACATCAGAAGGAGCTGGAAAGCTTTCTTTGTCCCAGGAATTCTGACTATGTGAACACCAAGAAGGAACAGGGTCTATTTATCTATCCTTTTTAATAAAGTAAGTCACATAAGGAAACCATGAGGAAATATGAGTATTCAATCCCAGACTCTTTTTTCTGTAGCAAAAGGAAATATAATTTAGTCCTACATAGTGGACGATAACGCAATTACAAGAAAACAGATCATGACTGTTTCTGGAAAAAGTCAAATTAGTTTAATACCATAGACATGAACTTAAAATGATAGAGATGAATGGCTCTGTGTGTAAATATGGGTGAGGTAGCCAGATGAATACACTGCAAAAAACACAGGTGGAATGAGAAAAACAGAAATAATATTATCCCACAACTCGTATTCCCGAGACGTTATCCAATAATGTATATGCTGGAAAAGTTCACTAAAGAATATTTACCGCTTAGATTAAAAGAAAATGTGATGCCATAAGCGTAATAATACAGCAAAGGGGAATTAAAAATGCAAGCTACGCAAACACTTATATAGATCTATATAACAGAAAACAGCTGAAGGCCTGGAGAAAGGGAGTCAAGCATCAAAATTGGACGTCTGTCTGTCCCCCTCCCAAGATGAAGGGGTCAGAAACCGGCTGGGAAGGGGGGATTCTCCAAAGGGTGAGCCGGGCTGGCCCATCCATCTCTCATTTCTATGGAAAGAGGCTGCACATTAGCCCCACAACGTGACCCTCCTTTTTAACACTGAGTGTTAGAAGGGAACGGAATGAACTGGGAACACCGCGGGCAAAGTGAGTGTTAGTCCCTTCCCTCTTCCATTTCGCTCGAAGGAAACAAAGCAGGAAAATAAGGTGTCTAGGGACCCACACTTCTGAGCGACACAACTGAGAACAGAAGCTTCCGCCCAATAAAGCATTTCTCTTACACTGCAGGTTACCTATAGTCACTGTGATTGGGTCTTCTATAACGTTACCACAGTGAAACACAGGTTTACCACTCACATTAGGATTTGAACTGGGGGCTCGAGCACCAGTGAGGGAGTAACACAAGGCTCCTGGAGCCAAGCCTTTCAAGATCTAGCATCGGAATCATCAGAATCACCAGGGGTGAGTTCTCTCCACTTAAGTAAGTCAGGCTGACCTTCCTAAGGCTTCCCCGAGATCAGGAAACGATGTAAGGTGCACTCAAGTCTCCTTGACTCTCCGAGGTTTTTGGTTAATAAATAAATCCGGGGGAAAGCATTGATCTGGCATCCCCCACTGAAAAGAAACCTATCTATCTTTGGCCAAGGTCTCCTATTTAAAGAAGGCTCATAAATATGAAAGGCTGCCTGAGGTAATTCCTATGCCGGGAAAGAACAAAGTTCCCATAATACTGCCCTCTCTAGTATCAAACCCGGTGCATGCGACTTCTCGAACCTGTGATTGACCAGTGACCGCCAGCCTCTATGGAACAATGAAGCCTCTTGTGCAAGACAGTGGCAGGAAACGCTGTGCTTGGGACAGTTTTCTTCCTCTCCTACACACACACACACACACACACACCCTTTTTTTTTTTTTTTTTTGATACAGAGTCTCGCTCTGTCACCCAGGTTGGAGTGCAGTGGCTCGATCTCGGCTCATTGCAACCACCGCCTCCCGGGTTCAAGCGATTCTCCTGCCTCAGCCTCCTGAGTAGCTGGGATCCCAGGCGCCTACCACCACGCCCGGCTAATTTTCGTATTTTTTAGCAGAGACGGGGTTTCACCATGTCGGTCCGGCTGGTCTCAAACTCCTGACCTCGTGATCCGCCCGCCTCGGCCTCCAAAAGTGCTGGGATTACAGGCGTGAGCCACCGCGCCCGGCCACACACCCCTTTTTACACCTAACGCCAGGGATTCCGGTTTCCCCTCCTCTGGTGTAAAACAAAATCAACTTTTCCCCTTCCGAGTCTTCCCTCCTGAGCTCTTCACTTGCTTATCACTGAAGGGGCAAATTCCAGAGGAACCCAAGAAGACCCCGGACTTCTGATCTAATTGGTTACTTTAAGGTAAAAAATAAAAAGATTCCAAACTCCGCTTCTGAATCCCCCAGGGGTGTTAAAGAACAAACACAATTGCTACCTTTTTCTGCAGAAGTGTAACGCTTCCTCCCAATCCCTTAATCTTACAGACACGGCTGCGCGGAAGCCGCATCTGAAGGTTCCTCCCCAGACCCGGGCCCCGGCGGGGTCGAAGTTGGCTCCCTCCGGGCGCCCGGTCCGCCGGGACAGCTCGAACCCCAGCCAGCCTCTCCGAGGGACCCCCAGGGCGCTGCGGGCGGGAAGGGGGCGCCAGGCGGCCGCGGCCAGGGAGCAGGTGGCCGCCCGGGGCTGGGGCCCCGCGCTGTGCCCACCTAGACCCCGTCGGAAGCCCCAGGGTGTCAACTCCGAGGCCCCTCCCCAGCATCCCGCTCGTCCCCGGGGGCGGTCCGAGTCCCAGACATCGGAGACCTCCCGGGACCCCGGGGCTGGACCGGCCACAGGGTCCGGGCTGCGGGGCCGGCCCGCGTCTGTCTGGTCCCCGGGTCCCCCAGCCCGCGCCGGGAGCACTCACGTATCTGTGCACGAGCGTCCGCACGAGGCTGCAGTCCATGGCTCCTCCGGCCGCTCCCGCTCCGCCGTTCAGCGCCCCCGCGCCCGGCTCGGCGCGCCCATGGGCTCCGGGGTACTAGTGCGGCCGCGCCCCCCGCTCCGGTCACGGCCTCGGCGCGCCGGGCGGTGCAGGGGGCGGCCGCGGCCCCTCCGCGCTCATGCCCGGCCCGGCCGGCGAATGCTGGGTCCGCGGCCCCGCGCGTCGGCAGCTGCTCCACTGGCGGCAAGGCTGCTGCTCGGGGCCGCGCGCGCGCGCTCTGGCGCCTTCTCTCTCCCCGTCGGTCCGCCCGCTCGGTTGGGCTCGGCTGGAGCACCCCGGCCGCGGCGGAGCCTGCGCTCTGCTCCTCCCGAGTCTCCTCCTCCCCTGCCCGCCGCCCTCTGGAGCCTCCGGGCCCCGCTGGCTCCTGCCCCTGCTCCGGGCGCGCACGTCACCGGCGCAAGTGAGCATGCGCCCCGCGGCCGCAGCCCCCGCCGGCCCCGCGCCCACACCCGCGCTCGCACCCGCGCGCCGGCCCTGCCCCCTCGCGCCTCCGCCCGGGCCCCAGACCCTGGGGGCAGAGGGCAGAGGGCAGAGGTCAGAGGCCGCGGGGAGGAACCCCCCTGTTGCTTCCGCCTCCCGGGGCGCAGGCGCTGGGCGCGGCGGGGAAGGGACTCGGCACTGGGGAAACCCGGAGTTTCAGCCAGGGTCCCAGGGCTTCCTTCCCGGGTTCCTGCCGGAAAACTTTTCTCCTCCGCCCGGAAGCCTCGATGGGGCAGTGAGATCGCGGGGCGAGGTGGGAGTGTGGGAGGGGGCCGCGGGCAGAGAGCGGGAGTCCGGCTGGGTGGGAGATCTCCTGAGCCGAAGCTGGGTCTCGCCCCAGCGTGGCGCCACCGACCCGCAGGCTTTTCCTGCTCTGCAGATGGAGAGACACAGGGACGCTCCTCAGGTGGCTGCCCTGGGCTGCCAGCCTGTCAGTGGGAGGGGAGGGTGCAGACAAGAGGCCCCTGTTTCCGAAACCCCTCTGTCCCCAAAGCTGCGACAGCAGAAGACACTTAGGCGGCCTGAGGGGTTGGTGAACCACAGAGGAGCTCAGCTTCGCCTGGTCTCCAGCTCCCGGTGGCGGTGGCGTGTCCTTAATGCTGCTGGCTTTGAACTGGACTGAGAACTATTTACCACACAAACACCACCATTTCAATCCCGGAGAATGCCTGTTTTCCCTAGGGTGACCTGGCCGGGGTAACAAACACTTGTTCTCTAATTCCACGGTCAGCCTTGACTTAATTGAGGTACTTGATTTCCAACTTCCTGTCTTGCTGCCACAGATAATCACTGATGAAACCAAACAGGCAACACCTTTTGGTGGCCTGTGGAGAGCGCTGCCCCGTCTGGGTCTTAGGAAGGCAATTGAATATGAATGTTCTCCCGAGTGCTTGTGGAAAAGAGATGGTGTTGGCCACTTTTTAGACGAAGAGAAATGAGTACTAGTGAACACTAATCATAGTGACTAAACAGTAAACGGCTCCCATTTGTTGTCGGCTAAAGCACTGATTCTTCATTTTCCATCCCAGCCTGTCCTGCTCTGGCCTGCCCTGTGCTCAGGAAGCTGGCGGTCCCCCTCAGTGGATCTTCACCCACAGGGACAACCTGCTGCAGACCGGGTAGGAGGGAGGCAGGGGCCTCTTCCCCTCTCCTTCCTGGCCTGGCCCCACACCCACCAGTGTTGGTTTCACTCTGTGGCTACGATTCTTCCTGGGTGCCCTTTCCATTGCACAACTCCTCTAGGCTCTACGAACAGAACTTCTCCCCGCCCCCAAGCCTCTTAGGGTGAGACATGTTGTCGGTCTGCCATTGTTGCTGGTCCCTAAATAGCAGCACCCTTTGAAGGATCCTTGAACCATGACCACACCGCAACAAAGAGTCCTTCATCAAACTCGCTTCCAAATCCCCTCCCAAGAACACCTTCAGTTTCCTGCAAGAACCCTGACTGCTGAAGCCGGATTTTGACTAAGCTTCTACCTTGTAAACCGTGACTGTGGGATTGGGGTCGAGGCGCAATCAGAGGTTGTATAAGGCACTAGATCAAGGCTGCCTGTCTGTCAGGAGTGTCTGCTTTATTCAGTAGTAAATGTGAATTGTTTTTCATTCTGTTGTGAATACTGTTGGTTGACAATGCAGCAGCCATGCCCTCTCTATCCTTGCTGGTTCAGGTATCCACTCTGTGTGGCTAAGGGTAAACTCTGTCTCTTGAGAAAATCTTGGTAACTCCATTTCTCTTTCCAACAATTGGCTTCAAACAAGCTCAAGTCAATGAGTCCCAACAGGAAGCCTGCTGGGGGTTGTCTGGCAAAGGTTTTCTCACTCCTACAGGAACATAAAGAGGAAATGCTCCTTTTTCCCTGGTGAATGTTGCATTCCCTGTCTGGATGCAATGCCTGGTGCTCCGCAGCCCTTTGCACTTATAAGAGAAGGTGGCCGGAAGAGCATCTTCACCCTGGGGTGGCCGCCTGGGAAGATGAGAAGAGCAGGAGTCCTTGGTGGCACAACCAGGCAATTCACCAAAATCCTGCTGCCCTCACCTGGAATTTCCTGCTATGAGAGACGTCTCCGTTTAAACCACATGAGCTGGATTTTCTGTTTCTAACACATGTCAGCATCTTCACGGTAAATCTAAGAAAAAAAAATCAGGGCTATTAAAAAACAAAGTCCAACTCACCCTGTGCTATGGTCTGAAGGTGTCCTCCCAAATTCACACGTGGAAACCTAATCCCAAATACCTGATACCTAATCCCAAATATTAAGAGGTGGGGGCCTTGGGAGGTGGTTAGGAATGGGATTAGTGCCCTTTAAAACTGAGGTTTTTGGGAGCCTGCTTGCCCTTTCTGCCATATGAAGATGCTTAGAAGAGGCCTTCTATGAAGCAGAGAACTTTTCTCAGATGCCAGATCTGCTGGGACCTTGATCTTGGATTTCTCAGCCTTCAGAACTGTGGGAAGCAAACTTCTGTGTGTATGAATAGCCATCTAAAGGATTTTGTTACAGCAGCCTGAGCAGACTAAGACACCCTGTGAGTCAGTTATTTTTGGCTGTGTCACGAGTGACCGCGAGTGCAGGAGCTGAAACGGCAGTGAGTGGGTTACCATTTCTCAGGACCCTGCGGAATTGGTGCGATGGTGCTTCTGCTCCACCTGTTGTTGGCTGGGATTGTCCTGCAGCTGCATTCTTCTGGGGGTCAGCTGGGGCTGGAAGCTTCCTGTGGTCTAGTCACACAGCTGGGGTCTCAGCTAGGGTGATAGAACACTGGGGGCAGGCCGGCCTTGCTGTCTCTCTCTGGCTTCTCATCATTCAGTGGTCTAGCCTGAGTTTTTTACATGGCAGCTCAGGAGGGTCAATGTGGACGCTATACAGCCTGTAAGGCCCGGGTTTGGAAGTCCAAGAATATGACTTCTACCATGTTCTACTGGTGAATATAAATTCCAAGGCCAGCCTAGATTCAAGGGATAAGAACGTAGATTTCACTCCTTGATGGGAGGATCCCATGTACAGACAGGGATCCTTATGAGGGATTATGAGAACTCCTAATCCTTATGAGGGATTATCATACAGAGAATTTATGGGGGATTATCTTTGGAAATAATCTACCATAGACTGAATAAATGATAATGTAATGTGTTGGTGCCCCTCCCAGTGCATTCAAAAGTGAAACGACTGCCAGAACTCCAGGGCCTGCAAGTTTCTTCCTTCACATCTAAGCAGAAGGAGAGACTTCACAGTGACGTGCCAGCTAAGTCACGTGCCCACTCCTGCCCAGTCTGTCACGCAAGTAGCAGAGTCCCTGAGATGATTGGCTTAGGCCCGAGGTCAGTGCACATCACCAAACTAGTAAGTGTCCAAGGGGAATGAAATTGTCTTCGCCTCAAATAACCAGGACCTACCCCTGACCCACTGCGAGCACAGCTGCTTCACAGTGCTGGAGGGATGGGATGAATGAGGAGGAGGCAACAGCTAGGAGGCCAACCCCAAGACTTGAAATTGTGGGTTTGCAAATGGGTGCTTCAGGTGACACCCTGGCCACACCCTCACCTACACACAGACTCATAAACACCTATCCTGCATTCCTCCCTCCACCTTTCTTTCCAAAGAAATCTTGGATTCATTGGCCCCTAAGTGAAAAAAACTGGGGGGAAATAAGGGAGTGGGGGCAAAAAAATGAGGTCTTCCTGCAAAGACAGTTCAGAAGAATTGTTGCACCGAGACCTGAAATGACAAACCCAAAGCCAGAGCCAACTGCTGTAGACACAGAACCAGGAAGTGTGAATTATTAATGAGTGTCATTTTGGTGCTAGAAAGAGCTATTACCTGAGGGTGGTGACTCAAGCTGGGCCTCCGAGGGCAAACAGCCTTGCTCCTCCAAGTTACTGGCCCATGCTGTGCACACGTGTCTTCAGTCGCTATCCCCACAGGTCCAGAATTACCTAGGTGACCATCTCCCCAGGGATTGGTCCTAAAGTTCTTTTTTTTTTTTTTTTTTTTCCTTTGAGACAGGGTCTTGCTCCGTCTCCCAGGCTGGAGTGCAATGGTGTGATCCAGGCTCATCACAACCTCTGACCCCCAGGTTCAAGTGATTTTACTGCCTCAGCCTCCCCAGTAGCTGGGATTACAGGCACCCACCACCACACCTGGCTAATTTTTGTATTTTTGGTAGAGATGGGGTTTCGCCATGTTGCCCAGGCTGGTCTTGAACTCCTGACCTCAGGTGATCCACCTGCCTTGGCCTCCCAAAGTGCTGGGATTACAAGTGTGAGCCACTGCACCCAGCCCCTAGAGTTCTTCAATGGCAGAAACGTCACTTTCTGCCCCTCCGCAGGCCATTCTCTAACCTCCCTGGTCCCTTGGTCTGGAATCTTCTGCCCCACCCCATGTTTGGCCCCCTCTTAGTCATTCTCAGATGCCATCTCTCCCTACACCTGCCTGGGTTCCGGCTCGGTTATCACTAATCACTCCCCCACTTAGCATTCCTAATGGCACCACTTAGTAAAGCTTAGTTATTTTTCCACAGCAGTATTTCTCAACCCCGGTTACAGATTAAACTCACTTAGGGAATTTTTTTTTAACCAATAGCACTTCCCCAGGCTGGGCGTGGTGGCTCACGCCTGTACTTCCAGCACTTTGAGAGGCCAAGGTGAGACGATTAGGCAACATAGCAAGACCCCATCTCTACAAAAAAACACAAAAAAATAAAATTAGCTGGGCATGGTGGCCCACACCTGTAGTCCCAGCTACTCAGGAAGCTGAGGTAGGAGGACTGCTTGAGCCCGGGAGGTTGAGGCTGCAATGAGTTCCCATCATGCCACTGCACTGCAGCCTGGGTGACAGAGTGAGACTGTCTCAAATAATAATACTAATAAAATAGCACTTCCCAGGCAGCCTTTCTCCAGACATTTTGACTCAGTTGGTTTGGAGTGGGGTCCAAGCTTTTGTAAAAGCTCCCAGTGTAGCAGGTTTCTGAGTCGTTCATCTCAATGTCTGTCTCCCACCTGAACGTGAACCTGTTGGATGATCAGTTATCATCAGTTATCGACCTTTCTCTCCTCAGGCATAGCGTGGTGCTCAGCAGATGCTGAAAGAATTAGTTAACCTGCTATTTTAGCTGACGAGCACTAACAAAATGAAGAGCATAAGGCGTGAGCACTCGCAGAGTGAAAAGTGCCCCGTGCAAGGCCATCTATCCCGCATGACTCCTGTCACCGGGAAGGAGAGCTATGGAGAGTGAGGTCCTGCTCAAACGCCCCCTGAGATCATCTGCCATGCTCTGCCAGGCCATTTGTCCTGGAACGTGACGTAGAACATTGTCTCCTGTTCCGGGAAAGGGCCACATATGCAACATGGCCCTCAAACGCCGAAGGAGCTGAGAAACCAAAGAATAAGCCAGACCAATGAAATCTGTCAGTAAAGGGTGTTTTATTGGGGGAACCTACAGACAGAAGCATGGTCTTGGGTGGCTGGAGGACAGGCAGGTCTCTGCCCCTGTCACCCCAGACCCAGGGCTTCTGTGCCGTAGGGAAGAGGTGTAAGTGCTCTTTGCAAGACAACTAAAGGCAGCCCTTCAGAACAGGCAAGAGTGGTAGATGCGTCATGGCCCATAATTTGTGTGATCACATCAAGGCTGACATGTTCATATACTAGGGACAGGAAATCACATAGGAATTGGGAGGCGCTCAGGGGACTGGCGCCGGTCTGAATTCAGCATGGTGGATCAGCACCCAAGAGGAGTCACTACTGACTGGCCCCACATCTTCCTGTGCCCAGGAGGAGTTTGTGGGGCAGGGCCTCTGATTATTTTTGAAAATCTAGTTTAATTTGGTCATTACATTGGTGTCAAAAATGGAATAAGTTAAATTTCATTGTACTTCTTAATAAAAAAATTTGAATGGCATAAGTGCCAATCTCAAAGCATAACAACATTTAATATTCCAGACAATGCTGGTGTGAGCTCCGCTGAGAAAACTTTCACGGCATCTGGGGATTCCTGTGAGCTCCACTGTGAAAACTTTCACCGCATCCCGGGATTCCTGGACATGCCTGGGTTTAGTTGTCAGGGGATCTCATATTTGTTACTTTCACACCCATCCTGAGACACCATGAGTTCTTGAATTCTGCACCTTTGAGACTTTTGTCTCCTCTGTCACTTGAAGTCTTTTTCTTGTTAAAGTTTCTTCCTTCAGGTGTTCAGATGCAGGTCAGGAGCGAGACTGGATAAGCCGTGGTCTCCAGGTCTTTTCTCCTCGACAATGAGCGATCATTGGCTCCGTTTCACACCTAACGATGGGTAATCATGCAAAGTGGTTGCTTGTCCCAAAGCGAGCCTAATCGGGATTAATTTTGCTTCTCAATGTCCCATTTTTATTTCTCAGTAAGAATACAGGAAAGTATGGTAAGAATTCTTTTCTTATTTATTTTGTACACTCCCTTCTCCTTTGTTTTATTTCTCTAAAGGATCAATGATTTTAATTCCAGTTTTCTTCCAGAAAAAAACAACTAAGTTGTGTAGTGCTTAAAATTACCGATAAAGTAATGAAAGCAATTTGTTGGAATCATCTGTCTGAACAGTAACTTTAATATAGACCATTATAGCTCCTCTCCAACAGAGTAAAGATGATAGGGTATCTGAAATAAGAGGTGGATGATAATTAGAAATTTAGCATTATTCAAAGTAATTCGTACCTTTGGTCAAGCAAGTTGCTTGGATATTACATAACATCACTTTAATGAATGTTCAATTTATGAAAATCAAACTTTTTACTTTTAAAGGTAAAACTAAACTGTTTACTTTCTACAAAACTGAAAACTCACCCCTTTGCTTTTTTTTTTTTTTTTTTTTTTTTTGAGAGAGAGTCTTGCTCTGTTCCCAGGATGGGGTGCAATGATGCGATCTCGGCTCACTGCAATCTCTGCCTCCCAGGTTCAAGCAATTTTCCTGCCTCAGCCTCCCGAGTAGCTGGGATTACAGGCGCCCACCACCACACCTGGCTAATTTTTGTATTTTTAGTAGAGACAGGGTTTTACCGTGTTGGCCAGGCTGGTCTTGAATTCCTAACCTCGTGATCCACGTGCCTCGGCCTCCCAAAGTGCTGGGATTACAGGTGTGAGCCACCGCGCCTGGCCACCCCTTTACTTTTTTAAAGAGAAAGATAAAATGGTTTCCCTTAAAATATTTTTCATCTATTGTAACTTATAAGAATACTTAAATATTCTTAGATAACTGGAAATTATCTCAGTCTACTCAAAAAGCCAAAAAAGTATGAAAAAAAATGGTTTTGAATATATGCTGCTCAGTGAAGCCAGACTCAAGGGGCAAATATTGTAAGATTACACTGATATGAGATCCCCAGAGATATAAAATCCATAGAGACAGAAAGTATAATAGAATGGGGCCTGACAGGGGCTGGGGTAAGGGAGGATTGGACAGTAAGTATTTAATAGGCACAGAGTTTCAGTTTGGGATGATGTAAAAGTCATGGAATGGATGGTGGTGCTTGTACAACAATGTGAGTGTCTAATACTTCATGCCACTGAACTGTGCACTTAAAATGGTTAAAATGGCAAATTGTATGTTACAACAATTGTATGTTAACAACAAAAAAATGCTGTTTCCAGAACCAGAGATAACTTTTTTTTTTTTGAGACGGAGTCTTGCTCTGTCGCCCAGGCTGGGGTGCAGTGGCACAATCTCAGCTCACTGCAAGCTCCGTCTCCCAGGTTCATGCCATTCTCCTGCCTCAGCCTCCCGAGTAGCTGGGACTACAGGTGCCCGCCACCACGCCCGGCTCATTTTTTGTATTTTTAGTAGAGACGGGGTTTCACTGTGTTAGCCGGGATGGTCTCGATCTCCTGACCTCGTGATCCACCTGCCTTGGCCTCCCAAAGTGCTAGGATTACAGGCGTGAGCCACTGCGCCCGGCCTAGAGATAACTTTTTATGTTAATGTTCAATTATTCTGAGTTCCACTTCAGAAGACAGAGCTCAAGAAGAAGAAAGACTCCCAAAACCAGTCAGGAGTTCAAGACCAGCCTGATCAACATAGTGAAACCCCATCTATACTAAAAGTACATATATATATATATATTTTTAGCCGGGTGTGGTGGCATGTGCCTGTAATCCCAGCTACTCAGGAGGCTGAGGCATGAGAATCGCTTTGAACCTGAGAGGCAGAGGTTGCAGTGAGCCAAGATCACCCCACTGCATTCCAGCCTGGACGACAGAGTGAGACTCTGTCTCAAAAAAAAAAAAAAAAAAACAGCCAGTCACAGTAGCTCACATCTGAAATCCCAGCACTTTGCAAGGCCGAGGCAGGCAGATCACTTGAACCCAGGAATTCGAAACCAGCCTAGGCAGCATGGGAAGACCCTGGTCTCTACAAAAAATAAAAAATTAGCTGGGTGTGGTGGCTCACACCTGTGGCACCAGCTACGAAGCAGGCTGAAGTGGGAGGATCACCTGAGCCTGGAAGGTTGAGGCTGCAGTGAGCTGTGATCACGCCACTACACTCCAGCCTGGGCCACAGAGCAAGACCCTGTCTCAAAACAACCACAGAAACAAAACAACATCGACGAGACCGACTTCTGCCTTAGTAACACACGTGAAGAAAAACTCTGATGCCACCGTAGTTGTGTTGGCAGCCCACAACCTCGCCACGTTGAATGTCGTGATACAGGCTGCACCGGTACATGCTTCAGCTTGGATAACTTTAAGGAGGAGATGGAAGCTGGCGCTGGAGACCTGGCCATGTGCCAGGAATCTCACACCCACCTTTGTGCACTTCTGTAAAAGGATGGCAACACGAGTGGTGGGCTCCACTGCTCCGGTTTTTCTGATGAGGAAACCTAAGTCCAAAATCCCACTGCTTGAAGACAGTGAAGGCAGGAATCACCCCTGGGCCAGCTGGATCCCAAGGCCACCACAGGCTTGTGGCTGGATCACCTGTCCCCTAATCACGGCCATTCCCAGCCCGGTCCCTGCGGTCCGCTGGGCTGACCCACCTCAGGACGGCTGGGACCCACAGTGGGTGTTGTTGGTCTCTGGCACACACCTGCTTCTCCCTCACTCCCCCACTTCCCTCCAAGGCCCATCTTGCTAAGATGGAACAAGAGGGAATTGAGAACATCAGCTGTGCAGTCAGGGGAGGGCCCATTGCATCCTGCAGCAATGCCTCAGCCTGCCGAGGCCCCTGCTTGCCTGTCTGTAAACTGGGCACAATCATGCCACCTACTTCTTGGATCCACAGAGAAAGACTTTGCCTGAGGCCGGGCACTAGGGGCCACCTTCCCCAAGCGCACTCCTCTCACCCGTCCTGCTGGGTCTCCCTGGCTTTCCCCACCTTGTCCACAGAAGGCCCTGGCCCAGGTCCATCTCTTCCTTCAGGTCCAGGGCGGGACACTCTCCTGCCCTGCTGCCCTCCTGTGGATGTGGAAAGCAGGATGGCAGTGGCTCCCGGCCTGGGTCCCAGGGCCCTGCATTTCCCCACCACTCAATGACTCCTCATGCCCACGAGCACTGGTCTTGCCTCCAGGGTACCTCTCCTGTGACCCTGGCCCGCCCACCCTTTGCTGCAGTGAGCAGGGCAGATGCAGGAGGGGAGGAGGGCATCGCCCACCCCTGCTGTTCCTCCACACTTGGCAGCATCAGTCTGGGAAAAACGGAGAGAGGTTTAAGCAGGTCCGGGAGAGTCCTCCCCTTCCACGCGTCTCCGCCCTTGCCCTTTATTAAGCACTGCGGCGGCTCTCCATCCAGTGGAAGGTGTTGAGAGGCAGGGCTGGGCTGAGAAGTGCATGGACCGAGGACAAACGGGCTTGGGCTTGGTCCCACCTGAGACGCTGGCACCCTGTGGGAGAGGGGAGCCCGGCACCCACCTCACTGCCTTCAAGCATGAAACAGGAGTGATGGGCCTGGCCCAGGGTGATGAGGAGAGCCAGATGGGCCGAGGCTCTGGAAGGTAAAGGGCTCTGTGGCACGTTTCCCCAGCTGGAGGGAAGATGGTCTGGTGGGTGTGGTTAGTATCAGGGAGCAGAGAGACCCCAGCTGAATGACAGAATCTGTATAAAGTGGCCGGCAGGCTGCCCAATGCACAGTCTGCTCAGCAAGGGTTTTTCCTTTCTGCTTGGTCCCCCACATCGGATGCACAGAACCCGTATTCTCCTGGTCGCTGTAGTCCAGCGGCAGGTTCCTGATAGCTCACACCCCTGCTGAGGTTCCGCACAGTTTTCAAATTGCAGCCACAGCTCGGAGCCCTCCCCAGCCCCTACCTGGCAGCTGTAACTGCTTCTGTGTCCCTGAGGCACTCCTGCGACCTTTATAGGTCAGGCAACCTTGTGGCTGGTCCCATGACGCAGCCTGAGCTCGGATCGGCGGCTCATCACGGGATTCATCACGGGGGCCTCCCTCCAGACCTGCCGGGTCCATCTTCAGGGAAGAGGCCCAGGCACGTGTATCTTTCAGAGGCTGACACCCTGGGTAAGAGTCTCTGCATTGAGCAACGCAGAGCCTCGCCTCTGGTGAGTTCATCCTAACAAGGTCCCAGGATGCACGGATATTCAGGACCACCTGGAGATGGGCCTCAAACCTTGGTTCAGCTCTCAGATCACTAGAGGCTGCTGCAGGAGGCTCCCGTCTTCTTTGTAGGTAATATTTCAATGGGTCAGAAACAACCTTCTGATTGGGAATGGAAGAAGAAAGGCATCGAATGGTTGGTTTTCTTCTGTGTAATTCTACAAGGGTACACCAAGAGTTTATTTTCTGTATTACAATGAAACTTTGTAAAAACTTTACCTCTCCCTCTCCCTCTCCCCGGTCTCCCTCTCCCCCGTCTCCCTCTCCCCCGTGTCCCTCTCTCCCGTCTCCCTCTCCCTCTCCCTCCACAGTCTCCCTCTGATGCTGAGCCGAGGCTGGACTGTACTGCCGCCATCTCGGCTCACGGCAACCTCCCTGCCTGATTCTCCTGCCTCAGCCTGCCGAGTGCCTGGGATTGCAGGCGCCGCCGCCACGCCTGACTGGTTTTTGTATTTTTGGTGGAGACGGGATTTCGCCGTGTTGGCCGGGCCGGTCTCCAGCTCCTGACCGCGAGTGATCTGCCGCCTCGGCCTCCCGAAGTGCCGGGATTGCAGACGGAGTCTCGTTCACTCAGTGCTCAATGGTGCCCAGGCTGGAGTGCAGTGGCGTGATCTCGGCTCGCTACAACCTCCACCTCCCAGCCGCCTGCCTTGGCCTCCCAAAGTGCCGAGATTGCAGCCTCTGCCCGGCCGCCACCCCGTCTGGGAAGTGAGGAGCGTCTCTGCCCGGCCGCGACCCCGTCTGGGATCTGAGGAGTGTCTCTGCCCAACTGCCACCCCGTCTGGGAGGTGAGGAGTGTCTCTGCCCGGCCACCCTGTCCCAGAAGTGAGGAGCCCCTCCGCCCGGCCTCCCCGTCTGGGAAGTGAGGAGCCCCTCTGCCCGGCCGCCACCCCGTCTGGGAGGTGTACCCAACAGCTCATTGAGAACGGGCCATGATGACGATGGCGGTTTTGTCGAATAGAAAAGGGGGAAATGTGGGGAAAAGAAAGAGAGATCAGATTGTTACTGTGTCTGTGTAGAAAGAAGTAGACATAGGAGACTCCATTTTGTTCTGTACTAAGAAAAATTCTTCTGCCGTGGGATCCTGTTGATCTGTGACCTTACCCCCAACCCTGTGCTCTCTGAAACATGTGCTGTGTCCACTCAGGGTTAAATGGCTTAAGGGCGGTGCAAGATGTGCTTTGTTAAACAGATGCTTGAAGGCAGCATGCTCGTTAAGAGTCATCACCAATCCCTAATCTCAAGTACCCAGGGACACAAACACTGCGGAAGGCCGCAGGGTCCTCTGCCTAGGAAAACCAGAGACCTTTGTTCACATGTTTATCTGCTGACCTTCCCTCCACTATTGTCCTGTGACCCTGCCAAATCCCCCTCTCCGAGAAACACCCAAGAATGATCAATAAATACTAAAAAATAAAAATTAAAATTAAAATTAAAATTAAAAAAAACAACTTTATTTTAATTTTAGCCAAAGAAATGCTTTTTTTTTTTTTGAGTTGGAGTCTTGCTCTGTCGCTCAGGCTGGAATGCAGCAGCGTGATCTTGACTCACTGCAACCTCTGCTTCCCGGGTTTAAGTGATTCTCCTGCCTCAGCCTCTAGAGTAGCTGGGATTACAGGCATGCGCCACCACCACACCCAGCTAATTTTTATATTTTTAGTAGAGACAGGGTTTCACCATGTTGTCAGGCTGGTCTCAAACTCCTGACCTCAGGTGATCCACATGCCTCCGGCTCTCAAAGTGCTGAGATTACAGGCATGAGCCAGTGCGCCTGGCTGCATTTGCATAGTTTTAAAAGAAAATGGTGCTACCCGGCCTGTAAGAATAACCCGATGTCCTTGTCATCACCTACTCCAGAGCCCCCTGCAGAGACAATCACTCATAGCTCTTTGCTCTTCTACCTTTATTGTGTCCATATTTCCAAATTATGTGCTTATAGCATGATTTTGAAAATTTCAACAGCACCAGTTACATAGGAAGATAAATATTTAGCTCATTCGTGCTCCTACCTCTACCTCTCTCTACTGCACGTGTCCCCACAGAGGCCACACCGGTCTCCATTCAATCTCTGCCTGTGATGGTAACAAGATTACATTCTCATAGCTGCATGTCCGTGCATGTGCTACACGCTGCCCCTGTGTTGTTCATGCATTTTCACTGCATCTTCTTTCTTATACCACCTTTTTTCCTTGAAGATAATCATTGCCTCCATCTTTCATTTTCTTAGGTTTCTTTTTTTTTTT
Organism: Homo sapiens; assembly: GCF_000001405.40. Lineage (NCBI taxonomy): Eukaryota > Metazoa > Chordata > Mammalia > Primates > Hominidae > Homo > Homo sapiens. The sequence continues at coordinate 112,677,091 of NC_000013.11, read as the reverse complement.
TTTTTTTTTTTTGAGACAGAGTCTCACTTTGTTGTCTAGGCTGGAGTGCAGTGGCACAATCTCAGCTCACTGCAACCTCCGCCTCCCTGGTTCAAACGATCCTCCTGCCTCAGCCTCCCAAGTAGCTGGGATTACAGGGGCCCGCCACCATGCCTGGTTAATTTTTGTATTTTTAGTAGAGACGGGGTTTCACCATGTTGGCCAGGCTGGTCTCGAACTCCTAACCTCAAGTGATCCTCCTGCCTCGGCCTCCCAAAGTGCTGGGATTACAGGTGTGAGCCACTGTGCCCGGCCTCATTTTCTTAGCTTTCTGTATAGTTTCTACTAGTTCACGGCCATACGCTCGTATTTGTCAGTGCCATTCTATTTTTTTTCTGCAGACATCCCTCCTGTCACCCTTTGACATCCTGCTGCAATCTGACGGTGACTTTCTAAACTTGCTGCATACTTCTATACTCCGGTCACAGCCATACACTCGTATTTGTCAGTGCCATTCTATTTTTTTCTGGAGACATCCCTCCTGTCACCCTTTGGCATCCTGCTGCAATTGACGGTGACTTTCTAAACTTGCTGCATACTTCTATACTCCGGTCACAGCCATACACTCGTATTTGTCAGTGCCATTCTATTTTTTTCTGGAGACATCCCTCCTGCCACCCTTTGGCATCCTGCTGCAATCGACGGTGAGTTTCTAAACTTGCTGCATACTTCTATACTCTGGCTACACTTCACAGGTATCAGGAATTCCCTCCACTTCTCTCATAAGCCCTTATTTTCTGCATTCCATGATTTTTTCTTCCTCCTTGATTTATCGGTTTAATTTAGTGGACTGTATTCTCTAGTAGCTTCCTGGGAAAGGGTGCATGAAACATCAGCAGTTAAAATATTTTTCTGACCTTATAGTGATGGATAATTTGGCTGGATATGTTAGTCACAGGTAGGAAATATTTGTCTTCAAAATGTTCAAAGTGAAACGTGGTGGTGGCATAGTGTTTAATCTTTCTAAATCCCAAAATTAAAACAGAACAACTAGATAGCAAAACCAAAAACCTATGAATCACATTGACAACAAAATTAGATAACAAAGTATCCCCATGAACCTTTGGATTGGAGGTGTGAGTGCAAGTGGGTGTGTGAGGAGATGTTATGAGGGAGTCTTCAGAAGGACTAGACTTTTTGCATTTTACTAAATACAAGACTTTAAAAAAGCAAAATGCATTATGAAAATTTCTTAAAATGATGTTTTACACAGAGAATTTCACTTTAATTAAAAGAACTTGTTTCAAATAGCAAGTAGGTTAAGTTTAAACCAGTACCTTTCCACTATAAATCATTTTCTGAAAGTTTTTTCTCCTGTTCTTCAATCTGAAATATAAAGGAAGGGAGGCTTGCCAGTTCTGGATAGAAATGATCAATCTCTGGACTAGCTTAGCAGGAGGTAGTAAAATTATAGTGCTTGGGTTAGTGTAACATCTCACATGACAAGCAAATGCCTGGAGAATCTCTGCACCACGGAGGCTACGGTGGGGAGCGCTTTCTTCAATCTACTTTCAGAAGCTGTAAGAAATGAGCTTTTGAGCAAACATCGTCAGCCAGAACCCAACACCCAGAGCAAACCCTACTGCAGTCTGTGCACCTGACGCGCCTTTAGACTTTGAAGATAAAAATAAAAAGTCTTTTGCCTCCTGTCCAATAAAATCAAACAATTAAAATGTCATCGAGTTCCGTGTGCCCACTTTGAAATATTATTAATAATAATAACAGCATTTGCATTCATTTCTATCTTCAAGGCCTTTCCTAAACACCAATTTTTTCCAGCTCTTCAAGGGGAGCATCTGCTGAACAGGACGGGTGAAGTGATGGGAAGCAGGAGCAGGCCTGCGGTCGCAGTGAGTACATCACATTGCGTGATAGGGAATGGGGAGTGTCTGTGGGAGACTGGCCAGAGGTCGTGTCTTTCACAGATATAAGTGCGAGAGGGATTCTGGATGTGCTCTCAGTTTCGCAAGGCTCTTAATGAACTTCTTTGTCACCTGTTTGGGCTCTGATTTTCCATTGTTCAGAATTCCATATAAATTACAATGGAAAAATAAAAAAAATTAACTCTTGTTGTTGTTGTTATTCCTGAGGACTTGGAACCATGACTGATGCGAGGCTGGTGAGGCCATGTGAGCCGGGGTCAGCGGCGGGCAGGGCTGGGAACCTCTTGCCACTCCGTGAACCCTAGCATGACAGGATGCCCCACCTTTCCCTTAAGCTTGCCTTTCTCCGCCTCCCTCCCTCCCCCCTTCCTTTCCTCCCACCTGCTCCCACCTCTCCCTGTCTGCCCATTTTCCTCCATTTATTGGCACTGGATGCCCACACCCAGGACACACTAGGAAGCTGCTGAGGGTGAGCAGGCCTCATGACAATGTCATCAGATCAGCGTTTGCTTTAGAGGCAGGTGGGGAAGAGGAGGTACAAGATGTTTGTCTTGATCTCTGCTGTATGAGAATCGATACCACCAAGACTTCCTCAGCAGAAAGAAAATGTCAATAGCTTTGTGGCTTTCAGGCCCAAATGAGTATTAAGTGGCTGCTTATTTTTAAGGCTCATTTTTAAGGGACCATTTTTAAACCCTGTTGTTTGCTATAATACAATTATAAAATAATTTTACTTTTGTAAGCTTTACTGTAAAGAATCTGATCCTGTTACCCAACTTAGCGTATATTAACTAGATTTGGTTGCTTTTTATAGCATGAAATACAAAATTCTCCAACTGGTCGTCACAGTCTATCATAATGTGGCCAACCTCTACATATTTACCCAGATTTCCTTCCTTTCTCAGCATTGCTGTCTCATCCCCCTGGAACATCTTCCTTCCGTGCTGGGCAAACCGCATCCACCCTGTAGACTCAGTGCTGCCGTGCTCCCCTCATTCCTGAGCCGCTTCTGTCTCTGGGACTTCGGGAGGCACAGTTCTGATAGGGCTCACAATGTTCCCACCCCATGCTCGGGGGCTCCGTGCAGTCCCCTCTCCTTGGTGGGAACGGAGGCTGATGTTTCTCCCCTGATCAGGCTACATTCTCTTGTAAATATGAAGGAATTCTGCAGTGGAATTAAGATCCCTAATCAGTCAATTTTGAGCTAGTCAAAGGGAGGGTTATCTTGGGTGGACCTGGATAAAAGATAGGGAAAGTTAGAGCGATTTGAGGCTGCAGAGATATGCTCCTGTTGGCCTTGAGGGAGGAAACTGCCGTGCTTTGTGGAGAGCCACATGAGAGGGAGCAGAGGGGCCTCTAGTAACTGAGAGCAGTTCCCAGCAGGCAGCAGCAGGAAACAGGGGCCTCAATCCCACAAGCACAAGGACCTGGATGCTGCCAACAGCCAGTAAGCTTGAAGGTGACCTTGACCTTCGGATGAGCACCTGGCCCCAGCAGCACCTTGACTTCAGCCTTGTGAGGCCCCGATGAGAGGACCCAGCTGGTCACATGCAGACTCTTGACCCATGGAAACGAAGAGTGAGAAACGTGTGTGGTTTTAAGCACCTAAACCTGGGATCATTTGCTATACAGCAAAAAGAAACTAATACAGGCGCCGGGCGCGGTGACTCACGCCTGTAATCCCAGCACTTTGGGAGGCCAAGGCGGGCAGATCACCAGAGCTCAGAAGTTTGAGACTAGCCTGCGCAACATGGTGAACCCCGTTTGTACTAAAAATAGAAAAATTAGCTGGGCATGGTGGCGGGTGCCTGTAATCCCAGCTACTCCAGAGGCTGAGACAGGAGAATAGCTTGAACCCGGCAGGTGGAGGTTGCAGTGAGTCGAGATTGCGCCACTGCACTCCAGCCTGAGCGACAGAGCAAGACTCTGTCTCAAAAAAGAAGAAAGAAAGAAGGAAGGAGGGAAGGAAGGAAGGAAGAAAGGAAGGAAGGAAGGAAGGAAGGAAGGAAGGAAACTCCATCTCAAAAAGGAGAAAGAAAGAAAAAAGCAAGCAAGAAAGAAGGAACGAAAGTCCATCTCAAAAAGGAGAAAGAAAGAAAAAGAGAAAGAGAAAGGAAAGAGAGAGAAAGAAAGAAAAAGAAATTCCATCTCAAAAAGGAGAAAGAAAGAGAGAGAAAGGAAAGAAAGGGAGAAAGAAAGAAAGAAAGAGACTCCATCTCAAAAGAAAAAAAAAAGAGAGAAAGAAACAAAGACAGGTATCCTGTGGCACATGGTGTGGCCTTCTCTGCTAGAGAGAGGGCTAGAACTGTAATTCTCTGATGCTATGATGGCCTCTTGCACTGCTTTTGTGAATTCCTTTGGTGGAGGGACGTTCACGTTGCCACCGTTTTTTGCAAAGCCCCACCCTGACAGTCATCCCTGTTGCAGGTGTGAGCCCCCCAGGCTGTGGGGCACTGGGACACGTCTCTTGGTGTCTTCCATGCCCTCCCTGTTCACCCCAGCTGCTCCCCTGACACGTCAACTGTGTATCACGTTCCCTCTGCCTGTGGAGGCTGGACTCAGCTTCCTCCTCTTGGTGGGGCCTGCTGGGGGATGTGGGATGGTTTCTGGGCTTCCATTTTTCCCAGCAGGCACCCGTGCCTGCCTCTAAAGCCTTGCTCTCCCTCCTGGAGGTGCCACTGTGCATGGCCTCAGATGGAGGATCGTTCCAACAGCCACTCGCCCCTTACTGCTTCAGGTGAGCGGCTCTCCCTCACGCACCCCTTCTTCGGCACCTGATACGGGAGGGGACCATTTGGTGTGGAACGGGCAAAGTATGGTCTTCGACTACAAGGAATGTGAGGAGAGAGGCTCCTCTTTCTGTTCCCTGGGACAGCCAGTGCGTGGTGTTAGACCAAAGCGCACGGATGTTATTCTTGGACCAGGGACCCAAAGGAATGATTGCAGCTCAGACAGCCAGACTTGCCTGCAGCTCCGGCCCCTCCACCTCTCTTGGTAATTTTCGGAGCCATTTCTAATCCTGGCTTTCTGGCCTCCTTCAATTCTTTGAGCTCCTGTATCCTTTCAGTTAATTCCCTCTGACTCTTAGATAGCATGATTTGGCCGGGCGCAGTAGCTCACACCTGTAATCCCAGCACTTTGGGAGGCCAAGATGGGCAGATCACCTGAAGTCAGGAGTTTGAGACCAGCCTGGCCAACATGATGAAACCCCATCTCTACTAAAAATACAAAAATCAGCTGGCGTGGTGGCAGGCGCCTGTAGTCCCAGCTACTCGGGAGGTTGAGGCAGGAGAATCGTTTGAACCCCGGAGGCGGAGGTTGCAGTGAGCCAAGATTGCACCACTGCACTCCAGCCTGGGCGACAGAGTGAGACTCTGTCTCCATAAAAAAAAAAAAAAAAAGCAATAGCATGATTTGTTTCAGTTGCTTATAACTGGGACCCCTGATGGATTCAGCTCTCCAGTGATAATGTATAACAGCCACCGCCACGTGTGTCTCATAAACATCTGTAGCATCCCTTGTGCACATAACGACTTGGACATGGGTCAGTGCCGCAGACCTGAGCCACACTGCTGGGGCTCAAGCCCTGGGTTTGCATGTACCAGCTGTGAGGCATGGGAAAGCTAGAGGAGCCCGCGGCCCCTTGTCTGTGAAACAGGGACAATGACAGTCCTCGCCTCACTGGATGACGGTGGGATTGCATGAATTCCTATACACAATGCTCTCGAAACGGTGTCAGAGGAGTATTTGCTATTATTTCTTCCTATTCTGTTTGACTATGGAAAATGATATTTTATTATTTCTCCAACTAAATTTTAAGAGGTTCTTTATTTTCATTCCCTCCAGCGCACCAAGCCTGGGCGGGGAGTACATGGTTCCGCACAGGTATCGGGGTCTGTGGCCTTGGTACCTCCCCAGCCAGAAGATCACATGCACCCCCGGATCTCACAGCCTCTTCAGGAGCGAGCCCTGGACAGCACTGTCAACAAGACGGGTGCTCTGTGGTTTCCCTGTTTTCTGTCAGAGAATGTTCTGGTTTCTGATGACTCCAACCTGCATGCAGATTACATCCCAGCAGGGAGTTGACGGCAACTGGAATCGTGCCAGCTTCACTTCTTACTGTGACCCGACAACCCTTGGCCTGCCCTCTAACCCTCTCCACTCCAAGGTCGTCTCTCAGCCTCAGTGGAGCAATCATGGCTTCTCCTCACAGCACAGGGCAACTTGGACCCGGTCTTGCTGCTCTCCTATCTGATCTGGGAACGAGGACTGTTAATCTATTAAGACTACATTCAGGGGGCTGGGTGCAGTGGCTCACTCCTGTGATCCCAGCACTTTGGGAGGCCGAGGCGGGTGGATCACCTAAGGTCAGGAGTTCGAGACCAGCCTGGCCAACATGGTGAAACCCTGTCTCTACTAAAAATACAAAATGAGCTGGGCATGGTGGTGCGTGCCTGTAATCTCAGCTACTTGGGAGGCTGAGGCAGGAGAATCGCTTGAACCCATGAAGCGGAGGTTGCAGTGAGCCTAGATCGTGCCACTACACTCCAGCCTGGGTGACAGAGCGAGACTCTTGTCTCAAAAAAAAAAAAAAGAAAAGAAAAAACTTGGCAATGACAGCACCAGGGCCTTCTCTGACAGGAGCCTGGAAGGAGAGTGAATTACCCAAGAAATGCAGCAGAGGCCGGGGTAGAACAAGGGCACCCAGGCAGGAGCCAGGGTGACCCCATCCACTCTCATGTCACTGGGAGCTGGGACAGTGGTGGCGCTGTCTTCAAAGCAAGGTGAGCTGGATGGAGGCTGGGATCCTCAGGACTTCCAGCCTGGGCTGCTGGCCTCTGCACTGTCTGTATGAGCGTGGATTTCATGTTCTTCTCCTAGTTTGGTCACATTGTTTTGAGTCATGTCACTCTCACCTGAAACTACAGTTAATAATAAACTGACCTGTTCTCCACACCCGACCGGTAACTTAGACTGCGTGAAATGGATTGTGTTTTCTGATCTCTCCTGTCATACAACTCGTATGGGCTGCAGACAAACGTGAATACATTATTAACAAACCAGCAGACTGCGTAGGGGAGAGCACAGATGGCTGCATATGTTAAGAGCTGGAGGCATTAATTATGCAGCATCCTCATCTTCTGGGGCTCACTCACATAATGACAGTACAAGTGTTTTTTCCTGGTAAATTTACTGACATTCTGTAAGGAAAGTAAAGCTTCAATGAGGATTTCTTAAACTCGAACCAATTTAACAAAATAAATACAACAAGTGAGGATTTTCTTTAAGGTTCTATTAAATGTTTTAATAAGCTTCCTTTTGGAAGGGGCCAATTAAATTAATTAATTACACCATGACATTAAAAAAAAACCTAATAATAGTTCTGGCCAAGTAGAATTTTACTTTTTTTTTTTTTTTTGACACGGAGTCTCACTCTGTCACCCAAGCTGCAGTGCAATGGCACGGTCTCGGGTTCCAGAGATTCTCCTGCCTCAGCCTCCTGAGTAGTTGGGATTACAGGAACCCACCACCACGCCTGGCTAATTTTTGTATTTTTAATAGAGATGGGGTTTCGCCATGTTAGTCAGGCTGGTATCGAACTCCTGACCTCAGGTAATTGGCCTGCCTCAGCCTCCCAAAGTGCTGGGATTACAGGTGTGAGCCACCATGCCTGGCCTAGAATTTTACTTGGATAAAAATATAAAATGATCAAAGGGAAGTATCCTATTGAGTATATGGAAATATTAAAAGATTAAAAACAGAGGGATCATAAACCAAATAAATAAGTTTAAATGGCTAAGTTTGATGTACTTTATAAAGGAATAGAGAAGATACTGAAAAACATGGAAACTTCCTTTTTGTAGATTGTGTGGTGTACAATAACGATGGGTGAGGCATTGGCGAGTAACAATGTGAGTTCGTTTGTCTCTTCATCTGTCCCTTCTCACATCTTCTCACTCAGCCCTGCCAGGCTCATCCCCTGTCCTGTGTGTGCCAGGCACAGCCCTTGGCCGAGTAAGGACGATGCAGGCTGGTGAGGGAGCCCCACCGTGGCCCCTGATCTTACAAAGGAGCCTGCGGCAACCCCCTGAGTTAGACGCTGGGGAAAAGTGACGGAGCCTCCTACGTGTGGCAGAGGCTTGAGACCCAGCCAGGAAGCGCTGGGAAGCCAATCCCCAGGAGAGTGACATCGGAACCGAGTTCTTAAAGAATTCATTGGGTTAATTACAGGTTAATTAGGGGAAGAGGAGAGGGACTGGATTTGTGAATTATTTATGTTCCGTAAGGAAGAATGACAGGGAAAACGGTGGCAACAACTTACATCTCTACATACCTGTTTGTTATGAGCGCGGACTGTTGGGTTTTTCCCTATTAATAAAATAAAATCAGTAAATATTTCACTAGATGTTTTGTGATAGACTTGGATTAAATGAAAAGTTAATGGGTTCTGATTTGTGTAAAATTTACCAATAGCTTTAGACCCCAATCATGAACTGGGGCTAACCTGCCTCAAAAAGAACAAGGAAAAGGTGGCATGGTTTCTCTTTTGATTTAGAAATCTCTGAATTTTCTGATAATGTGTATTACTCCTCTAAAAACATCTTCCAATATTAAATTTTATTTAAAAGTTACATAATTTTTTTTTTTTGAGACAGAATCTCACTCTGTTGCCCAGACTGGAGTGCAGTGGCGTGATCTCGGCTCACTGCAACCTCTGCCTCCCAGGTTCAAGCGATTCTCCTGCCTCAGCCTCCCAAGTAGCTGGGATTACGGGTGTTATGCACCACCATGCTGGACTAATTTTTGTATTTTTAGTAGAGACAGGGTTTTGCCATGTTGGCTGGGCTGATCTCGAACTCCTGACCTCAGGTGATCTGCCTCGGCCTCCCAAAGTGCTGGGATTACAGGTGTGAGCCACTGCACCTGGCCAAAGGTTGCATAAAATTTTAAGCATGTAAAAAATTAGAGGAAAAGTTCATCCATCATTATCAGCTCCTGGCCAACCCTGCTCCACTTCGACTGCGCCCACCCTGCCTCGGTCTGCACTGTTCTCATGAAATTTCAGACAGAGATAATTTCATTTCTTCATTTCCAGCATGGAGACCTTGCCTTTCTTTCTCTCTTTCTGTCTTTCGTTCTCTTCTTATTCTGTACTAACTGTTTTATCTAGAGCCTCCATTACAACATTAAATAGAAACAGGAGAGCAGACCTCCTCCTTCTGCTCCTGAGCTACAGGGAAAGCGTTCAGATTCTTGTCTATAACTGTGGCTTGTCTGTAGATGCCCCTTGCGGGGCTGAGGAAGTTCTCTTCTATTCCCAGTTTTTTAGGCGCTTTATTCTGAAGGGGTGTTGGATTTTCTCAAATGCTCTTTCTGTGCCTATTGAGATGACTACGTGGTTTTTGTCCCGTACTCTTTGGAAGTGTTGTGTTACGTTGATTTTCGCGTATTGAACTGCCCTTGCATTCTTGAGATAAATCCCACTCGGCTGTGTTGTATAATGCTTTTCGATGTTGCTGGATTTGGTTTGCCAGTATTTTTTTGAGGATTTTGCACTGATATTCAATGAGGATATTGGCCTGTAGTTTTCTCTTCCTTTGATCACAAGTCAGTCTGATTTTGGTGTTAGGATGATACTGATCTCATTGGATGAGTTAGAATGTGTTTCTTCCTCTTCTATTTTCTTTCTTTCTTTCTTTTTGAAAGAATTTGTGAAGGTTGGTATTCTTCTTCAAGTGTTTGGTAGAATTTACAAGTTAAGCCATGTGGGCCTGGGCTTTTCTTTGCAGAAAAGTTTTAATTACTAATTAAACCTCTGTTTGTTGTTAGTCTACTTGATTTTTCATTTCTTTTTGAGTCTCTTTTAGCAGTTTCTGTTTTTCTAGGAACTGGCTCATTTTACCTAAGTTATCTAACTTGCTGGCAGAGAGGTCCATCTTCTGTTACTTCTGTTGTGTCCACAAAGTGAATGAAAAGATGGCCTCGTGCTTTCTGAGATGAGCCTCCTCTGTTCTCCCTCACTGTGGTCTGGGCTTTCCTTTCCTTTGCTCTTAGTGTCTCTATCCTGCTTGATTTGCTTCTGATCTCAGCACTTTCCCCCCCAGAACAGAGGTCTGGACAGCTCTGGACATACACACATCCTCATGCACTCCCACACACTCACACATAGACGCAGACACATCCTTACACACACACGGACACAGACATCCTCACGTGCTCCCACACACTCACACACGGACACACACATCCTCACGTGCTCCCACACACTCACACGGACACACACATCCTTATACACTCCCACAAACCCACACATGGACACACACACAGCCTTATGCACTCCTGCACACTCACACATGGACACACACACATCCTTATGCACTCCCACACACACACACGGACATACACATCCTTATGCACTCCCGCACACTCACACATGGACATACACATCCTTATGCACTCCCGCACACTCACACATGGACATACACATCCTTATGCACTCCCGCACACTCACACATGGACACACACATATCCTTACTCCCACACACTCACACATGGACACAGACATCCTTACACACTCCTGCACACACATCCTTATTCCCACACACACGGACACACATCCTTACACACTCCCACACACTCACATGGACACACACATCTTTATGCACTCCCAGACACACAGGGACACACATATCCTTATGCACTCCCACACACTCACACATGGACACACACATCCTTACACTCCCACACACACGGACACACACATCTTTACACACTCCCGCACACCCACACATGGAAACACACACAGCCTTATGCACTCCTGCACACTCACACATGGACACACACACATTCTTATGCACTCCCACACACACACGGACATACACATCCTTACGCACTCCCGCACACTCACACATGGACACACATCCTTACACACTCCCGCACACTCACACATGGACACACACATCCTTACGCACTCCCGCACACTCACACATGGACACACACAGCCTTACACACTCCCAGACTCACACATAGACACACATCCTTACACACTCCCACACACAGGCACACACATCCTTACACACTCCCACACACACACATGGACACACACAGCCTTACACACTCCCACACACTCACATGGACACACACATCCTTATGCACTCCCAGACACTCAAACAGGGACACACATATCCTTATGCCTCCCACACACTCACACATGGACACACACATCCTTACACTCCCACACACTCACATGGACACACATTCTTACACACTCCCGCACACTCACACATGCACACACATCCTTACACACTCCCGCACACTCACATGGACACACATATCCTTACGCACTCCCACACACTCACAATGGACACACACATCCTTATGCACACGGACACACATCCTTACACACACATGGACACACACATCCTTACACACACACCCTTACACACACGGACACACACATCCTTACACACACACTCATGAGTGCACTTGCACACAGGCCTGCATTCACTCACACGCTTCCTCTCGCACCCACATACACAAGCTGCCTTGCTTTACTCAGCTGTCAGAGTTTTTCTGAATCTGGAGAAGGAAACAGCAAGATAGAAAGGGGGTTGAGCCCAGTTTTCTCAGCAATTTCAAAGGGCAGGGAGACCACAGATGATACCTGGGTTACATCTGCCACTAGGGAAGAACTGGAGCATCGAATGGTGGGCATACGGGGAAAGCTTACTTACTTGGTAAAGGCTGAAAAAGAAAATATGTGGGACTTGTAATTATATTTTTAAGGATAAAGCACAACCCTTTTATTAGTGCCGTGATACTTGCTTCATCTGACCAGGGCAGCTGGTAAACTGCAAACATCAGGAAGAAACATTAAACCTGGGAAGAAAGAATTGAGAAACATTTCTTCTCTTAACTCAGCAGTAGACACTGGAGGAGAATCACAGGGGAAGCCTGTGATGCAGAAGCCACCAGAAAAGCACCTGCTGCAGCAGAGGCAGGCTTGGCGAGGCTTCCAGGAGAAGCGCTGAGCGCAGAGCACGGCCCCGTGCAGGGAAAGGGAGCAGCCTGCAACCCAGCCCAACCTGGAGGGAGGTGGTGCACACGCAGCTCTGCCAACGATGCAGGTTCACCAAGTTCCTGCAGGCCAAGGATGTACAGGGTGGGGAGCACATCCGTGTTCACGTAAGCAGCACGCCCCTGACGACGCCCCAGCTGCGAGTGGCCAGAATGCATGCAGAACCACACCTGGCGGTTCCATGTGGGATGGAACTTCGCTCAGCCTTGTTATCAGGGAGAACCCACCAGATGTGGGATGCAACAGAGTGTCCTGTTTGTTAACTGCTGGGACGTCTTGAGCAACGATGATCAGGGTTCACTCCATCTGCCACAGGAGGAAGGTAGCTCCTCATTTGACTCTTCTAAGGCAGTGCTTCTCACGCTCCACGTGCACAGAATCACCAGGAGATGTTGTGCAAAGACAGATTCCAATGCAGTGAGTCTGGGGCAGAGCCTGATATTCCGTGGTTCTAAAACATGTCTGGGTAATGCTGCTGCCACTGGAGTGGATGGTGCTGTGAGCAGCCAAGTCTAAGCTGTCTGGGATGAGATGAGCGTGCTGTTGGCCTGGGCTCACTGACCTGCGCCACCCTCTTTTCCTAGCTGAGGAGAAAGAAGAGGAAGGTGGGTGGGAAGTGGTTCCAACATTGGATTGTACTTTTCAAGGTGGGGACATTGACGAGATCGACTCATAGATATCCTATCACTTTCTCTTTGGTGGGTCCCACACGTGGGGCCCTATGAGACACTGGACGCTCCGGCAGCACATTCAAGGACACACCTTTTGTTTTCCTTCTCGCAGTAGTGATTCTCCACCCTCGGATGTCAGTCTTCTCAACAGAGGTGGTGGCATCTCCCGGGAGCATTTTGGAAACATACCGAGGCATTTCTGTTGTCAGTAGTCGAAGGGCATTTAGTGAGTGGCGCCAGGGATGCCGGCTATCATTTAGGTGTCTTCAATGTCACCCAGGACTTTCATGCAGGAGCACAGGCACCTTATAATTCTCTGAGTCTAGACCTCATCCAGTTTACATATACACACAGAGCTTTTTTTTTTTTTCTGAGACGGAGTTTCGCTCTTGTTGCCCAGGCCGGAGTGCAATGACGTGATCTTGGCTCACCACAACCTCTACCTCCCGGGTTCAGGTGATTCTCCTGCCTCAGCCTTCTGAGTAACTGGGACTAGAGGCATGAGCCACCATGCCCAGCTAATTTTTTTTTTTTTTTTGTATTTTTAGTAGAGACGGGGTTTCACCAAGCTGGCCAGGCTGGTCTCGAACTCCTGACCTCGTGATCCACCTGCCTTAGCCTCCCAAAGTGCTGGGATTGCAGGCATGAGCCACCGTGCCTGGCCTGCATTTTTTTTTTTTTTTTTTTTGATGGAGTCTGGCTCTGTCGCCCAGACTGGAGTGCAGTGGCATGATTTTGCCTCACTGCAACCTCCACCTCCCAGGTTCAAGCAATTCTCCAGCCTCAGCCTCCTGAGTAGCTGAGATCACAGATGCACACCACCATGCCCAGCTAATTTTTATATTTTTAGTAGAGATGGGGTTTCACCATATTGGAGAGGCTGGTCTCGAACTCCTGACCTCAAGTGATCTGCCCGCCTTGGCCTCCCAAAGTGCTGGGATTACAGGCGTGAGCCACTGTGCCTGTCCTAAACAGAAAGCATTTTTGTATGACTTAAAAATGCAAACTATACAGAGTTTTAAAAAATTCTAGTATCCCTTTGTACCACTGTACCCTTTTTCTCCACTTCTTGCACAGTATTGCTTCTGAACTTACTCAAATTGTTCCTGTTTGCAGGCAACACAATCACTGATATATATCCCTGAGGACTCTACCAAAACACGAACTAATAAACACATTTAGTAAAGTTGCAGTATACAAAATTAACCTAAACAAGTTAGTAATGCTTCTGTACACTAACAGCAAAGTATCTGAAAAAGAAATCAAGAAAACAATCCCATTCATAATAGCTACTAAAAAAAAAAGATACCTAGGAATAAATGTAACCAAGGAGGTAAAAGATCTGTACACTGAAAACTATAAAACATTGATGAAAAATATTGAAGTTTACACAAATAAATGGAAAGATATCTTGTGTTCGTGGATTAGAAGAATTAATATTATTAAAATGTCCATACTACCCAAAGTGATATACAGATTCAATGCAATTCCTATGCCAATGACATTTTTCACAGAAAAAAAAATTATAAAGTTCACATTCATAAAATACCCAGAATAGCCAAAGTGAGCCTGCGTTAAATAAAAATAAAGCTGGAGGCATCACACTACCTGACTTTGAAATATAATACTACAAAGCTGATATTGGTATAAAAACAAACACTCAGACCAAAGATGCTAAAACACGCATTAAGGAAAAGATAGCCTTTTCAATCAATGGTGCTGGGAAAATTGGATGTCCACAGGCCGAAGAATGAAACTGGACACCTATTTTTCACTATATACAAAAATCAACTCAAAATGGATTAAAGACTTAAATGTAAGACAGAAAACTATGAAATGATTAGAAGAAAACATAGAAGAAATACTTAATGACACTAGACTAGACAAGGATTTTTTTGAATAAGACTCAAAAGCGCTGGGTGCGGTGGCTCACGCCTGTAATCCCAGCACTTTGGGAGGCCGAGGCAGGGAAATCATGTGGTCAGGAGATCGAGACCGTCCTGACTAACACGGTGAAACCCTGTCTCTACTAAAAATACAAAAAATTAGCCGGGCGTGGTGGCATGCACCTATAGTCCCAGCTACTTAGGAGGCTGAGGCAGGAAAATCGCTTGAACCCAGGAGACAGAGGTTGCAGTGAGCTGAGATCGTGCCACTGCACTCCAGCCTGGGCAACAGAGTGAGACTCCATCTCAAAAAAAAAAAAAAAGAAAAAGACTCAAAAGCATAGGCAACAAAAGCAAAAATAGACAATTTTGATTACACCAAACTAGAAAGTGTCTGTACAACAAAGGAAACAAGCAACAGAGTGAAGACAACATATAGAATGGGAGAAGATATTTGCAAACAATCTATCTGACAAGTGATGAATATCCAGAATACATAAGGAGCTCAAATAAC
Source organism: Homo sapiens (assembly GCF_000001405.40). Classification (NCBI taxonomy): domain Eukaryota; kingdom Metazoa; phylum Chordata; class Mammalia; order Primates; family Hominidae; genus Homo; species Homo sapiens. The sequence goes on along the minus strand of NC_000013.11, from coordinate 112,662,020 downwards.
TCGACAGCAAAAAAAAAAAAAAAAAAATCAGATGTAAAAATGGGCAAAAGACCTTAACAGACATTTTTCAAAAGAAAACATATAAATGGCCAACATGCATGTGAAAAAATGCTCAACATTACTAATCATCAGGGAAATGCAAATCAAAATACGAGAAGACATTACCTCATTCCTGTTAGAATGGCTGTTATTGGAAAGACAAGAGATAATAAGTGTTGACGAGGATGTGGAGAAAAAGGAACTCTTGTGCACTGCTGGTGGGAATGTATAGCTATTATGGAAAACAGTATAGAGGTTCCTCAAAAAATTAAAAATAGAATTACCATATAATCCAGCAATCCCATTTCTGGGTATATAGCTGAAGGAAATGAAATCAGTATGTCTAAGAGATGACTACTCTCCAATGTTTATCGCAGCACTATTCACAAAAGCCAAGATATGGAATCAACCTAAGTATCCCACAACAGATGCATGGATAAAGAAAATGTGGTATATAAACACAATGGAGTACTATACAGCCATAAAAAAGAACAAAATCCTGTTATTTACAATAACATAGATGAACCTGGAGGACATTATGTTAAGTAAGCCAGACACAGAAAGCCAAATACCCCGTGTCTCACTCATCTGTGAAATCTAAAAATCCTGATCTCATAGAAGTAGAGAGTAGGATAGCAGTTACCAGGGGCTGGGGAGGGTGTTAGTAAGGGGAAAACAGGGAGAGATTGGTCAATCGGTACAAAGTTACAATTAGATCGAAAGTATAAATTCTGGTGTCCTATTGCATGGTAGGGTGAATATAATCAATCATAAGGTATTATATATCTCAAACTAGCTAGAAGACAGGATTTTGTATGTTCCCATCATAAAAAATGATAAGAATTTGAGGTCATAAATATGCTGATTACTCTGATTTGATCATTACACAATGTATACATGTATCAAAATATCATATTGTGTCTGCTCTGTTGATGGAGTAGCCACTCTTTAATTTCTTTATTAATAAACTTGCTTTCAATTAAAAAAATCATATTGCACCCCATAAATAAGTACAATTATTCTATCAATTAAAAATAAAAATAATGATTAGAAATCCAAAATAAATAAAAATCAAAACTACTACAGGTGACCTTGAACAACACGGGTTTGAACTGCATGTGTCCACTTACACACAGATTTTTTTCAACAAATGTATTGGAAAACTTTGGAGATTTGCAACAATTTGAAAAAACTTGCAGATAAAATGTGTAGCCTAGAAATATTTTAAAAATTAAGAAAAGGTTAGATATCTCATGAAGACATAAAATATATGTAGATACCAGTCCATTTTATTATTTACCAAAATAAAATATACACAAATGATTATAAAAAGTTAAAATTTATGAAAACGTATGCACACAAACACAGACTGTACATGGTGCCACTCACAGTTGAGAGAAATGTAAACCAATATGAAGATGCAGTGTGAGGCCAGGTGCGGTGGCTCACGCCTGTAATCCTAACACTTTGGAAGGCCGAGGGGAGTGGATCACCTGAGGCCAGGAGTTTGAGACCAGCCTGGCCAACATGGAGAAACCCCGTCTTTACTAAAAATGCAAAAATTAGCCAGGTGTGGTAGTGCACGCTTGTAATCCCAGCTACTTGGGAGGCTGAGGCAGGAGAATTGCTTGAACCCAGGAGGCAGAGGCTGCAGTGAGCCGAGATTGTGCCATTGCCCTCCAGCCTGGGCGACAGAGCAAGACTCATCTCAAAACAAAACAAAACAAAACAAAACAAAACAAAACAATAACAAAAAAAGATGCAGCGTGATGTCATAACTGCATAAAAATAACTGTAGTGAGTGTCGGGCGCGGTGGCTCACGCCTGTAATCCTAGCACTTTGGGAGGTAGAGGCGGGTGGATCACGAGGTCAGGAGATCGAGACCATCCTGGCTAACACAGTGAAACTCTGTGTCTATTAAAAATACAAAAAAATTAGCCGGGCGTGGTGGAAGGTGCCTGTCGTCCCAGCTACTCCGGAGGCCGAGGCAGGAGAATGGCATGAACCTGGGAGGTGGAGCTTGCAGTGAGCCAAGATCGTGCCACTGCATTCCAGCCTGGGTGACAGAGCGAGACTCCATGTCAAAAAAAGATAATAATAATAGAATAAAAATTAACTGTAGTGAGTACTGTACTACTGCAAAGACTTTACAGCCACCTCCTGTAGCTGTCATGGTGAGCGTGAGCATCCTGAGGAATCCCTTAAAACTCCGTGTGACGCTAATCATCTCCATGTGAACAGGTGTCTCTTCAGTACATCGCGTTCGGTAGGAAACAGTGACCTCTTGCAGTTCTCACGTATTTCTCGTGTTTGAATAGTACCACAGGACCCACACGAAGTGCCACTGGTGATGCTGGAACCCCCCCCCCCCCACAAGAAGCAGAAAAACGTCACCACATAACAGAAAAAGTGGAAATGCTTGGTATGTACCGTAGATCGAGGTCTGCAGCTGTGGTTGCCGCTATTTCAGACGGACGATTCATCTTATAAAGAAAGTAAACTTACGGCATCCATAAGTGCAGTACAGTCCCATAAATGCATTTTCTCTTTCTTCTGAGTTTCTTAATAACATTTTCTTTTCTCTAGCTTACTTTATTATAACAATGCAGTGTACAGTACATATAACATATAAAATATGTGTTAATTGACTTTCGGTCAGCAGGAAGCTATCAGTGGTTAAGTTTTTGGAGAGTCAAAAGTTACCTGGGAATTTCCGACCCCTGGGGAGGATCATCCCTGCCCCTGGAGAGCTTCGGGGATCCCTGTGATCTTTGGTTTATCTTGGCTTCTCTTTTCTGTTTCAGTCTGGACACTACAGAGATTTTCAAAAACTGTCTGTGAGGGTAGATAACATGTATGAATTTATTTCAAGTTAGGGAAGCTGGTATTAACAACATGTGTTTGTCTGAAAGAGATGGCATGACTGTTCTGGAATCCTGTTTTCCTCTGCTGGCCACCACGTGCTGCCTAAGAGGCCTGGGAAGGGTCTGGGAGACAGGGAGGGGCAGGAGGTGGGGCAGGGAGTGAAGAGAGAGAGACAGGTTAGAAACACCATGCTTCCCCTCAGGCCTGTCACATATGGACATAGTCAGGTTTAGACAAAATATCACATATTCTGCTGCTGACAGGGAAAAACAACAATAAATAAACAAAGTAGCACATAAATACAACTCATAGCATGTTCTCTCTTATTTCCAAGTACACAATGTATCGTCTCAAACTGGTGCACTGTCTCACAGGGGTTCCCAATATCTCCTCCATATTCCCGTTATGTACTAGAGGGTTACACATGTGTATGCACACATATAATACAAACCTAGGTTTCTATGTGCCTTCTTTTCTTCCTACCTTCCTCTCTGTCTGTCTCTCTCTCATTCTTGCCAATATGGCTGTGAGTCTCTAATTTTCACTTTATTTCCTGCAACTGACTCCAAGCCATTTCCTCAAGCTACATGAAGAAACACCATTCAATGAAGGGAGAAGAAAGCCTGGAAACGTATCCTTTTTAAGTTTATTCTTTCAAACTCAGAGTTTTGAGGGAAAAAGCTAAGCTAAAAACACTGGCATTTGCAAATGAAACTTCTTCAGCTGCCTGCCAGAGCTGTAAATTATTTAACAAGAGAAATTAAATCTTCACCCAGAAGCCCGGGGCTCTAATCACACAGCCAAGTTCGCTCAGCGTGTGAGCCCTGTGGGTGCACATTCCAAGACGCTGACAGCTGCAGACAACGCAGATGACGTGGGTTTGAGGCCTAGCCCCTAGGCAGGTGGGATGAATCTTAGCTGACTGCGGTGACCGGAAATTAGCAGTGCCGCCATTGGCAGGTGGCAGTGTTCCTCCAGCTGGTGAGATAGTCCAGGCCACTGCCCTGCGACTCGGGGGCTCCAGCAAAAGCCTGGGCTCTGGGCTCACTCCCACCTCCCTGGGACATTCCTGGTTTTAACACCGCAAGTCCCATCCTTCTGGGAACCCCTCAGTTTGGGACTAAGGGGAAGGCGGGTCCTTTGTGACCCTGGTGTCAGGTGTCTCTATGCACATGGCAGACAGACTCCTTAGGAGGGGGAGTCCCGTCCCTACCTCCTCCCCATGGGCTCTACCAGGAAGGAGGCCCCACCAGGATAGAGGTCCCATCAGAAAGGAGGCCCCACCAGGAAGGAGGTCCCATCAGAAAGGAGGCCCCACCAGGAAGGAGGTCCCACCAGGAAGGAGGTCCCACCAGGAAGGAAGTCCCATGAGGAAGGAGGTCCCACCAGGAAGAAGGTCCCACCAGGAAGGAGGCCCCACCAGGAAGGAGGCCCCAACAGGAAGGAGGCCCCATCAGGAAGGAGGTCCCAACAGGAAGGAGGCCCCACCAGGAAGGAGGTCCCACCAGGAAGGAAGTCCCATGAGGAAGGAGGTCCCACCAGGAAGAAGGTCCCACCAGGAAGGAGGCCCCATCAGGAAGGAGGCCCCAACAGGAAGGAGGCCCCATCAGGAAGGAGGTCCCACCAGGAAGGAGACCCCACCAGGAAGGAGGTCCTAGTAGGAAGGAGGCCCCATCAGGAAGGAGGCCCCAGGGCCTTGTCTTGGGTCTCTGTACTGGCTGCTTCAGAAAGACACCTGGTGCTGGCCGCTACCTGGGTCTCAGCCCCAGACAGAATCCAGGAGGCAGAAGAATCAGGTGGAGGATGTGTGTGTGTGTGTGTGTGTGTGTGTGTGTGTGTGTGCGCGCCCTGTGTGGGTCCCAGGCATGGAGAGTGTGTGTGTGGGTGTGAGCCCTGAGTGGGGTCCCAGGCAGACTCCTTCCTGATAAGATGCCCGTAGCCACCCTCGGCCATCTCCACCCTCCATGTCCTTGTCTGTGTGATGAAGAGAATTCTATGACCTCCAGTCCCACAGCGGCTCTGCCATCAGGGACAAAATCGGTGGAAAGTGCCCCTCAAGACGCCTGGAGCTCAGTGGGTGTTCAGTGACGTGCTCCCCCAGACACCTGGCGCTTAGTAGGTGTTCAGTGATCTCCATCTGAACAATCCGCACAGCATTCACAGGGGAGCTCAGGGAAGGCTGCGGACGGGCCCCAGCCACCGGCAGCTCTGAATCGCACCTTTGAGTGGAGACGCATTTGCTCTTCCTGACCTTGACACGACCCGTTTGCCTTAAAGGAGAATTGAGAGGTAATTTCCTCCACTGTTGTCTGAGAGCACCAGCACTTTTTGGATTTGTAATTGAGTCCTGCTTTATTTATTTATTTATTTATCTGAGATGGAGTCTCACTCTGTCGCCCAGGCTGGAGTGCAGTGGTGCGATCTCGGCTCACTGCAACCTCCGCCTCCTGGGTTCAAGCAATTCTCCTGCCTCAGCCTCCCGAGTAGCTGGGATTACAGACAAGAGGGGGCCGCCATCTTGAAAATGATTGGCACAACTGCCTGCATCTATGTCTGCAGCTCGATTTCACAGGCTGCTCTTTGTTAGAAAGGAAAATGATTTGGGGCTGATTTTCATTAAAAGGAAAAACCGCACCGAGGACTTCCACACCCTTACTATCTGCCTAATTTCTTCTTAACTCCTGTATCAACAGTAGACTGTGAAAAAATTAATTTATTTAAAACATTTTTCTAAAATCAAAGGTTTTCTACACGAATTATAGTAAATTATTCTCAAAAAGACCCAAAAGCATCAATGCCAGTGGAAATAACTTATTTGTTTTCCTACCGTATGCTGTATTTGGGGCTGTGGGGTGGGCTGCTTGATCCATTTAGCCAACAACCGTTTTCCTTTATTCATTGGCACTGAAATTATGCAGTTGTACTTTCTGCTTCTACCCACCCTAGCTTTATCTCAGATCTTGAGGTCAGCTCAGCCACCGGCCTGGGGGTGTTTAGCAGTGATAAATAAATGCTTAGTAAACAAGGCACCCACATCAGGCCCCCTGGCAGGAGGCATCTGTCTCCTAGGTTCTTTGCTTTATTCCACTGCTGTGGGATTCCCCCAAGGAGAAACGTTCTCTCAGACGATTCTGACCTTTTCTTGTGGTGATTCCTCTCCCTCTCACCTCCTGTCCACCTGGAGCTAGGAGGGGTTTTGGCTGCAGGGAGGTATCAGGTCCTCCTATGCTACTAAAAAAAAAGCAGAGTTTGGGAGGCTGAGGCAGGCAGATCACCTGAGGTCAGGAGTTTGAGACCAGCCTGGCCAACATGGTGAAACCCTGTCTGTACTAAAAATACAAAAAATTAGATTAGCCGGGTGTGGTGGCAGGCACCTGTAATCCCAGCTACTTGGGAGGCTGAGGCAGGAGAATTGCTTGAACCCAGGAGGCGGAGGTTGCAGTGAGCCGAGATCGCATTGCACTCCAGCCTGGGCAACAAGAGTGAAACTCCATCTCAAAAAAAAATAAATAAAAATAAAAAACCCATATTGAATTATATCACTCTATCATATTCATCTCTCCAGTCTCCTTGTGATAGACGTCCATATTGTATTCATTTTTGGTTATTGCAAAATATGCCAGAGTGAACCTTTGTCCATACAGATCACCATTGTCTCAGCGTGAAGTCTTAAGTGGAATCTCCACCTTAAAAGTGTGCATCTTAATAGATGATTTTCATTTATAAAGTCAAATTTCTCCCCAAAAGATTCTACCAATTTATTCTCCCCCAGCAGCCAAGGAGAGTTCCGGATTCACCTCCCTGTCTCTCCAATGCTGAGGGCTAATCAAATAGGTGTGAAATATTTAATCACTGTTAGAATTGACATTTCTCAGATTCATCGTGAAGTTGGTCAATTGGCCATTTTGTTTATTTCTGGATGCATATTCAGACAGTTTTACCACTGTGGTTTTTTCTTTTGTAAAATTTGTTGCATCAGTAAATTAGCCTCTTGTCATATGTTTGCAAATTTTTTTTGCAGTTTGATACTTGTCTTTTTCCTTGAAGTATTCTCTTTTTTCTTTATGCTAAGAAATGTTACTTCTTTTTTTTTTTTTTCTTGAGACGGAGTCTCGCTGTTGCCCAGGGTGGAGTGCAATGACGTGATCTTGGCTCAGTGAAGCCTCCACCTCCTGGGTTCAAGCGATTCTCCTGCCTCAGCCTCCCAAGTACCTGGGATTATAGGCATGTGCCACCATGCCTGGCTAATTTTATATTTTTAGTAGAGATGGGGTTTCACCATGTTGGCCAGGCCAGTTTTGAGCTCAGGTGATACCCCGCCTTGGCCTCCCAAAGTGTTGGGATTACAGGTGTGAGCCACCCACGCCCAGCTGAAACGTTAAGTTTTTGTAATCACATCACATTGTAATCAATCACATTGAGTACATCCAGGTCCTTGGTCCTGCAGTCCCCCAGCACTGCTATTTATAATAATCTTGAAGACAGCACCTTGCAGGGGTGTGAGGCCGGTGGGATTGCAAGCCAGGAGAGGAGACGCGTGTGCACGCCCTCATGCCACTCTAGACTGTACGGTTCAACCCACAGGATCATCACTAGAGCTCTGTCTGCCTCTGGCCTTCCCTCTCCCTCAACCCCCAGTTAATTGTGCTCAAGTACCTTCTTAATGTGTCTTGTAATTAGCCAATGTAAAAGAAAAAGCAAAGCAAATCGCGTTATCATTATTATTATTATTATTTTGAGACGGAGTCTCACTCTGTCGCCCAGGCTGGAGTGCAATGGTGCCATCTTGGCTCACTGCACCTCCGCCTCCTGAGTTCAAGTGATTCTCCTGCCTCAGCCTCCCCAGTAGCTGGGATTACAGGTGTCGCCACCATGCCTGGCTAATTTTTGTATTTTTAGTAGAGATGGGGTTTCCCCATGTTGGCCAGGCTGGTCTCAAACTCCTGACCTCAGGCAATCTGCTCACTTCGGCCTCCCAAAGTACTGGGATTACAGGCTGAGCCACCACACCCGGCTGCATTTATATTCATTGAGGTAGTTTTCTTGTGATGACAGTATTAGCCTGCTTTTGGTATTGGGGTAATACTGACCTCATACAGTGAATCAGGAGGTGTTCCTTAGAAGTGGTCTTCTATTTTTTGGAAGAGTTAGTGAAGTTTTGGTATTACTTCTATCTGGGCCTGGGCTTTTCTTTGTAGGAAAATTTAAAATTACTAATTAAGTCTCTTTACTTGTTATAGGTGTATTCAGATTTTCTGTTTCTTCTTGAGTTCATTTCAGTAGCTTTTATTATTGTAAAAATTTCCATTTCCTCTTAGTTACCTACTTTATTGGCACACAGTTCTCCTAGCAATCCCCATCACATCCCTTTCTGTTTCTGTAAGGCTGGTCAACAGTGTCATCCACTCTTTCATTCCTGAATTTGGTAATTTGAAAAAGTCTGTGAATTCCTGACCCAGAGGGTCTAAACATGTGGGTCCAACTCAGAACTGACCCCCACCAACAATATATCAAGTCAGACCTGACTCCCACCAACGATATATCAAGTCAGAACTGACTCCCACCGACGATACATCAAGTGGAACTACATGAAATTCTCCAGTTTTACTGGCAAAAATGGCTATTTCATATGGTTCAATGTAAAACATTGAATTAGGTTCAACTTAATAAAATAAAAATGAGTTAAAAATTGCTTCATTAAACAGTGTTATTTGAAACTGATAAACTCCCTTTCCTGTTCCTCCTTTTCTTGCTCTTCCTGGTTTTCTCATTTTCTTTCTCTTCTGCAGCCAAGGAACTGTCTTGGGCCTCAGTTCTCTGCGTTTGTAATGGAAAGGGGGCTGGGTGCCAGGACTGTGTTGGGCCTCAGTTCTCTGCGTCCATAATGGAAAGGGGCTGGGTCCCGCTTGAGTGCAGCTTTCTGTCATCTCTGCAGACAGAGCAGGATTGCCTTGAAAGGTGTGAAAAGAAAATAAATCTTGGCACCCCAAAATCAGTAAGCTAAAGGGAAAAGTCAAGCTGAGAACTGCTTAGGGCAAAGCTGCATCCCATTCTATTCCTTAAAAAGGAAGCTACTAAGATTAAAAAAGAAAGAAAGAAAGAAAGAAAAAAAGAGTGACATACCTCCCTCATAAGGAATTTCCCTGTGGACAAAGGACAGACAGAACTCAAACTCGCCCTCCGCTCACTGACATAGATGCATATCTGATGGCTGGAATTGGAAAGGCTGATCAGACACTCAAAAGAATGCAACCTTTTGTCTCTTACCTACCTATGACCTGGAAGCCCCCTCCCTGCTTCGAGTTGTCCCGCCTTTCTGGACAGAACCAACATACATCTCACACGTGTTGATTGATGTGTTATGTCTCCCTAAAATGTATAAAACCAAGCTGTGCCCCAACCACCTTGGGCACATGCCAGGACTTCCTGAGACTGAGTCACGGGCACTCATCCCTAACTTTGGCAAAATAAACTTTCTAAATTAACTGAGAGCTGTCTGTCTCAGATATCTGGGGTTCACAAAGGGCCCACAGTGTGCTGGTTTTGGTGAGTCGCTCTCTTTTCTGTCTCTCTCTGTCACTTGGATCTGACTCTCTCCTTTTTATTAGCATCTCTCTCTTGTAGTCTGAGTCCCTGTCCTCTCATGCCCAGGTACCCCAGGACTAAGGGACCATGAGATCTGCTGAGACCTGCCAGTGGCCACGACAGCTGCAGGAGCAGGTGACCTCCGTCCGTGGCCGTCTCCTGGCAGGGGAGATGGCGCTGGCTGAGTGTTCCAGTTTCCCATCAAAGCCTGATGCTCTGCAGACTAGACACGGAATCTTTCCCATGGGAGCTCCCAAGCTCCCTTTTGTCCTAATAGAATTGTAGATCTTTAATTTTTGAAGCAGAACTTCTTTGGCCTGCCAGACTCTTAAAAGTTCTCTGTTTCTTAAAGGAGGATTTTATCTGTTCAATGTTATCAGACAGCTGGAAGGGAAACTGCAGGCCATCTAGGCATCTGGTGTTAGGCAGAAGTTGAATTTTCGTTTTGTTGACAGGAACATAGGACAAGAGGGTGTTTTACACACAGCCAGCCTATTTTATTAAATAAAGTTCTCCATAAATGATGATGATTTTTTCCATGTAGACTAAATGACTAAGGAGAGGAATTTCTCTTGGTCAGCTTTTTTTAAGTGCTTGTGATATTTTGTTGTTATTGTAGATCTCAAGTCCTTGAATAATTTGGAGTTTTTTTCTCTCCTTCTTATTTCAGTAAATTTACTTTCTCATTTTCTAAGTCAAACTTGATAAGCATCTTGTATATTATGCATTATTCATCAAGAGCTGGTTAAAGTAAGAAAATTTAAGTTAGCCACTTTCTCTAGAATTCCCACTTATAGTACAAATTTCCCTGTGGTCTCAATGTTGATGAGGCACATTCATGAATAAGACATGAGTATCAGGAGGGCATTTTGCAGCAGATTCATATTCATTTTTGCTCCTCTCATTCTCCTTGCACAATAGCTGTGCTTTTCTTGTGCAGCACGTGAAGCCGGAGACCTCAGTGCAACAGAGAATCTTTCCAGTGGAAGAGGCTGCCTGATAATAAACCTCAAAGGCTGACGTCTTAAAGTGGGAGTTCATTTAAGGTTTTAAGTGGCAAAATGCCAATCATTGTTCTTCTAAATTTTCTCAAGGCCTTATCTGCTTGACAAGTGTTAAAATCAGGTGTGCCAAGAGTGCGCCATTTACACTGAGCCCCTGGGAAGTGCATGAGTGTTTTATGACATTTGGGTCCCAGGGCCTCGGAGTGGGCAGAGCACAGGGTGAAACCTGGGTTTGTCGTGTGACCCAGCACCTCCGAATCTCTGACCCACAGGATTCTCTTCTGCACATCACTCTACCTTCCTGGGTTTCTACTTGCTTTAAAATGGGAATTAACACACGGCTCCTCCCTCAAGGGTAGTGCCTTCCTTGCTTATAGGGCCTGGGATCACGCGGCAGTGCTTTGCATGCTTACACGCTCTGGAGTGATGGACTAGCTCACCAGGGCTTTAGATAGAGACTGTGGGCCCTTTGGGGAGCTGTTGTCATTGTTATTTTTGAGTTCTACCTTGAATCAGTCTTGCATTTCAAAGCTTTTAGAGAAACCCCTTTTGACTTGTTTGACAGGCATGAGGTTCTGGCTTTGCCCAGAGAAGATCTGTGTGGAAGCTTTAGCATAGCAGCGGCATTCATGGGCTTGGTCTTGTCCCCCGCTAAGCTGTACACCAGACTTCTCTTGCAACCTCCACTCTCAAACAAACAGAAAAACAACCATTAAAATGCAGGGAGCTCGATGGACCAGCACGTGACTTAGGTAGGAACAACGGCAGAGCTAGAGGAAAAGGGAACGGGCATTGGTTCTGTGTGGTGAGAACAGACAGCTGGCCGTGAACTTCTGGAGAATCACCTAGGGTTGTCGGTGAGTTGACATTGTTAGTGTGAAAGTCAGTGCCCTGCAGGGAGACAGAATGGCAACCCCTCAGCCACCTGCGCAGGGGTCTCTTTATGGCACCTAGCACACAATTGGAATTCTGTCTCTTTCTAGACATCTCCAACCAGATGATGCAGAGAATGAGGACTATTTGGCTAATGGGTCCAAAGATGGTTCCATGACTCCGTTTGGGAAGAGGAGGCCATTGTCTCTCTGTGTTAGTGACGCTTCTCCCATGGTGGTCCCCGGTTGCTCCAGATCCAGTTAGAACTTGAGACTATGAGACCAACCCTTTCCTTTTATAGCTGGGGAAACTGAGGCCCAGGGAGAGTCAGTGACCCGAGGGCGCAAGGCTAGATCACAGGAAAAGCCTCACCCACCCATATCAAGGAGAACATGTTTCCTTCGCAATAGCATTCCAGCCAGGATATTTTTGTTTGCTTCTTCTTATTATTATTATTGAGACCGAGCCTCTCTCTGTTGCCCAGGCTGAAGTGCAATGGCACAATCTTGGCTCACTACAACCTCCGCCTCCCGGGTTCAAGCAATTCTCCTGCCTCAGCCTCCAGGGTAGCTGAGATTACAGGCGCCCGCCACCATGCCTGGCTAATTTTTGTATTTTTAATAGAGACAAGGTTTCACCATGTTGGCCAGGCTGGTCTCGAACTCCTGACCTCACGTGATCCACCTGCCTTGGCCTCCCAAAATGCTGGGATTACAGGCAAGAGCCACCGCGCCCGGCCTGTTTGCTTATATTTTGTTAGTTGAAAAAATATGTCCATCATCTTGTGTTGGGAAGGTGTGCGGAGGCTGAGACCACCGAGGAGCACCCTTAAAGTACCATAGATGGTCCGAGTATCCGCATGACTTTTGTTTGGCTGAATGGAGCCCAGAAGCTGAGTTCAGAGGTAAATGGTTCACAACAAGGGAGAGAGAGGTCAATGCTTCACATAGAGACTGTGGGGATGAGCAAAAGGAGAGAACTTAGGAGGGGAACACAACTGCCCAGGAGGAATCAGGTTACCTTCTGCTGCATGAAGAGTGAGTCCCCTGCCCGTTAACTCTTCCGTACAAATTTCTCATTCCTGAGTGTGATACTGGATCTGCTTCTGGGAGCGGGGACGGGACCAGGGCTGGGTGTGGCCTCTAGGTGTGGGCAGAAGAGAAGGAGGGCTGGCTCTGTCTAGTGCCTAGGCGGGAAACAGAAGGCCCCTGGGGACACGGCACCTAAAGGCCAAGAGTAGAAACCACCGCTGCAGTTCTTAGCGTCAGATGGAGGGGTCCCACCGTGGCAAGGACCCCACCCTGCCTTCTGGAGAGAAGTGAGCATTTCTGAACCTCGCAGACGCTGTGCTGAAGTGGAGGCTGGCTACCCAGAGGCCACCTTGCCCCAGACCAAATGGCCTCTTGCAGCAAGATGTAGGAACTGGGCGGTCTCGGGAGTGAGTGGGCGCGCGCCCAATTTTAGATCAGCGATGTCAGCCAGTGAAGTAGAGTCTCGGGTGCCTACGCGAGTTATCAATGTCAGTTATCAAATGACGGGACTCCCAGCACAAAGCCAAGAGAACCCAGTGTGTTCTCGGAGGTACGCCGATGAGACAGCATCGCGTGGGAGGCAGCACTGACCAATCCCAGCGGCGGCCCCGGGAAGGACCGGACTCAGCGCAGCTCTATGTGGAGCTTCCCACACACCCAGGGCCCAGTACAGGGCTCGGCTCTTAGATGGTGCTTGAGAAATATGAATTGAATGGACGAATGATTGAATGGACGAGGCCAGGTGTGGTGGCTCACCCTGTAATCCCAGCACTTTGTGAGGCCGAGGCAGGTGGATCACGTGAGGTCAGGAGTTCGAGACCAGCCTGACTAACATGGTAAACCCCATCTCTACTAAAAATACAAAAATTAGCCAGGCGTGGTGGCACGTACCTGTAATCCCAGCTACTCGGGAGGCTGAGGGGGGAGAATTGCTTGAACCCAGGAGGCAGAGGTTGCAGTGAGCCGAGATCACGCTACTGCACTTCAGCCTGAGCGACAGAGTGAGACTCTGTCTCAAAAAAAAAAAAAAAAAAAAAGAGTAAATGTAGGAAATGTTGCTTTCACTGGTCTTTTGGCCTAATATATAGTATTCTACATTCTACCTGCATAAACCAGGTAATGCAAGGAGCCCAAATTTGAATACTCACAGTACTTAAAACCTGAAACTAACAAAGGTTAGAAAAACAGAATGAGGCCCTCTTTCTCCTGCCTGGCCCGGCCCCAGGCTCCATGTGGTAACCCTCCCCTCACCATCACCCTTGCTTTACAAACCCGCCCCTGCTGTGCTTTCCTGTGCTGCTGGCTTTATCTGAGCCCCCCAGGGCAGTCACCACCCTGCTTGGGCCCCCTGCTGCTGCGCCTGTCAGGATCATTGCGAGATCCGTGAAACCTGAAGCTGGGCACTCAGTACCGCTCCCGGCTGCAGGTAGGAGCTGACCGAAGGGTCTGTGTGCCCCCCGTGAGCCTTGACAACCTGGTCAGGAAAAGACTCGTCTCCATCTCCCATCTGTGGGTGGAACAAGGAAGGCTTTGCATGTGATGAGGAAAACAAAACAAAACAAAAAATGCCCATGAACAATCCCGAACTCTTCCTGTTGGCAAAATCCTTCCAGTGAGATTATTTTCACGAATTCAGTTGTTAAATCCGTAACTCAATCAGGCCTTTTAAGAATTAAGCAAGGAGGCGTGGCACGGTGGCTCACGCCTGTAATCCCACTACTCTGGGAGGCTGAGGCAAGCGGATCATGAGGTCATGAGTTTGAGATAAGCCTGGCCAACATGGTGAAACCCTGTCTCTACTAAAAAATACAACAATTAGCCGGTCATGGTGGCGCATGCCTGTAATCCCAGCTACTTGGGAGGCTGAGACAGGAGAATCACTGGAACTCAGGAGGTGGAGGTTGCAGTGAGCCAAGATCGTGCCATTGCGCTCCAGCCTGGGTGAAAGAGTGGAACTCCATCTCAAAACTACAACAACAACAAAAAAGAATTAAGCAAGGCCCCACCCAAGACATAGAACCTACCTTTTCCGGCCTCCTTGCCCAAGCTCGGTATGATTACAAACCAGGGCTTCTCTGTCGCAGGGTTGCATCTCCAGCTCAGAAGCTCTGGCTGGACGTGTGAGACAGGTCCCTTCTCCGAAGAAGCGGAAACGTGGACATGACACTGGCATTTCTGGTTTGGGCACCACTTGAGCAGACTGGCGTCTTCCCCCCGACGGTGTTCAAAACCCTGATGGCGTTGAAGCAAGGCCACCTAAACTCAGCCACGACTAAAACTCCACAGCTGAGCTTTCCAGCGTTTGTCGGTATCCTTGCTGTGTTTGCAAGGGTCATTGTTTAGATTCTCTCTGCTAAACCTGGGGATGGTCACCGTGTTGAGGGGAAAACAACTTCAGTCTGTTTTTGCTTTAAGCAGAGGTCTGCTTGGGTACTCTTGCCTGGGTTCCTACGAAGTGGACACACGAAGAAAGGGCCCGTTCTCTTTACTCCCCCACCCCCCAGTAGCACCCTGCTCCGAATTTGCAATAGCAGATGAAGGCCGGAGCTGCGGCCCCTTTCTCAGTTGTTTTTGATACTGAGGCATAAACAGAACAACATTCAAAAACTGAGGTGAGGGAATTAATTATTAAGCAGCCTACCACAATCAATACAATATTGCTGGTGTGTTTCCTTTTAGATATTTCTGGAGTTTGCTTTCAATATTTAATTCAACCCAAACTGGTAGGTCACCACCATATGTAGCTTGTATTATACGGTCACACACCACAGAAAGCTGAAGTTCTCGATGCAGAATTCAGGTGTGTTAGGCTGTGATTTTAAAAGGCTTACCCTTCCAGGGCAGGTTACAGTAAGAGACACTTTCACACACTCTTTTCTTGTCTGCCTTTTAAAAAACATAGTAGGGTTACTTGCTTTGCAAATTCTTCTTAAATTAACAATTTGTCAGAGTATTGGTTAAAGATTGTAAGAAATGGAATAATTAGTATCAAAGTGCAATGGCTGTGTTTCTCAGAATTAGTATGTGAACAACCAGATGAAAGTGGGGAGGAGGGAATATTTCCTTTTTAAATCACTTTAGGAGGCCGACGTGGGCAGATCACCTGAGGTCAGGAGTTCCAGACCAGCCTGGCCAACATGGTGAAACCCTGTCTCTACTAAAAATACAAAAATTAGCCAGCCGTGGTGACGGGCTCCTGTAGTCCCAGCTACTCAGGAGGCTGAGGCAGGAGAATCACTTCAACCTGGGAGGCAGTGGAGGTTGCAGTGAGCCGAGCCGGCACCATTGCACTCCAGCCTGGGTGACAGAGTGAGACTCCGTCTCAAAAAAAAAAAAAGTCATCGAGTTATTTTGCTGAATTATTGAGTGAATTCGCCTCTTCCCTGGCCAGCATCTCCTTAGCAGGGAAAAGGGGGAGGTCTGGGATGAGGAATGATCGGGTTGTCTGATCAGGGGTGTCTGTTACCAGCAGTGCTTAGAAACAGACAGTTATGCCTTCCCATGTCTACATGGTCGCCTTGAGCACAATTGCTCAGAAAAGTGACATCAAAATGCCCACCGTTCCTTCAAAACCTGCAGATCAAAGCAGTTTTCTCAAATTCTCTTCTTGCATTCTGAGATATGATTTCTACCTGCTGAGTAGCTGGTCCGACGCCTTCACCATTTTAGATGTTTCCTCCTGAGCTGAGACACTGTCCTGCTTTAAAACCTTCTTGGAAAGGACACCCTGGCCAGTCACTGACGCCTCCTGAGTTCATGTCCTAGGACTGCCGTAACAAAGTGTCACACACTGCATAGTATACACAACAGAAGTGCGTTCTCTCACCGTTCTGGGGACCGAATGCCCAAGGTCAAAGTGTAGGCAGAAACATGCCCCCTTGGCAGGCTCTGGGGAAGACCCTTCACCCCTCTCCCAGCCCCTGCTGGCTGCCAGCCATCCTTGCCATCCTCGCCATCCTCGCCGTCCTCACCGTCCTCGCCGTCCTCGCCATCCTCGGTGTCCTCGCCGTCCTCGCCGTCCTCGCCGTCCTCGCCATCCTCGCCGTCCTCGCCATGCTCACCGTCCTCTGTGTCCTCGCCATCCTCGCCGTCCTCGCCGTCCTCACCGTCCTCGCCATCCTCGCCATCCTCAGTGTCCTCGCCATCCTCGCCATCCTCGCCGTCCTCGCCGTCCTCGCCGTCCTCGGTGTCCTCGCCGTCCTCGGTGTCCTCGCCATCCTCACCATCCTCACTGTCCTCGCCATCCTCGCCATCCTCGGTGTCCTCTGGTTGGTGGACACATCGCTCCAGCCTCTGCCTTGAACGTCACTTGCTGGTCTCCCGTGTGTGTGTGTGTGTGTGTGTGTGTGTGTGTGTGTGTGTGTGTGTGTCTGTGTTCAGATTTCCTTCTTCTTTTTTTTTTGATATGGACTCTCGCTCTGTCACCCAGGCTGGAATGCGGTGGCACCATCTCAGCTCACTGCAACCTCCGCTTCCTGGGTTTAAGCCATTCTTGTGCCTCAGCCTCCTCAGTAGCTGGGATCACAGGCGCCTGCCACCACACCAGGCTAAGTTTTGTATTTTTAGTAGAGATGGGGTTTCACCATGTTGGCCAGGCTGGTCTCGAACTCCTTAACTCAGGTGATCCACCTGCCTTGGCCTCCCAAAGTGCTGGGATTACAGGCACTGCACCCGGCCCAATTTCCTTCCTTTAAGGACACTCACTGGTGGTTGCATCCAAGCTCACCCTACTTCAGTGTGACCTCACCTTAACTTGATTCCACCCACAAAGACCCTATTTCCTTTTTTTTTTTTTTTTGAGACGGAGTCTTACTCTGTCACCAGGCTGGAGTGCAGTGGCGTGATCTCGGCTCACTGCAACCTCTGCCTCCCAGGTTCAAGTGATTCTCCTGCCTCAGCCTCCCGAGTAGCTGGGACTACAGGTGCAGGTCACCACACCCAGCTAATTTTTGTGTTTTTAGTAAAGATGGGGTTTCACCATGTTGGCCAGGATGGTCTCCATCTCTTGACCTCGTGATCCACCTGCATTGGCCTCCCAAAGTTCTGGGATTACAGATGTGAGCCGCTGCACCTGGCCCACAAAGACCCTATTTCCAAATAAAGTCACATTCACAGCTTCTAGTGGACATGACCTTTTTGGGGGCCACTGACACCGCCATCTTTCCAGCCTGAAGCCAGAGGACAGGGATGGGATCCTGGGGGTACGAGGTGGGCTCAGGGCTCTGGCACAGCTCAGGGAGGAAAAGCTGATGCATACTCAGGGCTGTGGCCTCAGGCAGTGAGGGCCTAGGACCTGGGAGACTCCGGGAGCAGGGCAGGGAAGCCGGGAGAGAAACTCCATCCAATGGGCATCTGTTGCAGGTGCGTTCCTGGCTGCCTGCCCGTCTCACTCTGGCTCTACACAGGAAGCTGGCAAACTCCGGACACTCTGGAGTCAACTAACATCTGAGTCAGGGTCAGATGCAGCAGCCACCACTCCAGGGAGACTGGTGGATGGTCAGGCAATGGGGAGGCCGCACTTGCTTGACGTCCAACTGGGCACTTCATTTCACAGCCTAACAGGGTTCCATTTTGCTAATTTTAAGTAGGATCACTTATTTTAAAATAGAGACAGTGTTTATATTTTAGCCCCATGTCAGACTGTAGTGTGTTAATGAAAGGCAAATTCCAAAGTCCAATCCAGGGAGGGCACAGTAACATTTAAATAATTTACTAAAGTTTCTTGTGAACAGGTGAATGTCTGTATGCAGTTCTCATAGAAGATGTATTGAGGAGGCATGAACATACTTTTGTTAAAATCCAATCAAATTTAAAGAGTAAATTATTTTTCTAGGTCAGGTATGGTGGCTCACGCCACCAACAGTTTGGGAGGCTGAGGTGGGTGGATCACCTGAGGTCAGGAGTTCGAGACCAGCCTGGCCAACATGGTGAAACCTATCTCTACTAAAAACACAAAAAATTAGCTGAGCCTGGTGGCGGACACCTGTAATCCCAGCTACTCAGGAGACTGAGGCAGCAGAATTGCTTGAACCCGGGAGGCAGAGGTTGCAGTGAGCC
The DNA here is from genome assembly GCF_000001405.40 of Homo sapiens. Classification (NCBI taxonomy): domain Eukaryota; kingdom Metazoa; phylum Chordata; class Mammalia; order Primates; family Hominidae; genus Homo; species Homo sapiens. The sequence goes on along the minus strand of NC_000013.11, from coordinate 112,643,565 downwards.
AAGATGGCACCACTGCACTCCAGTCTGGGCAAGAGAGTGCGACTATGTCTCAAATAAAATAAAATAAAATAAAATAAAATAAAATAAAGAGGCAATAGAGACAGAAAAACAAAATACAATGCATGAACTTTGACTGGTTCTGTAATACAAGGCATGTGGGGACAACGGGGACATTCTGAATTTGGACACGATAGGAGATGGTATTAAGGAATCGTTACTGACTTTCTTAGGTGTGAGAATGGTACTTTGACTGTGCAGGAGAACATCCTTGTTTTTCAGAGACATGTTGAGGTTGCCGAGGGTGAACTACATGAGGTCTCATGAAGTGGCCCGGCAAAAAAATAAAAAAATAGATAAATAAAAATAAACATAAATAGTTAGGTGTGGGCAATGGGTTATTTTTCTCCAAACTTCCTCTAACGCTGAGATTGCTCATGATGAAACATGAAAACAGAGAGTCTGACAAAGAAAACTATTAGCAGATGACTTCTTGGTACAGATGTTTCAGTAAAAGCCCAGCCTTTCCGAGTCATCTGTTGGTGGGTCTGGGAGTGCTGGACATGCCACCTACCTGGTGCTCAGAAGGGCCCTGATGTGGGCATCGGAATCACGGATGCCCGCTGCTGTTCAGTGACAGCACTCAGGCACACAGGGACCATCCCTGACTTTCCTACCCATTTGTAATCCTTCTCCCTAATCTGGCATCTTACTTGTAAAGTGAAATCCACACGACTCTGGTTGCTCTTGGGCAGAGTTGTTTGTTGGTTTGGAGATGTTGCTGGAGCAGCCATGGGAGGCCAATGCCTCAGCCTTCCTGATAGGAAGGCTGCCTGGCCTAAAGTTCATTTGAAATACATGAAAGCAAGATGGGTTGGTGGACAGAGCATTGGACCTGGGGGCAGATGTGATAAAATGTCCATTGCTAGCATGTAGGAGTGGGTGGCGGGCAGGCGGCGGGTGGGCAGGTGCTCACTGAGCCATTCTGGCAGCTTTTCCATGTTTAAATTTTTCCTTAACAAAATATTGGGGGAAATATTAAGTGACAGAAGTGAGATTTGAACCAAGGCTCCAGGATCTGGGTTCTTGGCCACGGTGCTCCGACGCCTCTCAGGCAGGGATGGGTTTGATGGAATTCATGCAGCAAAGGCATCACAGGCCTTTGTGCAAACTGAAAAGTGTATGGCCAGCCCTCCTCTCCAAGATGGGACTCAGAGGCAGGAAGTGCTTGCCCAAGGTCCAGGGGAAGGTTAGGGCCCCACCCCGCCTTCCCATTGCAGGGCACATGCACCGCTTAGGGCTGCCTTGACACCTCACGGAAACGCCGAGCAAGGCACGGGGATGCTGTTCACCTCCTGCGTATGTGGGCCCCAGGACAGCCCCTCTGGTCATCAGTGGGCCTCTAAGCACGGGGGTGCCTTTTCTTCCAGCGCCCGATGGGCTGGCCTGCTTTTACTCCCGTGTAGACGCCGTCCTCCTCCTTGCATTGTGTTGCCTGCTCCTCTTTGAACACGTGCGGTTTATCGAGCAGCACAGGAAACGTTTACCCTTGAGATTAAACATCTTCTGGCTTCACTTCTATTTTTAATGCCTCGGATTCATATAGCACTTCCCTTTGATGAGGTCAGCCCTTCACAGACATTGTCTAATGAATCCTCCTGGACTGGGGGCGTGATGGGCATCGTGAACCGAAGGCCATGGATGAAAAACAACAACCTCAAAGGAGTTGTGTGCAATTGCTGTGTAGACGAAGGGATCAGAGAGCGGTCATCGTGCCTGAAATAGAATCTTTATCTTCCAATTCCTCTTTCAGGGGCCTGGGAAACGGACACCTGCAGCGAGGACCAGGGTGTGGTGTGGAAGCAGGAATGACGGCATCTCAGCACTGGAAGCAGACTTGGAGACTGGCTGCTGCCTCCGCATCTGACCCACAGGGAAGGTGATAAAGCTGGGCTGTGCCCAGGGTCACGAGGCTTATTAGCACAAATCTCCAGCCAGGGCCTGGGCTGCGTAGCCTCAGAAACTCCACATTTCAACGGTCGATATTTCATTTTCTAGGAACTGATTTTATTTTATGTTATTTATTTTTTAACAGAGTCTTGCTCTGTTGCCCAGGTTGGAGTGCAGTGGTGCAATCTTGGCTCACTGCAACCACCACATCCCGGGTTTAAGCAATTCTCCTGCCTCAGCCTCCTGAGTAGCTGGGATTATAGGCATGCGCCACCATGCCCGGCTAATTTTTGTATTTTTAGTAGAGACGGGGTTTCATTCACCATGTTGCCCAGGCTGGTCTTGAATTCCTGACCTCCGGTGATCTGCTTGCCTCAGGTTCCCAAAGTGTTGGGATTATAGGCGTGAGCCATCATGCCCAGCCATGAAGTAATTTTAAATTACACACCTCATTCCCTGCTCAGGCCATACAAGCCATACAAGCCTTTCTTCACCCACAGCAATTCTGTCTTTCAAGGAAATTAACTTGTAAGATTTACCTCAAGCCTAGAGGCCTAGAAAAGTCTGTAAACTGGCATCCCTTTTAGGGGGACATTGGCACAGGCAGCTCAAGCTCTGGGGGCTCAGAACAAGCTGAGCCAAAGGACCCCGCCATGCGGGCCAGATCCCAAGAGCGCCACCTGGGGGCAGAGTGCACGGCCGTGCAGGTCCGGAACTGCCGACTGGGTGGGCGGCACCTGCGTTTCCCATCGCGCTGTGCCCAGGCCCGCGAACACCCAAGGGAGAAACCCGCAATTCCAGTTGTTCCCAGGGTCCCTCAGCCTCTTTGGGACTTCAGGGAGCCAGGCAAAGAGGTCAGCTGTTGAGTTTTTCTAGAAATTCCCTCAATGCTGTGGCTGGGTCTCCCTGAACATACAGCAAAGTTGACCACGCCCAGACTGGGGGACTTGAAGGATGTCTCTGGGCTGCGCAATGTAAGAAATTGCTATCACAGGTGTTTATGCAAAAAAAAAAAAAAAAAAAAAAAGAAAAAAAAAAGCGCTGCCACGTGGCATTGGTACTCAGTCCTCTAAACCAATATTCCCGATAAGATGTCTCATTTCATCTTTAGATTAAAAGAAAGGACAAGAGTTCCTGAGTAAGAAACTTCCTCAGGAAGGAGGTTTTCCGCCAAGCTTTTTGTCTGTTGTTTATGTATCCATCCGTCTATTCATCCATGCATTTATTTATTTAATCTATTTATCTGTCCATCCTTATCTAACTATTTTCAGGTAAACAAACTAAATTAATAATAATCCTTGCTTCACATAGTACAGTTTCATTCATTGGCCAATACGGTGAGCTACTAGTTTTATTTTGATAATGTGGATGGAGTGTCTACAACCCAAACAGAAGCCAGGATTTTGGCTGTAACCTGCCTTAAACCACACGGCTGCACCTGATCCCATGCTCCCGCACCATCCCCTAGCTCTTCACCCCCAGCTGACCATCATCCTAAATCCCATGTCCCTGCTTCTCCACTTTCACTTTTTAAAAAATAGTTTTGCACCCATAGGTATTCCTAAAAAGTGTGTTAATATAGACGTGCTTAACTTTACTAACGTGGTATTATGCTTTCTGTAGTGGTTTTAGACTACTTTTTGCCTTACTATTGCGTTGCTGAGTTTTACCATGTTGTGTCTCACTGCAGTGCATTCATTCTGACAGCTGTGTAATCATCCACCGTGTGAACATAGTGCCAGAAACTGTGAAAGACTGAGATTTCACCACTTGTGAGCTAACACATCAGCCTGCCCATTTCAGAGATTCTGTAGGAGGCATGAGATTCCGAGGTCAGAGACAAAAGCCTGTCACTCGTGGCACAGGCAGCACAGGCATCTGCATCTTTACGGCAGTTCCTCTTGTCTTCCAGTGCCATGGGGTACTGGAAGTGGATGGGCACAGGTGGGTGCCCCCACACAGAGCAGGTGCATTACAGAGAGAAACCCTGAGCTCAGAAGATATAAATCTTTTATCATAGGCAGGAAACATGCTTACCCTTTGCTCCAGAGAGAAACGATCTGTATCTTTCAAGGCTGTTTGCTATACAGTCATTCTGGAAAAGACAGCTTTGGACAAAGGCAGTTAGTGCCTTGCCTGCAAGACACACAGCAATGTGAGAGACCTGTGGGGAATTCTCTCCCAATGTACATTACAGAATCTTCATGCTTTCAACGTGGAGGTACTATGGCCAACAGAATAGAGGCATCTCTAAGATGGTAACTGTACTAAGCTTTATCAATCCACTTATATCTTAAAAGGAAATTAATTTATCAGATTTTTAGCCCCTGGAGAGGCAGATGAGTTACATTTCCAGATGGGGCACTGGGAGGGGAGGACTATGCGGGTCGAGTCACAGGACGTGGCGCGAGAGGCTGCTGAGGGTGGTGACGGCATACTACACTCACCTTCCCCTCCTGGGCAACTGGACGACTGTGGCCATGTGGCTGGTGGGACAGAAGCCACTGCCTACCTACATGGCCATAGCATGGAGCAGATGCTAGTTGATCTGACGACACTTTTATGCTCTGCTGATTCAGCAAAAAAGCAAGAACAGAGGCTGAAGGGAACAGGAAAGAGGGGCCCTAGGGCTGTTGGAGCAGGGCAGGGTCTGGCACGGACACTGAGCTAAGAGACTTGGCATTTTCGAAACTCTCCCTTCTCTATAAAAATCATCCCTCCCCTTAACAGTAAACTTGAAGGAAGAGGTAGATCCACCAGGAACACCTCCTAGGCAGGGGCTGGACGTGTATATCCCTGGGGAAGTGGCTCTCAGCCCGGACTGTACCCTGTAATTACGTGGGGCGCAATAACCAAGTCCCATGCCCAGTACAAAATATGCCAGGTACTAAATAGGGGGTCATTGAATTGGTGCTTAACTGCGTTGTTGATGCTTCTACTCCAAACTGCAAAACAAAGACCCAGAGCAGAGCTTTGCAGCCGGCCTCGCCGCGTCACGTGGGAACTTGTCGGAAACACCATGGCAGGGCCACACCCCAGGTGATGGAATCGGAAACCTGAGGGTGGAGTCCCAGCCAGTTTGCTTTGAAAGCTTCCCAGGTGGGAAGCGTAGCTCCAGGGGAAAGACATGAAGACTCAGACCCTCATTTGCTATCCGTGTAGAATGTCGGCGGCCAGATCGTGCTGGGCAGGGCAGGGCAAGGGCACAGGGAAGGTCAAGGCGCACACGCGATCGTCTGTTCGACCTCATCCTCGGCGCCCTCCAAGCCTGTCCTGTGCCAGAGTCAGCTTTGACCGTTTCTCTCTTCACCACTGCAATCAAATAAAATCTTCCTGGTTCCTGCAGAACCCACTTCATTTCCAGGGCGAGACGTTTTCTGCTGTGAGGTGGCAGCTGAAGCCCCCTGCAGCAGAGGTGGCCAGTGGGGCAGGCAGGGGTGCTGCAGGACCCACCACGCACCCTCAGGTGGCCATCAGCTCAGGGATTCTGCACTATCATCCCTTCTGTGGTCGCCAGAAATATGTTACAGGACGGGGTCCCAATCCAGACCCCAAGAGGGGGTTCTTGGGTCTTGCGCGAGAAGGAATTCAGGGCGAGTTCACAGGGCAAAGTAAAAGCAAGTTTATTAAGAAAGCAAAGTGGTGAAAGTGCAGCTGCTCCATAGACAGAGGAGAACGTTCCAGAAAGTAAGAGGAGGGACGCGTCCACCCTGGGAAAATGCTGCTTCATATGGGGAGATGTGCTCTGCTACAAGGGTTTGTGATAAAGGATTAGGTTTCTTAATTACTATATTTTACAAGAATAGATATTATTCGCTTTAAAGCAAAGTTAGGAATGCCTTTGTTCTCCAGTTATGGGGATATCTGGACACTCTCAAGTCTGGGTCTGTTTAGTAAACATTGTTAATTTGTTCCCTGAACTGTAAACATCTAGAGGCTCGGAATGCCTGACTTCCTAAGAATGCAGCCCAGCAAGGCCTAGCCTCATTTTCCAGCCCTCACTCAAGATGGAGTTGCTCTGGTTCGAACGCCTGTGACAGTGGCACTGCGTGAAGGAAACCCTGGCTTTGCAAAATCTCTGAGGAATTCTTCTCGGGGGCCTGGAGGCCGCCCTGGCGGCAGCTCCTTGGATCTGTCTGCCAGCGCCAAAGTGGGAAGGAGAATGGCCTGGGTCTCCCACTCCTCCTTCCCTCCTGCCTGGCCTGTTCCGTGGGCTCCTGCGCCCACTCCTCCTCCCCGCGGCCATGGGCTCCTCCTGCGAAATCTTGCATGGCCTCGGCTGCCAGGTGGCAGAGCCGCTGCGCTTGGGCGATGAAAGCAGACGGTGGCTCTGTTGCCCTCCTCCCACCCATCTCCCATGTTTCTGCCACCTTTTTAAGGGTGATGCTGCTCGCTGGAGTAAAAACCGTCGACTGACAGAAGCACGTTGGGCTGTGGGGTGAAATAATGACACCTCGAGCCCTGCCTGTCGTGGACCCAATGGAAGCCAGGGCCTCGCCCTAGAGCAGACATGGGCCTCAGGAGGGTGGGTGTGTCTGTGGGCGGAGTTCCCACCCGAGCCCTTGTCATGCACAGCCCCAGATTTGCCTTTGGCCTCCAGGTGCCACATGGGGACAAGCTGGGAACCAGGAAAGAAATGGGATAGTGCTCGGAAAACTGGTAGCTGGCAGTGGATAGCATGACCATGTGCCTGCCTGCGTGTTACTCATACAAACCCCAGGACCCAGACAACCCCATGAGGTGCAGACAGTGAGGGTTGTCGGTGCAAAGCACAGGCAGAGCAGATCCTGGCTCCTGGGCTGCATGGTCTTGGGTGACTCCTGACGTCTCCGTGCTCCTGGCTCCTCCTCTGTAACACGGGAGTCAGTCATCGTGCACGTTCGCAGGGTCATCAAAAGAATGGCCTGTGTTGGGGCAGTGTCCTGGCCATGGTGCGCACCCGAGGGCATTGGCTGTCATCCCCATCCTCCCTGGAGGGGATGGGACCTGCAGATGAAGCCCTTGCTAGTCCTGCAGCCGGGATCGGCGGGGTCAATCTGCTCTCTGAGTTCCTCAGCTGCACCCCTTGGAGGAGAGAGCCTGGATTCTACAGCAGAGACAGGGAAGAATTGTGGTGTCTGTGGCCCCTGAATTCCTTGGGGTCCCCAGACCTGCACTCCCCCCGGACTTGTGACTCGAGGTGACCCGTTCTCCCGACTGGCCGAGCTCCCCTCATGAGGTTCTCTGTCCCTTGCAGCTGAAAGCATTCTGACGGACACAGCTGGTTTTCCCTGCACTCTAGCACAATCTTAAAATAAAAAGGGAAACCCAGTTCTTCCAATTCTGGATTGGCAACCGAGCTCATTTGCATGAGTAATTGACAAACTTTGAGCACTGGCTTGACAGAAACTGCTAGCAAGCAGCGCTGCAGAATAGAAATGGAAGCCGGCTGGTGAATGAAGACAGAAAAAGAACCCACTGGAAGGGGCAAATCATTTAGATGCTCAATTAAGGAAAACACAATATTCGATCTTTGAAAGAGATGTTGATTTTTCCATCGGAAAAACGTCAGGGGCAGAATATAATTTGGAAGCAACCATAAGCAATAGTCAGTATCAGCTATAGATCAATTCCCACTTTGAAGATGCTATTTCTTGAGCAATTTTGCAATTAAAAATGTCACTCATGTTTTATTATAATTATCTGTAATGCCTCTAGGGCTTTCTTTTGTTCTTTTGAAGATTTTCAAATTCTGAAATAACTGGGATTAGCCCAGAGTTCAGATAGCCTGAAATAACTTAAGTACCACCTAAAAACTGGTTTTGAATGTTTTCCTCTGGCAGATCGCACACGGTTCTCTCTGACTGTTTCAGATAAGCCGAGGATTGGAGTCTGAACTCCACAAATCTCTGTCAGGGTGGGAGCACACGTGGCTGTAGGACGGGAGAACGTGAAGGAGTCTCCTGTTCTCAGAGCCTGTCTTTCTGTTTCTTTGACATCCAGGATACCTGGGCTATCAAGAATGGCATTGCTGACTCCTGCCTCCTCTAAGCCTGGGGTGGGGGTCTTGGGGTCCCAGAAGTCCTCTTTCTTTTCCTCCCTTCCTCTGACACCTGTGGGCAGAAAGTGGGAGCAAGGGACAGGCTGCCCTGCATGAGACGAGATCCATGCCTTGTGATTGCAGACTGTCTGCCCTGCGGGTCCTGTAATGGATTCAAGAAAGAGTTAGGGGAGGGGTCACAGGTGAGGGCTGTTGATGCTTGGTGCTCTGCTGGGTTGGAGAGAGTTGCGGTGGGTTGGGGGGGGTGCCTGCCCCACCCTAGAAGCCCCTGACTCTGGCTCTCTTCTTCTCACCAGAGGAATAGCTCCAATGCCATAAACACATTCTGTATTATCATTAAAGCAAACACCGCACTGATGCCATCAAAGACAGGAAGGCTGAGGATTAAAAAACAAGAAAATTAAAAGCCATCTATGATCCTAGAATAGATCCTGTGCTGGGGGAAAGAGGACACTGAAGGACATTATCAGTCTGTGGTGAACCTGGAACACAGGCAGTAGATTAGATAAAAATATTTTATCAATGTTAAATTTACTGAAATTGATAGCTGTCCTGTGGTTATGTTAGAGAATGTCTTTGGTTTTAGGAAAGACACTGAAATATTTAGAAGGTAAATGTTCAGAGGCTAAATAAAGCATTCAGAGGCCACAACATACACAATTTATTCTCAAATAACTTAGGGGAAAATATATATTTATATAGGATATTTTATTCCTTTTTATGTATATATTTACACATTTTATATACTATATATCAGATGAGAGAGCAAAACAAATGCTAAAGCAAATAGGGCAAAATGTTAACAGTAAATGAGTCGAGGAAAGGATTGGATATTCTTTGTACTTTTTTTGCAAATTTTCTATAAGGCTGCAAGTTTCTGACCAAGAAGTTTCAAGGCTCTGGGCTGAATTGTGATCTATCAAGGAGCAACATCTGTCTAAGAGTCACACAGCTGCACTTTCTCCCTCATCTTTTCCTCCTAGTTCCATTTCTAGTGACCAAGGCACGGGTTTTCACCTTTCTGCCTCATTTGCGAAATTAATTTGAGATGTAATATTGTGAAATAACAAGAAATATATATTTGGTCTTTGTCCCCAGTTCCTGGCACAGAGCCCCTAATTCCTTGGAATTTCTGGGGTGATAGGAGCACCTTTTGTTCTAATGAGGTGATTCTTGGTGGCTTGTGGGAGAGGGGCTGGTCACCGGAAAAGACCGAGCCGTCATGAGAAGCCTGGAACTCTCAGCTCCAACCTCCCGGGGGAGCTGGAGATGGAGCTCATAACTGATGACGCCCACGTGACGAGACCTTGGTGAAATCCCCAACTAGGAGGTTCGGAGAGCTTCCGATTTGGTGAGCAACCCCACATGCTTGCAGGTGGGGTTGTTGCGGGTGCACCCCAGCTCCTGCACTGGCAACTTTCTTCATCTGAGAATTCATCCATAGTCTTTATAATACGTCAGTGAACATAAGTGTTTCCCTGAGTGCTGTAAGCTGTCAGCAAACTATGAAACCTGAAGAGGGGTTCGTGGGAAACCCTAATATGCATTTACATTGGACAGAAGTGGTCACTTGGGGACCCACTGCTTGAAACTGGTGTCTGAAGTGGAGGCAGTCTTGCAGGACTGAGCCCTCAACCCACGGGGTCCCACTAGCTCCAAGTAATACCATGACTGAGTTTTAGGACGTTGCATTGGTGTCTGGAGCACTGGAGGTTGGTTGATGTGGGTGAAAAACACCCCGTTTGGTTTCAATAGCATTGTGTAAGAGTAGGGAAAAACAGAATTTTTTTTCCTCAGACATTATGAAATGTGTCTTTGTTTCTCTTAATTCTCTGCCTTGAAGTCTACTGAGACTGGGACAGCTGATAGTCCAGCGTTCTCAAGCTAATTATTTGTATGGTGTATCCTTCGTCATCACTGGTTCTTAGCCCACTCTTTATATCTGAAGGGGAGCTCCTGAGGACAGCATACAGTGGGCTTTGCATTCTGAAGTCCACTCTGATAATGTTTGCCTTTTAATTAAAGTGTTTAATAATTAATATTTAAGGCCGGGTGCGGTGGTTCACGCCTGTAATCCCTGTACTTTGGGAGGCCGAGGCAGGCAGATTACCTGAGGTCAGGAGTTCAAGACCAGCCTGGCCAACATGGTGCAAATTCCATCTCTACTAAAAGTACAAAATTAGCCGGGTGTGATGGTGGGCACCTGTAGTCCCAGCTACTCGAGAGGCTGAGGCAGGAGAATCACTTGAACCCAGGAGGCAGATTGCAGTGACCTGAGATGGCGCCAATGCACTCCAGCCTGGGTGACAAAGCTAAATTCTGTCAAAAAAAAAAAAAAAAGATATTATTCCACTCTCCTCTGGCCTTGTTGTTTCTGATGAGGAGTTAGCTGTTCTTTGAATAATTGTTCCTCACTATATCACGTACAGAGCGAAGACGAGGTGAGGACTCAGGGAGAAGACAGCTGTCTACAAACCAAGGGGAGAGGCCTCAGAAGAAACCAGTCCTGCTGGCACCTTGACCTTGGACTTCCAGGCTCTAGAACTGTGAGAAAGTAAATATCTATTGTTTAAGCCACACAGCCCGTGGTACTTTGTTATGGAAGCCCCAGCAAACTAACATACCGGGAAGCTGTTTCCTTTTTTTAAGTGTCAATTTACCTCTAGAATTTGTCTTCTTTTGAGTCATTCTTCAGGTAGTTGAATTTTTATTTCTTTTTTCTTGAGACAGGGTCTCGCTCTATCACCCAGGTTGGAGTGCACTGGTACAGTCTCAGTTCGCTGCAACTTCCGTTTCCCAGGCTCAAGCGATCCTCCCACCTCACCCTCCCAAGTAGCTGGAACCACAGGCTCGTGCCACCATGCCTGGCTAATTTTTAATTTTTGGTGGAGACGGGGGTCTTGTCGTGTTGGCCAGGCTGGTCTTGAACTCCTGAGCTCAAACAATCCCCCAGTCTCAGCCTCCCAAAGTGCTGAAATTGCAGGTGTGAGCCACTGTGCCTGACCAGGTAGTTGATTTTTTTTTAAACTTTGTCTTGAGTTTATAGTACTTTCTGCAGTAGGATTGGTTTGATAGGAGCTTACTTGGTCATCACTAGAGACAGATCTTCATAGTTTGTTTGTTTATTTATTTATTGTTTTTTTTTGTGACAGAGTCTCACTCTGTCACCCAGGCTGGAGTGCAGTGGCGTGATAACAGCTCACTGCAACCTCTGCCTCCCAGGTTCAAGCAATTCTCGTGCCTCAGCCTCCCGAGTAGCTGGAATTACAGGTGTGCACCACCACGCCTGGCTAATTTTTGAATTTTTATTAAAGACAGGGTTTTACCATGTTGGCCAGGCTGGTCTTGAACTCCTGACCTCAAGTGGTCCGCCCACCTCGGCCTCCCAAAGTGCTGGGATTACAGGCGTGAGCCACCATACCCAGCCCACAGTTTATTTTTGAATATTGACCTGTAGTCACCTTCATCTGTATTTAATTTTTTTACGTATAAAATAATTTTTTCCATGAGTAAACACAGTTTTATATCTTCATTTCCAATCCTTAATGTATTATTATTATTATTATTATTATTATTATTATTTGCTTTCGTTCTCTGTCTAGAACTCCTCCAGTTAAAAGGCGAGGGCATGAGTGGTAACAGTAAACCTGCTTTCTGTTCCTGATCTCAGGGTAACACTGTTTACTGTTGTGTGATTAAGTAGAAAGCTTGTTATAGTTGTTCTGTAAATTATATTTTTCAGATTTAAAGTGTTGCCATATGAATTGCTGAGAACTTTGATCATGACTGGATGTTGAATTTTATGTTTTGTGCATCTTTGGAGATTGTCACACATTTTACTCCTGTGTTCTACTACTGTCCTGAGTTATATTGATGGATTTTCTAACATTGACTAATTTTGCATTCCTGGGATTAATTCTATTTGGTCATAATGTATCCTCATTTTAATTAGATATACTACACATAGTTTGCTATTCTTTTTTTTTGAGTTGGAGTCTCCGTCACTCAGGCTGGAGCATGATCTCGGCTCACTGCAACCTCCGCCTCCCAGATTCAAGCGATTCTCCTCAGCCTCCTGAGTAGCTGGAATTACAGGCATGCACCACCGTGCCCGGCTAATTTTTGTATTTTTAGTAGAGATGGGGTTTCACCATGTTGGTCAGGTTGGTCTCGAACTCCTGACCTTGTGATCCGCCCACCTCGGCCTCCCAAAGTGCTGGGATTACAGGTATGAGTCACCGCGCCCAGCCTGTTTGCTATTCTTAATGTGATTTTTGCATCTATGTTTATAAAGGATGTTGGTCTGTAAGTTTTACTTCTGGCAATGTGTTTAGAAGTTTGGTACGAAGGCTATCCTGGTTCCAAAAACGAGTTGGTGCACTTTCCTCGTCTTTCTTCTGTCTCCATCAGCACATGTGAGACCACTGTGTTTCCTTAAAGTTGTGGAAGAATTCACTGGAGAGGCATATAGGTTTGGATTTTGTTTTGTGAAAAGTTCTAAAATTATGGATGCCAATTTCCTTAATAGAAAAAGCCTATTCAGGTTTTCTATATCTTCTTGCCTCTGTTGGGGTAAATTGTGTTTTTCAAGGAATTTATCCATTTCATCTAAGATGTCGAAGTACTTACATAAAACAGTTCAAAATATCCTTTTGTTGTTGTTGTACGTGTAAGAGCTGCGGTGATGTTTCATTTTTCATTTCTGATATTGGTAATCTGTGTAGTTTTTTAAATTTATGTTTATCAATCTTGCCAATTGTCTGGGTTTTTCGAAATTCTTCAAAGAAATAAGTTTTTACCTAGTTGGTTCTCTTTATTTTTTCCCACATCAATAGTTTCTACTCTTATCATCACTTTTTTCATATTTTCTTATGTTTTATCTCCTTTCTCCTCTTAACTTTTTTTGAGATGGAGCCTTGCTCTGTCACCCAGGCTGGAGTGCAATGGCGCAATCTCAGCTCACGGCAACCTCCGCCTCCCAGGTTCAAGGGATTCTCCTGCATCAGCCTCCCGAGTAGCTGGGATTACAGGTGCCTGCTACCATGCCCGGCTAATTTTTGTATTTTTAGTAGAGACGTGGTTTCACCATCTTGGCCAGGCTGGTCTTGAACTACTGATCTCTTGTGATCAGCCCGCCTTGGCCTCCCAAAGTACTGGAATGACAGGCGTGAGCCCCGGCGCCCGGCCCTAACTTCTGAAGGTAGATACTTAGATACCTCTTAGGCTTTCTACCTTCTTTAAAGTATGCATTTACATTTATGTAGTTTTTTAAAGTCTGGCTTTAATTGCATGCCACAAGTTTCAACAAGCCTTATTTTTATTTTCATTTAGTTGAAACATTTTAAATTTCCAATATTTTTTTCTTAGCCATGAACAATTAAAATATTACTTAATTTCAGAATATTTGGGGATTTTTATTTCATTTAAACCATGCAGTCTCAATTGGGCAGGGTTTAGTGGCGACATCATCACCGAAGTGGTAAAAATTCGTTATTCAGGGACCAAAAAATCCTTCAGTATTACAACATTTTGCTCTCTGAAGCTCAACTTTGACAAAATCTTATCCATTAGTATTTCATTTCTTTCATTAGAAATTTAATTTAATCTAAACTAATTAAATTAAGTGTAATTTTTATCCTTAGAGAGAATAATAATGAAAAAAGGATGGAGAAACACTGACGTAAACCTACTGAGATTAAAGGGTATATACTTCAGCCAGACGCAGTGGCTCACGCCTGTAATCCCAGCACTTTGGGAGGCCAAGGCGAGCAAGTCACCTGAGGTCAGGAGTTCAAGACCAGGCTGGCCAACATGGTGAAACCCGTCTCTACTAAAAATACAAAAATCAGCCAGGCACGGTGGCAGGCGCCTATAATCCCAGCTACTCGGGAGGCTGAGGCAGGAGAATTCCTTGAACTGGGAAGCAGAGGTTGAAGTGAGCCGAGATAAGCCACCGCACTCCAGCCTGGGTGACAGAGCATGACTCCGTCTCGGAAAAAAAAAAAAAAAAGAGTATCTACTTTGTGTCATTGCAGTGCTTTCAACCATGGCTTGCTTTAGAGCTGTTCAAAGGACCTTTAAAAGAATGTGTATTTCATAGTTATTGGGTACAATGTTCTATACTTGCTTACTTATGTTCCTGAGATTGTTTAAATCTGCCACACAATTAGTCTTTTTGGGGGAGGGGAGGAGGGAAGGGGTCAACGTGTTCCATCGGCCACCGGAAGAGGAATATTCCGTTTCCTCCTTATGCTCCTCGGCCACCGGAAGAGGAATATCCGTTTACTCATTATGGTGGTCAGTTGGTCCAATTCTCTTTTCGTGTCTTTCAATTGTGCTTTATAACTTTTGAGACTTTCTTATTGGCCACATGCAAATTTAGAAGAGCTGCAGCTCCCCTGTTAATTGGCACTTTTCTCATCACGCTCCACTTTTATTTCTAGTAAATCTTCTTGCTTTAAGGGCTACTTGTCTGATATTGGAGTAACTACACCAGCATTCCTGTAGAGATGGTGTTTGCATCATGCGTTTTTTCTCATCCTTTTATTTTTAGTACATAATTTTTATGGTATATTTCGTCTTCTAGGAAACACTTAGTTGTTATGGTTTGGGTTTTTTTTGTTGTCGTTGTTCCAACTGTTAATCTTTATTTTTTAAATCAGTATAGTTAGCTATTTTACATTCTGTGTAATTATAGAAGCTGTTGGGTTTAAATCTATCAGTTTACTATTTGCTTACTATTTTTCACATTTCCTCTGCCATCCCCTTTTCTCTTTTATTGATTACCTTTTTATTAATAACTTTTTTTTTTTTGAGATGGAGTCTTGCTCTGTCGCCCAGGATGGAGTGCAGTGTTGTGATCTCAGCTCACTGCAACCTCTGCCTCCCAGGTTCAAGCGATTCTCCCACCTCAGCCTCCCGAGTAGCTGGGATTACAGGCATGTACACCACCACACCTGGCTAATTTTTGTCGTTTTTAGTAGAGACGGGGTTTCACCATGTTGGCCAGGCTGGTCTCGAACTCCTGACCACAGGTGACCGCCTGCCTCAGCCTCCCAAAGTGCTGGGACTACAGGCGTGAGCCACGGTGCCAAGCTCTTAAGAAATTTTTATCACACATTTCTTCCCAGTAGTTTATTAGTTAGACATTCTTTTGCTATTTTTAGTGGTCA
The DNA here is from genome assembly GCF_000001405.40 of Homo sapiens. Classification (NCBI taxonomy): domain Eukaryota; kingdom Metazoa; phylum Chordata; class Mammalia; order Primates; family Hominidae; genus Homo; species Homo sapiens. The sequence goes on along the minus strand of NC_000013.11, from coordinate 112,628,406 downwards.
GCCTACAGTTTACGGCATGTATCCTTGACTTATTAAACTCTAATAGAAGTGAGAGAGCACCTTTACCCCTTCTGAGACAATGCAAGGGCCCTAGAGCTCTTTTCCCCATAGAACACCCCACGCGGACCTACATGATATCAGATTCATGAATTTTAATTTTCTGTATGTTTAAAAATAAATAATGAATTGTTAATTTTATACAATTATTTTTATTTAGATTCTGCTAGGTGACAGTCACAGCAGCACCAGGGACCTTGAGGGAACCCACCCAGCTTACAGGCATGAGGCTTCTCAGAGGGAGGCAGCCCTGAGCAAGGCTGGGGCAGCGCTGGTGAATACGGGTCACTGGAAGTTGTCGATTTATTCCTTTATCACTGGGATTCTATCTGGGATCATTTTCCCTCTGCAGCAAATACTCCCTTTACTGTTTCTTTCATGTGCATCTGACAGTGGCCAATTCAATCAGTTTTTGCTTAGTTGAAAAAAGCAATGAAGCAAAATTCCACTGAGCATGGTGGCTCACACCTGTCATCCCAGCACTTTGGGAGGCCAAGGCAGGAAGCTGCTTGAGGCCAGGAGCTTTCAACCAGCCTGGGCAACACAGCAAGACCCCATCTCTAAAAAAAAAATTTTTTTTTTAATTAGCTGGGCATGGTAGTGTGTGACTGTGGTCCCAGCTTCTCAAGAGGCTGAGGTGGGAGGATTGCTTGAGTCCAGGAGGTCTAGGCTGCAATGAGCTGTGATCGTGCCACTGCACTCCAGCCTGGGTGACAGAACAAGACCCTGTCTCTCTCTCTCTCTCTCTCTCTCTCTCACACACACACACACACACACACACACACACACACACAACTTCCAGGGACCCGGATTCACCAGCAATGCCCCAGCCTCGCTCAGGGCTGCCTCCCTCTGAGGAGCCTCATGCCTCTAAGCTGGGTGGGTTCTCTCAAGGCCCCTTTTGCTGCTGTGACTGCCCATCACCTAGCAGAGCAGCCTCCCTCCTACACAGAGCGGAGGTGGCTCTAGTGCAGACAGCCGCCTCTTCCCAGGTGATCAACACGTGCACAGCCCGCTGTTCCCTCAGTGAGACGCCACATCAGGGTCGGGCGCTGTGGGCAGAACCGGGAGCAGAATGGGTGACAGGGAGCCCCTGTGTGGGCCTGCACCCACCTCCTCCCAACCCCTGCTGTGCCATCACCGGCCCAGAAGGCACCAGTGCTGAGAGGGGCCTGCTGACACCCACAGCTCATTCTGTCTTCCTGGTCAGCTTGGTACGATTGGGCTGCTATAAGCAAATGTCATTGATGGTGTAATTTATAGACAAGAATGTGTTGCTTGGATCTGAAGGCTGGCGAGTTCAAGACCAAGGTGCCGGCAGATTCACAGACCGTGTCTCCTGCAGAGCCCTCGAGTGGCAGGTGGGCACCCCAAGCCCCTGACACATCTTTTCTAAAGACGCTAATCCGGCCGGGCACAGTGGCTCACACCTGTAATCCCAGCACTTTGGAGGCCAAGGTGAGCAGATCACCTGAGGTCAAGACGTCGAGACCAGCCTGGCCAACATGTTGAAACCCCATCTCTACTAAAAATACAAAACAATTAGCTGGGCATCATGGCAAGTGCCTGTAATCCCAGCTACTCAGGAGACTGAGGCAGGTGAATCACTTGAACCCAGGAGGCAGAGGTTGCAGTGAGCCGAGATGGCACCATTGCACTCCTGCCTGAGCGACAGAGTGAGACTCTGTCTCAAAAAAAAAAAAAAAAAAGATGCTAATCCTATGCATGAGGGTGGAGCCTCCCAGAGACCCCACCTCTTGGTACCACCCCCTGAGGGGTCAGGATTTCCACATATACATTTGAGGGAGGCACACACATCATATTGTAACCCGGGGCTAAGTTCCTTCTCTGGAGTGGACACTCTGGAGAGTGTTCATGTGAGACACACACTCAGGTTCCGTGTTCACTCCTGCAGGCCAGTGTCTGTGTGACTAGCAGGAGGAGGGAGCCGCTCTGCCCACTCTGGGGGTTCAGGGGTGTCAGGCATTCGAGAGCGTCAGGCCATGGACAGCAGGTGTTTCCTCCCAGGTCGCAGGGGGCTGCTCATCACAGGGCCCTGACTTGGCACAGGAGATATGTCAAGGCTGTAAGTTCTGTTTTCTTGTAGCTCTGCTACTCTTCAATCAGCCCTTGGGCCTGACCTTCTGCAGCCTCCCCAGCAGCCGCAGGAGGCGGAGGCCTCTATCAACACTGCCTTTGGAACCTTCTGGCTTTCACAGGGAGCCTTGAGCTGAGGGTGGCTTGCCAAGCCCATCGTTTTCTTTCTTAGGGGCTTCTAAAGTCAGCCAACTCCACAGTCTTTATAGAGCAATTTCCTCCATTTCGTTCAATACCACAGTGACCGAGGAAGCTAATGCATTTCTTTCCACCTGCACCTCACCCTGAGCACCTCTGGGAGGGTCACGGTATGAGCCTCAGCTGCATGTTCCTGTGTGTCACCACCTGCTATGGACTGAGTGTGTGTGTCCCTCCACATCTCCCGTGCTGAAGCCCTAACACCCAGTGTGAGGGCATTTAGAGGTGAGCCTTTGGGCATTATGTAGGTTTAGGTGCGGTCACAATGGTGAGGCTCCTTCTAAGCAGAGGAAGATAGAGCACCGCCTTCTCTCTCTGCCTGCCACGTGAGGCTACAGAAAGAAGGTGGCTGCCTGCAAACCAGGAAGAGAGCCCTCATCACAAAGTAAATCTGCCAGCACCTTGATCTTAGACTTACCTGTCTCCAGGATGGTGAGAGAGAAATTGAGCCACCCAGGTTGTGTTTGTATTATACTAACCTGGGCTGACTAAAACACCACTTCCCGTACCATCAGCAGTGAGTTCTCAAACCCATCCTGAGGATGCATTTTTCAGGCCACCTCTGGGCTCCCCCAGACAGCAGAGCTGGAGACAAGGGCCTGTGTGAAGGTGGTTGATTTGGGAAGGGAGGCCGGGGGCAGGAGAGGGAGACTGGGAAGTGTGGAGCCGGCAGGGAGGAAGGACAAATTAAGCGTGTGCTGCCAGGCTGGCCACCACTGTTGGTGACGGGCCTCAGGGGAGCCCTGTCCACCATGCAGTGGGGTGGGAGGTGTCCCGTTACTCCTGGGCCCCTATTCCCTGGTGTCCAAGCATTGCCACAGGGAGTGTTGATGCCCTCATGTATCCAGCCCGGGGATCCTCCCCGCTGCATCAGGAATGCCCCGGAGAAAAGCGAGGGCCGCAGAGAGCAGCTGTGTGACACTGACCACCAGGGCAAGGATGAGAACACGAGGTGGGACTCGGGGGTTGGGGCAGGGCCACAGAGGAGGCCAGTGCACCTGCAGTGACCTTCTACCAGCTCCACCTGGCTGGTTTCTGTTCCCCTTTCAGCTCTCACACGGCCAACTGCCCAGTGCCGCAGGGAGGCCTCATTATTCTTCTTGGGATTACTTCCCTCATGTTTTTATTCCCCACAATTTGTAGCTACAATGTTGTTTATTTGTTGACTGTGTTTCTGATTCCTTGAACTACATGTCCAGCTAGCCAGAGACATGTATTGATTGTATGTTCAGCATTACGCAAGTCACCCAGCATAGCATCGGACAGAGTAGGTTCAACATGCGGGCTAAACAAAGGAACAGCACCTCGGTGCATTGCTCCCCAAGCCCACTATGGCCACAGCGTGTTCATCCTGCCTGGTGTTCCTCCCTTCTCTCACCCTACTGGAATAACCCTGAACACTCCTCTTTCCCTATGAAGTTTCCCAGGTCTGCAAAGTCCTGCTGCTCTTCCCTCTTCTGAATCCTGAAGATACTCAGGGGTTCCCATTGATGGCGTTTCTGTCCACACCAGGGGCTGTGACTTGGGGGCTCACTGCTTTGCTCCAAACACAGTAGGCATTCAGTCTTTACAACCCAAATGCCACTCGCCCTCCCCAGCCTGGGGCTCTAAGTGGAATGACTCCCTCTGCGTAAATTGGGAGGTGCAAGTAGATCCCAGGCAGTGGCACCCACCCAGTGTGTCTGTCTGAGCTGCAAAGCTGGGTGCACAGTCGTGCAAGACAGTGAGACAACACTCTCAGCCGACACTTTCTTGCTGGCTGGCAATGAACGGAGGACTGCTAAGCCTTTCTAAGGACTTCGCAGCAGCGCTGGCCGCAGGACTGAGCCGGTGCTCCGTGCTGACCCCTGAGTGGTGCCTCCATTCCAGGAACAAGTGCTGCTGCCGGAGGCACTGGCACATGTCCTGCACCTTCCCCGCAGGCCAAGCCCCTCGGGTCGTCCAGCTGGGGCCATGCATAGGCGCCCAGCGTGCAGTGCCAGCCCTGGAAACACAGGAGGAAATGGAGCGTCCACACAGGTTGCTGCTCTTACCCTCCACACTTCACTGACCTCACCCGTGTTTCTACGAGGGCCCCCTTTCTGTCCTACAATCCCCTCCAAGGTGCCTACTGCATGTGGATGTCCTGTCTCTGTAGCGTCTTCCAGTCTGTGGCGAGTCCTCGGCCTTTCCTTGTCTGTCATGACCTGGACCGTTCTGTGTTTTGAAGAAAGTCCCTCGATTTGGGTTTGTCTGATGTGCTACCCATGGTTCGACTGGGGTTCTGGGAAGAAGTGCCCTTCCCATCACATCCTTCCAAGGGGTGCCTGGTACCCACATGAACTCCTGGCAACAGACTATCCTCAGAATAGTCCGGCCCACCTCTGACAGAGCCATGGTTCTGCCATCCCAAGGGATCCCTGCCTGGACATTTCTGTGACCAGTTGGTTGAACACTTTCATAAATGGCTGAAGAACCCAAGTGACGTCCTCCTGAGCTATTCCTGGAGGAGGCGGGTGATGAAGAACGGCTTCCCATGTGTGCTCACTGTGCTGGTGGAGCGAGCCTGTGCTCACAGCCAGACGGGCCGGGGTTCAAATCTCAGCCCAGATCTCTGTGCTGGTGGAGGGAGCCTGTGCTCACAGCCAGACGGGCTGGGGTTCAAATCTTAGCCCAGATACCTATGAGATGGGGGCAGATCCTTATCAAAGTGAGGTTTAATTTCTTTATCCACGAGTGGAAATATGACATACGCCTCACAGATGATGGCACAGATGATGGCAGGATTCAAAACCACACGTGCAAAGCGTCCAGCAGTCCGCAGGGCCCAGCAGGGATGCAGTAAGTGCTGGCGGCTGGCGGCGGCTGATTGTTGTAAATAAGTGGAGGAATAATACGGAGAGAAGCTGCAGGCAGGATGCTCACCTCAGCCCTTTGCCCAGGAGAAGGTTAGTGTGTTATTTAGATATTTTTGTCTCTGAAGAACTTTTCATATTGTATGTCTTATTTTCCCCAAAAGACTGTACAGTCTGAATGATAATAACAGCCAACAGGTATGGGTGCCTCCTCCGTGTCGGGTGTTAAACACTTTGCATGTATTTTTCCATTAGATTTAATTCTCACAACAACCTCACCAGGTAAGAGCAATGATTAGCTGAGTTTTGCAGATCAGGTGAGGGGGAATGAATCACCCATCTGTGTGTATTTTCTCCTCTCTACCTTCTCTTCCTCGAACGTTCCTGATACTCATCATTAACATCCTCCGTAGGCATCCACTTTTCTGGGAAGGATTCTTTGAACAAAGCAAACCAGGAGCACCTCCTCCTGGCCCAGCTTGTGGCTCCTTGGCTCACCCAGTATACCAGTTGTCCTGTTGTTCAGGACCTGTCACAAGTGTGCCTGACGTATGAATTCCCTGGGGACAGGGACTGTGGTGGAGTTCTCGCCCAGCTCCCACCCCAGCAGAGGGCCTGGGGACAGGGACTATGGTGGAGTGCTCACCCCGGCTCCCACCCCAGCAGAGGGTCTGGCATATAGAGTCCCTAAATAAACCTTTTGAATGAATGTGTGGAGGACCTGGGGTCTGGCAGCAGACACAGAAAGGAAAGGGTGGGCCAGGACCTCGGCAGGGAGAACGGAGGGACCTGGCGACAGGAACTGGGTGAGGGGAATAAAGGCGTGTGATGGGAAGGACACAGGGACAGCTAGGGGAGGCAGGTGGCAGTGATGGGAGGCCTCCCTCCAGACAGGATGAGTCTGCGGTTAAGAGAAGCCTCCAGGTGGAGCGTCCCAGCACAGGCAGATGAAATCCAAACCCAGGATACAGCTGTGGTCAACAAAAACATCAGCAAATATTGCTGTGCTCTATTAGGAAGGACGCTGGAAACAGCAGAACACGTCTTCCCGCCTATCTCCGCACCTGGAAATCTATATATTCTTTTCATTGCCGAACTTGAGAAATAAATACTAAAGTAAGGAAAAGTCCAGAAAGCAATTACTATTCTCATGTATACAGAGAGATTTTTCATCAAAAGACTAATAAAAGAAAATATTTGAGTTTTAAGTTTGAAAATAAAAGATATATCTTAGGAAAATGTAATGATTAGTGGATTAATAATACTCGTTTACCTAATTTCAGAAAAGGAAGGCTAGAGAGCTGCCTGAAGTCTGTAGCTAAGTTTAATGTGAATAAATTCAGTAAAAATATACATACACGCACATACACAGATAACTCACATTATGCTAGGAGTCTACAGGGTGTGGTCACACACATCATAAACCAAGTGCTCACAAATTCCCCGTGATGTTGGTGTTATCTCAGTATTATATGTGAGTAGAGTAAGCTCTAGAAATTAAGCTGCAGTCATCACTCAATTTGTAGCCGGCAGAACCTTTGAGACGAAGTATCAACACATTCAGCACAATAAAAAATTTGAAGTTTGTTAGTCCCCCCGATAGATTAGAACCAACGAACATTAACATATGTGTAAGCTATCTTTATTACTTTGTGTTGAACTTGAGAAATAAATGGATCCCATTTGAAAAAAATATTTCTATGGCTTTATATTTTCAACAAAGTATTTTAAAATTATGCTATGACTTAACTATACCTAAGTGTGAAATTATGTATGAACTCTTTATATTTACAACAAATCAAATAAGACGAAACTATACAATCAATAAAATCCGAATCAACAGCATTCTTCATAATAGATGAGTCGCTTGGGTTTATCTAAAATACTCATACATTGGCACGTTTTGTGCTTCCCTGGTCCACTTTTTTTTTTTTTTTTTAAGATGGAGTCTCACTCTGTCTCTCAGACTGGAGTGCAGTGGCACCATCTCGGCTCATTGCAACCTCCACCTCCCAGATTCAAGTGATTCTCCTGCCTTAGCCTCCCAAGTAGCTGGGATTACAGGCATGTGCCACCATGCCTGGCTAATTTTTTTGTATTTTCAGTAGAGATAGGGTTTCACCATGTTGGTCAGGCTGGTCTCAAACTCCTAACCTCAGGTGATCCACCTGTCTTGGCCTCCCAAAGTGCTGGGATTACAGGCGTGAGCCACTGTGCCCGGCCGGCTAATTTTTTGTCTGCATATTTTTTTTGTAGAGATGGGGTCTCCCTATGTTGCCTAGGCTGGTCTCTGCCAGAAAATGTCTTCTCATTGCAAAAATAAGTGTTGACTTCATAACTAGTCCAAGCTTTTTTTTTTTTTTTTTGACGGAATTTCACTCTTATTGCCCAGTCTGGAGTGCAATGGCGCAATCTCGGCTCACAGCAACCTCTGCCTCCCGGGTTCAAGCGATTCTCCTGCCTCAACCTTCCAAGTAGCTGGGATAACACGCATGTGCCACCACAACCGGCTAATTTTGTATTTTTAGTAGAGACGGGGTTTATCCTTGTTGGCAGGCTGGTCTCGAACTCCCGTCCTCAGGTGATCCGCCTGCCTTGGCCTCCCAAAGTGCTGAGATTACAGGCATGAGCCACCACACCTGGCCTAGTCCAAGCTTTTAACATGCGTAATCGTCATTTGAATTCGGGACTTGTCTAGCTGCAGTGGAAAGACGTACATGGGCCCCATAAGCAGGTGACGCTCTCTTTAGAGGCAGCCTGCCAGGTTCTTGATGATAAACCCAGTCCTGAGTGCAGGCCGTGCCACAACAACACTCACTCCTAAGGTGGCCGTGCAGGTGACCCACGGTGCACTGAGGTTTTTCAAATTAGCACTGGAAAGAAGCATGGCACTCTGCACTAGCCCTCCTGGGCCCTGGAGAATACAGCACAGTCCTCTGTCTCTCACGTATTTATCTATACAGGAAAAAAAAAAAAGGTGTGTGTGTGGCGGGGACTTCGAGAACCTTGTTAGGCAGCTGTCTGAGCTTGAGCACTCACTCAACGTCCATTCGTCACCAGATGAAGGGTCTCGGCTGAGAGCTGTCCAGGTTCTTGGCACGTCGAACAAAGAATTGAACAAAACAAACAAAGCAACAAAAGAATGAAGCAACGAAAGAAGAAGCAACAAAAGCGCAGATTTACGGAAGCAAAAGTACTTCCACAGAGTGGGAGGGAACTTGCGCCAGCGGCTCCAGAGTCCCCCGTTAGGGATGTTATTAAGCTAAAAGAATTTGGTAACACCCCCAGGTGCCCTATAGAGGCCTCCAATTGGCTACATCCTATTGCCCCACGACCAATCAGAGGCTGAAGTGGAGGCAGCTCATGGCCAATCAGAGGCTGAAGTGGAGACAGTCTCGTTATTTCAGGAGTGAGGCTGTGGCCTGAGTGCTGCCTGATCCTGCCCAGAACTGGCTGCACCTGCTGTTCTTTTGCTTCTGCCTTATCCCTTGGCTACCCTCATTCCCTGTTCTCCTGCCACACGTGGGCCTCTTTTCCTCATCTTTAAAGTGGGGATAATAATAGTGCCTACCTCACTGGATTGTCAGGAGATCGGCAATCAAATAGGTTGGCATATGTAATATACTTAAATTTGGTACACAAGACATGCCTAGTTATTACGACTACCTGTGCATTCTAAAATAGAAGAGAATCTTTATTCTTTACCTTTCAGCAATAAAGAATACGGAATCATTAATGCAAATGTATCCCTTACAATGTATCTCATAAAAATATAGACAGAACAGAATGTGATATGAATTTTAATTTATTCCATTTCCTAAACCCCAAACGTTCATGGTTTAGGAAAAACGGGCTGGTGTTGGAAGCATGCACAGCAGGACGAACCCAGCATTCTGCTCAAAGTGGCCGAGTCCCCACGTGCCAACCAGGGTCAAAAGGAATCTTAGGAACAATAACAGTAGAAACCATTAGTAGGTGTCACAACCGGCCAGGCGCTGTGGCTCACACCTGTAATCCCAGCACTTTGGGAGGCCGAGGCAGGCGAGTCACTTGAGGTCAGGAGTTCAAGACCAGCCTGGCCAACATAGCAAAACCCTGTCTCTACTCAAAATACAAAAATTTGCCAGGCGTGATGGCAGGTGCCTGTAATCCCAGCTACTCGGGTGGCTGAGGCACGAGAATTGCTTGAACCCGGGTGGCAGAGTTTGCAGTGAGACGAGATCTCTCCACTGCACTCCAGCCTGGGCAACAGAGTGAGAGTGAGTGAGACTCCATCTCGAAACAAACAAAAAGAATTTGTCACAACCTTGAGACACAAAACTTTATAGGTGAGGATACTCAAGTTCAGGAAGATTGAGGAACTCCCCCAGGATGAAACAGCTACAATGTGGTGAACTTGGACTTCTGCTGACCGGCATCCGGCCTCAGGCCCCTTGCTCTTCTCATTGCCGAGGACCGAGAGGCCAGGGGCAGCTGGGTCCAGGGAGATGCCACCTGCCCTCCTGTTGTAGCTGCCACTTGCTGTCTCTGCGCAGCTTGGGATGACGTCGCTGTGTCCAGGCCCCCAAGAGGGAGCGCAGGTGAGCTCAAGAGCTTCGAGAGGACCCTCCCAGGGCTCAGCGTCTCGATAGCTTCCTCTCAAGGCCTGAGTTAACACGGAGTAGGAGCTCAGAAATTATTTACTGGCTGATTAGACAGTTCTTGAGTTTATGTCTTAGTAGAGATGCAACGGGTCTCTACCAAGAGAATTTACAAAAAGAGTAGAGTCTGTAATGAGGGGTGGGGAGAAGCGTGGTGCTGGGGGCTGGGCTAGTTCACGGACTCATGGGTGACCCCACACTATAGCATGTCCTGTGAAAGAGGACCTCTCCATGAATTTCTCCCCTGTGGAAAGGCTGAGGCCCTGGGACGATTATGTCCAGGGAAGACAGCGAACGGGCACTGAGTGGCGGCCTCTGGGCTGCAGTCTCAGCGGGCGTGGGCGTGGCATGTGTCCAGGTCTCAGGCGGGCCATCTTGTAGCCCAGCAGAGTCCAAGGGTCAATGCTGTCTGCAGGACAGGGACCTCTGTCTCCCAGGGGCCTCTGCTGTGACCTGGCCGGGGGTCTCCTGCTCTCTCCTTCTCTTCTGATCTGTTTCAGCTCTGGATGGGTCACTGGGCCCTGGAGGGAGGGGGTGCCCCAGGTCTTGCTGCGTTCACCTTCATCTTGAAGCCCGAGAGAGCAGCACGCATTTGGAGCAGGACTGGTGTCCACATTCAGCCCCGTCTGTGGCCAGACAGGCGCCTCCCAACAAAGACAGACGGACAGTGTAACTCCAGCCACCAGGTGTGAACCCCCGAGTGGACTGACAAAGCCGCCTCCCAGCCCACGGGAGAGAGAGGCTCTGCACCTTGACCTGGTGAAGAATAAGGGGCCATAAACCATGGGATTCCTCTTGGAGTCCCTTGGGGAGGGAGCTTCTGGCAGAGACGATTCTTCCGGATAGGTTTGATGTATTCCAGTCTCACATTGCAGTAAGAATTGATTGCAGGGGAAGAAGATGGAACCACCTTCCCTAAAGGTCTTTAACGACAGAACTGGTTTCTACCTGTGTTGGGTCAGTTAATTGGGTCCTGCCTGAAGGGAAGAAAAGGAATCAGGGCATCGCCCAGGTTCCTCCTAGTCCTGTGCTTGTGTGACCTGAAATAAAGAGGGTTTTCTGCATCTAGAAAACTGAGTGGATGGGCTTAGCTGGGTCTCAGATGTAATCTGTTTGCATGTGTCGTGGGAGGTAATTTAAATTATCGAAAATACTTTGTATCTGATGTCTTTTAAACACCAATTTATGAGCACAGCAAGAACAAAATGCTTTAGGCCATCCAAAGCGGTACTAAAGACACAATACCACACTTATGTGTCAATGGAAAAACCAAACTCTGCAAAATACTTAAAGAGGTTTATTCTCAGCAAATATGAGTGACTGCAGCCCAGGGAAACACAGGCTTTAGAATCCTGACCCAGTGCTCCCAAGGCAGACAGTTTGTAACTGCCTCACACATTTCCAGGACGTGTGACCCCTACAGGCAAAGTCGCAGATTGACACATGGAGGTTATGCGTTGGCTTGGCCAAAAAGGCAGGAAGTCTTGAAGCAGGGATTTCCAGGTCCTAGGTGGATTCCGAGATTCTTAATTTTGAAATTGTTTGAAGGAGCAAGGCTTTGTCTAAAACTTGGGATCAACAGAAAGGAATGTCCAACTTTTGACTTTACTATGTGTTAGTTAAGATAAGAAAGTTTGCTAGCCTTGCCAGAGCAAGCCACAGTTCCCGGGGTCAGGGTGACCTCTTAGCAAGGTTGATGGTCTGCAGATGCACCTGTTGCCAGGCCCCTTAGGAAGGAATCTGGAGGGCAAAGGGTGGTCAAAGCTTAGTGCTCATTGTCATACTCCAGGACAAACCAGGGTACGTCCCCTGCAGAGGTGCCAGGAACAGTTCCAGGCATGCACCTCCAGGCACGCACCTCCAGGCACGGAGGAAGCGAGAAAAATACTGCCAGACGACCAATTGCTATGGTCATTTCTGGGGGAAAAAAAGTAGACGAGAGATGGATTTACCAAGCGAAATAGGAAGGCTTTGAGGGCAACATTGAGTTCTGTAGAGTCAGGAGGACCTCAGGCTCGTCACCAAACCCAGATCCCAGCACCTGGGGGACCTCTCTTTAATTTGGAAGAGGAAAATCCACTACTTTTCAAAGAAAGCACTGAGCTTTTATAATAAGTAAATTAATGAAACTCCTAATGCTGTAATTAATAACAGGAAGAATTAAAAGGATTAAATAAATTCGTTGTTGTTGGAGAGAAAGTACCCTTGAGGACAGCTGGGACTTTTAACTGTCTGCTGTCAGCTCTGGCACCACTGGATCACTCCCGAATGCGGTGTTTGTACCATGATTGTAAGATCCCAGCATCCGGAGCTGGGGTGACTGTGAGTGACTGCGGCGATAACTCTGAGCCCTGCAAAGAGGGGCTGGATCACTCCCGAATGCAGTGTTTGTACCGTGATTGTAAGATCCCGGCACCTGGAGCTGGGGGGACTGTGAGTGACCGCGGCGATAACTCTGAGGCCCTGCAAAGAGGGGCTGGCCACCAACTGCATGGAAACTGCATGCATCTGACAGGTCGATGCTCTTTTCAATGGGAAGAAATAGCCATTTGCAAGTTATTGGTTTTATGCCAAACACATGAATATCACACATCACTTGTGTTATTTCACAAAAGCCAAACTTAGGGAGTAAAAGTATCTTTTCTTAGCCTTATAAAATGCTGAAGAATGCCTCCTATTTGGCCCCTTCTCTGAATATTTATGATTCACTGAAGGTCTTTCCCCTAAGTGCCTTTTGAATCACATTTAATAAGTCTTCATTTATTTATTCATAGCAAACATTTATTGAATGGCAATATATCGATGCTGGGATATAGGTATTAATAAAGCATGGCCTCCACCCTCAGGGAGCTCAGAGTCAAATGGATGAATCACATGAGAGTGGTGAGGTTCTGTGCTGAGCCTGCCCGCACTGCCCCGCCTTGCCCCGGGCACACCCACTGAGGGCCACTGCTGCAAGTACCTGGGCTCCTTCCTGAGGGCTCCCTCCGGCTGCCAAGGTCCATCCAGCCTATGAGGCTGGTGGGGCAAAGGGAGTGGGGTTAGCACCCCTGGGAGCAGCCCACAGACTTGGTGGATGATTACCCAGCATCCAAGTCACCAGCAGGTCGGAGGGATGAAGATACACAGAAGCCAAACAGTGCCCCGATGGAAGCTGGAAACCTGCCATTTAAGGGATAGTCGACAGGAGGAACCATTCGTCAATTAGTTTTATTAAACCAGGAAAGAGTGGTGTTCCTGACACCAAGAACAGAGAGTTTCCAAAGTGGTCATTGTCCAGTGCTGGGGAGAGCTCAGGTAGGATGAAAATTCAACACAGACTTTTGACCGGGCACCAAGGAGCTTACGGTGACCTCAGACAGGCCAGCAGAGCAGCTCTTTGAAGGGATATGGAAGGAATCAGGGCTAGGAACGCGTGGTAACCCTCTGTCTACTAAAAATACAAAAATTAGCCAGGCATAGCGGTACATGCCTGTAATCCCAGCTACTCAGGAGGCCGAGGCAGGAGGATCACTTGAATCTGGAATGTGGAGGTTGCAGTGAGTGCAGGTTGCATCATTGCACTTTAGCCTGGGTGACAACAAAGTGAGACTGTCTCACAAAAAACAAAAAACAAAAAAACAAAAACATTGAGGGGAGGTTGGAGACAGGGCCCACTGGGGCCAGGGATGGGGTGAGGTGTCCTCTACGGAGCCCAAATGTGATATCTTGGGGCGCCACACAGCAGGTGCACATAGAGAAGAAGCATTTAGGTTCTTCCTCAGTGCAACATGATTCAGAGATCAGGAGGAAGAACGGAGATCCACAGGTGGTCAAGAACAAGCTCCATAAAGAAGAAAAGGAGCAGGGGCGGGAGCTCAAAGCTGGGGCAGACCCAGGGCTGAGACAGCAGGTGGGTCTCTGTGACCCCAGGAGATGAAACCTTGGATTCAAAGCCTTTGAGGACTTCTCAAAAACACCTGCCTTGAGTTCAACCTGCAGAGATCTTGGTGGTCTTTTAGAGAGCACTGCGGGGAGTTGCACAGCCAGGATTGGGAGTGCTGGGTCCACGCACGCGCGAGCACAGGCTTGGGATGGCTTTGAAGGTGATTTATGTAAAGTGCCTGCAATCAGTGGGCACACAGGAAGTTTCTGTTCCTCTCCAGCATCTTTTAGTTCCTTCCACGTTTTAACTTCTCAACTATCTCCCACAGATTCTACAAGCTTTGCAAGAAATCTGCCCTTGCTTCTCAATGTTGTGTCCTATGAGATCACTACAAAAGAAAATCATTTTTGTAACCATCATTTTATTTATTTTGCCAAAATTGCACTTTTGAGTCTATTGTTGGCAGGGGCGGCAGCATCATTTTTAAGCATTATCGCATACCCGACAGTGGCATTATGGAAACTTGATATAAAACACTCTTTCTATCCTGCTTAGATATTGATTTACTATCAGAGGACCATTTTCTCTTCATCTCAACCAGATGCTAAAAGGAACTTGAGGTGGACAGGAAGGACATGTCTTGGGCCAGCTACCACTCAGCTGACTGAAAATAGAAGACAACTTTCCTTCTCCTTTGAAGCATCTTGAGGCATTTTTTAATATATAGAAAGGAACGTGTAACTGCGTGTTAAGAGACAGCAGGATTCTAAGTGATAAAGGTGAATCTGAGGGACCCTTTTTGTCTGTTTAATTTATGTGCACCCTTCACTGTGACTGTCGGGCACAGAAGCAGAGGTCCGAGCCCACCATATGCCTCCGTACACAGAACCCCAAGCAAGGCCACTCTGAAAAAGGACTAATGGCCACAAACATATTGATAATTGTGTTTATTTATTTGAATACTTCATCTCTTACTTACCTAAAGTTTGCAACAGGGCTTCCAGGGCCATGCAATCAACAAAGCATCTTCATTTTACTCCTAATCTTAAAGGAAATATTTATATATATCATATAAGGATTCTCTTTAAGAATTTATTTAATAATACATTTATTTTTTATTATTATTATTTTTGAGATGGAGTCTTGCTCTGTCACCCAGGCTGGAGTGCAGTGGTGCAATCTCGACTCACTGCAACCTCCGCTTCCTGGGTTCAAGCGATTCTCCTCCCTTAGCCTCCTAAGTAGCTGGGATTACAGGCACGCGCCACCACGCCTAGCTAATTTTTCTATTTTAGTAGAGATGGAGTTTCACCATGTTGGTCAGGCTGGTCTCAAACTTCTGACCTCAAGTGATCTCCCCACCTTGGCCTCCCAAAGTGCTGGGATTACAGGCATGAGCCACCGAGCCTGGCCAATAAAACATTTAAATGTTTGCTTTTGAGTTAAGTGCATGCACTTGCTTTATTGAGGTAAAATTTGCATACAGTGACATGCACGGAGCTTTAGTGTCCTATTCAGTGGTTTTGACACATGTTTATCCCCAGTTAACCAGCACTGCCGCCAAGATACGTGGCCAGGTGTGGCAGCTCATACCTGCAATCCTAACACTTTGGGAGGCTGAGGTGGGAGGATCACTTGAGCTCAGGAGTTTGAGACCAGCCTGGGCAACATGGTGAAACCCCTTCTCTACAAAAAAAATACAATACATTAGCCAGGCATGGTGGTGCTTTCCTGTAGTCCCACCTACTTGGGAGGCTGAGGTGGGAGGATTGCTTGAGCTCAGGAGATGGAGGTTGCGGTGAGCCAAGATGGTGCCACTGCACTCCAGCCTGGGTGATACAGCCAGACCCTGACTTGAATGAACAAACAAAAAGATATAGAACTTTTCCGTCACTCAAGAAACTCCCGCATGCTTCATTTTGGTCAGACCCAACCTCTCCCTGACATGAGCATCCACGGTTCTGATTCCTATCACTGTTGATTAGATTTGTGTCATTTCAACTTCAAATAAAGGCAATAACACACGATTGTTTCTGGCTCCTTTTTTTTTTTTTTTTTTTTGAGACGGAGTTTCACTCTTGTTGCCTAGGCTAGAGTGCAATGGCACAACCTTGGCTCACTGCAACCTCCGCGTCCTGGGTTCAAGTGATTCTCCTGCCTCAGCCTCCCCAGGAGCTGGACAGGATTACAGGCATGCACCACCATGCCCGGCTAATTTTGTATTTTTAGTAGAGATGGGGTTCTCCATGTTGGTCAGGCTGGTCTCAAACTCCTGACCTCAGGTGATCCACCCCCATCGGCCTCCCAAAGTTCTGAGTGTTTCTAGCTTCTTTTGTTCAACATAATGTTTCTGAGATTCATCCTACATTTTTATGCCCCAATAGTTCTTTCTTTTTTCAATTGCTGAATAGAATTCCATTGTATGATCACACCACACTTTGTGTGTCTGTTCTCTTGTTGATGGATATTGCTTTCTGTTGGGGTTATTGTAAATAAAACTGCCCTAACATTATTGTAAAGTTTTTTTTGTGGACGTATACTTTCTCTAGGAGAGTTGCTGGGTCATAAGATTGGTGTATGTTTTGCTGTATAAGAAATGTGACACATTTTCCAGTAACTGCACCATTTTATTATACAATCCCAATGGCAGGAGAGAGTCCAGCTGCTCCACACCCTTTGCTAACTGATATTATCATCTTTTCTGTGTTGGCCATTTTAGTGTAAAGTCGCATCACGCTTCAGTTTTCATTTGCATTTCTTCAAGGATTAACGATTTGATTAATCCCTCGAAGTTGCCACATGCGTGAGTGTAAGTTGTAGGTATGTTCATAGTAATCCCTTTTTATCCATAATGGTTGCAGGATCGGCAGTTATATTTGCTGTTTTATTTGTTTGTGTATTTATTTATTTATTTTTGAGACAGAGTCTTGCTCTGTCGCCTAGGCTGGAGTACAGTGGTGCAATCTCGGCTCACTGCAGCCTCCGCCTCCCAGGTTCAAGCAATCCTCCCGCCTCAGCCTCCCAAGTAGCTGGGACTATAGGTGTGTGCCACCACAAGGGGCTAATTTTTATACTTTTTGTACAGATGGGATTTTGCCATGTCACCCAGGCTGGTCTTGAACTCCTGAACTCAAATGATCCGCCTGCCTTGGCCTCCCAAAATGCTGGAATTTCAGATGTGAGCCACTGCACCTGGCTGATACTTGCTGTTTTATACCTGATGGTGATTTCTGTCCTCTTTATCTTTCCTGTCTTTTTCAGAGGTTTATCAATTTTACTGACTTTTTCAAAGAACTAACTTTGTAATACATTCATTTTCTCTATTTTTTCTGTTTTCAATTGTACTAGTTTCTGCTTTTATTATTATTTCCTTCTTTTCCTAGCTGCTTGAATTGGGAACTTACATGATTAATTTTCGTCTTTTCTAATGTAAACATTTAGAGCTGTCAAGGTCTCTGTTAGCACCACTTTATTGCATCCCACAAATTTTGGTATGTTGCATTTTCATTGTCTTATAAGTTTATGTATTTTCAGATTTTCTTTTGTGATGTCTTTTGGCCCATGAATTATTTAGCAGTATGTTGTTTAGTTTCTACATGCTGGAGATTTTCCTATTGTCTTAGATTTCTAGTTTGGTTCCATTATGGTCAGAGAACATACTCTGTATGATTTAAATTCTATTACATTTATTAGGGTTGGTTTTGTGACCTACATTACTGTATCCTGGTGATTGACAGGAATGATGTTTGAAAATAATGTAGATTCTGCTGCTGTTGGATGCAGCGTTCGAAAAATGTCAGCTAGACCCTGCTGGTTGACGGTGTGACTTCATTCTTCGATACCCTTGCTGATTTTCTGTCTCATAGTTCTATTCATTTCAATGAATTGGATGTTGAAACCCCCAACTATTTTGGATTTGGCTATTTCTCTTTTCAGCTCTGTCAGTTTTTGTTTTATGTATTTTGAAGCACTGGTTTTTTGGTGCCCACAGATTTAGGATTACTACTTCTTCTTGGTGGATTAATCCTTTTATTGTTATGCAATTTCTCTTCTTGTCCCGAGTAATTTTCTTTGCTCTGAAGTCTACTTTATCTGAAAGTAATGAAGCTACTCCTGTTTTTTTAAAATTAATGTTTGTATGATATATCTTTTTCCATTTTATTACTTCAGTATCCCTATGCCTTTTGATATGGTTAGGCTTTGTGTCCCCACCGAAATCTCATCTTGAATTGTAATCCCCGGGTGTTGAGGAAGGGACCTGGTGGGAAGTGATTGGGTCATGGGGGCAGTTTCCCCCATGCTGTTCCTGCCATAGTGAGTGAGTTCTCACGAGATCTGATGGTTGTATAAATGGCAGTTCCCCTGGGCTTTTTCTCTCTCTCCTGCCGCCTTGTGAAGAAGGTGTCTGCTTTGCCTTCTGCCAGGATTGTAAGTTTCCTGAGGCCTCCCCAGCCATATGGAACGTGAGTCAATTAACCTCTTTTCTTTATAATGTACCCAGTCTTGGGCAGTATCTCTATAGCAGTGTGAAAATGGACTAATACAGTAAATCATTATATTTGAAGTGAGCTTTTTATAGACAGCATGTAATTGAGTTGTGCTGCTTGCTAATCTTTTTTTAATTGGTATATTTATGTCATTTACATTTGAGGTAATTATTGATATTTTAGGCCTTAAGTCTGCCATTTTATTATTTGTGTCTGTTTTTTCTGTTTCTTATTCCTTTGTTTCTCTTTTCTGCCTTGAATCACTTGAACTTTTTTTTAGAAATATATCTGAATTTATCTATAACAGTTCTTCAGTATATCACTTTGTGTAACTTTTCTAGCACTTGCTCTAGGTGCTGTAGTGCACATAAATAAATTATCTTAGGCTACTGTATTAACGTTTCACCACTTCAAGTCAAGCCTTGAAATGCTGCTTGTGTTAGGCCCTACCCTACCCACTTTTAAAATATGATTGTCTCAAGTTTTTACTCTACATACATTGCACAGCACACCAGATGGGGTTGTGTTTTTGTTTATTTGTTTGTTTGTTTTTTTGACAGAGTCTCTTCTGTTGCCCAGGCTGGAGTGCAGTGGAACGCGATCTTGGCTTACTGCAACCTCTACCTCCTGGGTTCAAGCAATTCTCCTGCCTTAGCCTCCTAAGTAGCTGGGATTACAGGTGGGTGCCACCATGCCTGGCTAATTTTTGTGTGTTTTTCTTTTAGTAGATAAGGGGTTTCACCATGTTGGCCAGGCTGGGGTTATGTTTTGTTTTTGTTTTTGTTTTTTTTTTTTGCTTTAACCATAAAATATTATTTAAGAAACTCATGAGATAAAGAATAGTTTATTGGCTGGGCGCGGTGGCTCATGCCTATAATCCCAGCGCTTTGGGAGGCTGACGCAGGCAGTTCACCTGAGGTCAGGAGTTTGAGACCAGCCTAATCAACATGGAGAAACCTTGTCTCTACTAAAAAATACAAAATTAGTCGGGCATGGTGGTGCATGCTGTTAATAGCAGCTACTTGGGAGGCTGAGGCAGGAGAATTGCTTGAACCCGGGAGGCAGAGGTTGCAGTGAGCTGAGATCGCGCCATTGCACTCCAGCCTGGGCAACAAGAGTGAAACTCCATCTCAAAAAAAAAAAAAAAAAAAAGGAATAGTTTTATTGCTCTTCTCTTATTGATGAAATTTTGGTCTTCTTTTTTTGGGACTGAGTTTCACTCTTGTTGCCCAGGCTGGAGTATAGTGGCAAAATCTTGGCTCACTGCAAGCTCTGCCTCCCAGGTTCAAGTGATTCTTCTGCTTCAGCCTCACGAGTAGCCGGGACTACAGGTGCACGCCACCACACCTGGCTAATTTTTGTATTTTTAGTAGAGACAGGGTTTCCCATGTTGGCCAGGCTGGTCTCAAACTCCTGATCTCAGGTGTCCACCTGCCTCAGCCTCCCGAAGTGCTGGGATTACAGGTGTGAGCCACTGTGCCCAATCAATTTTTGGTCTTCTTTTAACATTTTCTTTCTGTTCAGCAGGTTTCTTTCAGCCCATTTCTGTTAGTTTTCCTTTGTCTGAGAATGTCTTTATTTCCCTTTTACTCCTGAAGACTCATTTTGCCAGGTCTCGGATTTGCAGCCGACAGTCTTTTTCTTTCAGCTCCTTTCCTCCTGGACTCCATGGTTTCAGATTTCTAAGCTTGCTTCTTTGTCTTTGAAAAGGTTTTATTCTGATGTGACTTGGTGTGAATTTGTGGGGGTTTATCCTAACTGGCATTCTCTCAGTTTCCTGAATCTGTAGATTTATGTCTTTTGCCAAATCTGGAAAGTTTTCAGATATAATTTCTTTTCAGCCCCACACTCTCCTTTCCTATGGGACTCTAATGCTGTGAATGTTAGATCTTTTCTTACTGCCCCATAGACCCTGAGGCTCTGTTCATTTTTTTTAGTCCATCTTCTTTCTGTTGTTCAGAGTGTAAATGTTATTGCTCAGTCTTCATGTTCACTGGTTCTAACCTCTTTCGTCTCCATTCTGCTATTAAGCTCATTTAGCATGTTTTCATTTCTGTTATTTTACTTTTCAGTTCTATAATTTCTACTTGGTCCTTTTAAAATAATTTCTCGTTTTTGCTAAGTTTCCTATTTGTTCATTTATTTCAACTGAGTTCATAATTGTTTGTTGAAGCATTGTTGTGGCTGCTTTGAGCATCTTATAACTCCACCTTCTGATTTACTTTACTGTGGTGTCAGCTGATTGTCTTTTCTTATTCAAGTTGTGTTTCTCCTGCTTCTTGTTGTGACAAGCAATATTTGCTTGTATCCTGCACACTTTTAATATTATGCCAAGATTCTTGATCCTATTTAAGTTTCTGATTTTTAACAGACAGTAGCTTTGTTTAGGTTCAGTGTATAGGACCTGGCCTATTTTTGTGAACTGTAATTCCAGTAACAATTTGGTTTTCAGAGCCTTGCAAGGCTAATCTGGTCTAGTTCAGATTTCAGCAAGGTGTAATTTTTTAATGAACATCTATTCATTTTGTAATTAGAAAAATAAAAACTCACTGTACACATGCATCTTATATACAACATGTTAGTATGGATGACACCAGGGCCAAGTGAATACCAGAGTCAAGAACCAAGAGTCAAGGCCATAGGAGAAGAAACAAGTCATACAGTTCAGGGGTGACAGTGGCAGGCAGGACTATCTGACATTCCCAGGTAGCAACAGTTTGTGGGCATGAGGCCTCTGTGCACACTGGGTTATATAACACGTGCTTATTTCAAAGGCACCATCTAGCATCTGAGAGGTGTTTGCCTAGAGGCCAGCCTTGGATTCAAATTTAGGACTTGTGGCTCTGAAGCCACAATGTTACTGGTTGCAAAGTAAGATACAAGATAAAACAATCTTAATTAATTAATTTTACACTTTTAAAAAACAGCTACTAGAAATTTTACTTTAAACCCGTGAAACTCATTTGTGATGCACAGGGTTTCTTGTGCTGTGGAGATGAGACCATCTCTGTTTGCCGAATCAATAAATCTCTACAGCCGGAGCTTTATTAAGTACTACTATTGAAATAATTGGATAAATTTAGATTCTCTATTTTCCCATTAATCTTGGATTAGTTTTAATATATAAAATAATGCAATCCTGACATATGTATAATGCTAAATTAAGGTTCATTTAAAAACAGACTCAGTATGCTAAAGTGAATCTCTCTATTGATCTTATTCATGTAATCTTGAAAAAGTTCATATATTGAAATCTACAAATAAAAATTCCATACCCTCTTTTACTGCTGCCATTTTTACATGCCTGCCAGGTATTTTTTAAACCTCTCAAAATCCTGCAAGTGAAATCTACTTTGAGGATTGGAACACGGAAGTCCAAAGCAGTATCTCGCTCGGAGTCGTCTCTGGCACTGGGATTTCACCAGGACTTTCTGAAGGGCTTTGCAGGGCACCTTGCAGCCTCCAACGTTCTCTTGCTCGTGCAGGGTGGAACGAGCTCCTCCGCATTCTGAAAACCGCCTTTTTCAGTCAGGCAAAGATTGTGGACCACGATCAAATAGACTCATTTGTAGAACTGGGAGAACCCTCCTAATCATCTGACAGTTACTCTTAGATTTCGTCTCTGAAATCGGTTGCGATTCCCGCTGGACGGCAGGGGGCAGCACCAGGCCGCCTCAGGGCCGGACCCGCGCGGGCGGTGCCGCCGCTTCCCCTCAGGCGGCCGGTGTGGGTGGGGCAGCCCGTGGCCTGGGCGGAGTCGGGAAGGGCCTGGCGGGCAAGAGCCTCAGACTGAGGGAAGGAGAGGGCGCCTTTCCGCGCTTCTGTTTCCCTAGAGGAAGGAAAGAAGTTGAGAAAATTCAGAGCCAAATGTAGATTTTCTCGAGTGCCTCATTCCCCACAGCGATCTTGCTGGTAACCGGGAGTGTGTTTTTTCTGCATCAAATGCTCAAATGCGGTCTTCCAAAATGTTTCCGACTGCGGCAGGAATTTCAAACGAAATCCTCGGAGCTAGAAGAAGAGTTACAGAAAATCGCGAATTTCCAGGCAACACGCCAGGGATTTGGGGAAGAGAACAGTAAAACGTAACAGAAATAGCAGCTTCCTGACACGGTGGAAGTCATCTGGTGAAGATTTTTTATACATTTTATATCGACTTTTTAATCTCCTAATTTATGAGTAAAGTGTTAACCTAAGAAGTAAGAATGCATTTTGTAGCTCATCATTGTTTAAATAGAGGCTTTGAAATTCAGCCCGTCTCGGTGATTGTAGCCGCCATTACAAAGTGGCTGCGGGAGGGGTCTGGCCTCTGCTCAGCCACTCACTGCTGTGTGATCTTGGGCAGAGCACTTGATGTCTCTGAGCCCGTCTCCTGAAGCCCAAAGCCAGGCTGTAATATCTGTGTCGGCTGTTCCGTGAGGAAAGATGCCTCATCTCTAGCTCTTCCTCAAGGCTATGAATATAATCAAAGGCGGATGCTCAGGGCTGTGAATAAGAGTTCAGTGACGCAGCGTTTTATCCAGTGCATTCCTCTTCCCAGGCGTCTGTGACATCGTCTTACCGACCAGCTGCCCCACTCTGGGACATTTACATCGCTTTGCAGTGGCCGCACTGACGGTCGACAGCTGCGCCAGGACTTAAGGCTCCAGCCTGGTCCCCTCCTTGCTTCCCAGCACTGCCTGGTCAAATGGTGGAGGACAAAGTGGAGGCAGAAGACGGAGGCGCAGCTGACACGTGGACTAAGGGCTCTCCAGGCATTCCGACTTCTGAAGAGGTGGCTGACAGCCTGAGCTCCATGGAAAGGTTGGGATAAAGAGCCTGTGTGATTGTCTACTCCAAATTCATGACTTTACAGATGGGCTTCAGCCAATGGTTTGGGTCCCAAGCTGTTGTTATTATTATTATTATTATTATCATTATCATTTAAGACAGTCTCGCTCTGTCACCCAGGCTGGAGTGCAGTGGTGCGATCTTGGCTCACTGCAGCCTCCGCCTCCCGGGTTCAAGTGATTCTCCTGCCTCAGCCTCCCGAGTAGCTGGGATTACAGGTGCCTGCCACCAGGCCCGGCTAATTTTTTTGTATTTTTAGTAGAAACGGGGTTTCACCATGTTGGCTAGGCTGGTCTCAAACTCCTGACCTTAAGTGATCTGCCCGCCTCGGCCTTCCAAAGTGCTGGGATTACAGGCATAAGCCACCGTGCCCGGCCCCAAGCTGCTTTTAGAATGGCTTTTACTTTCTTATATGTAATAGCGAAGAATTTAAAAATGTAAAGACAAGCCAGATGTCATGTTTGAAGAGGGAAATTAATCCCATAAAGAGCAGCACATCCATGTGATGGGGTATTAGGAGGCCCTCAATAGCCAAGGGTTAGCCTTTTTGATGACATAGAAAAATATGAGATATGATATTGAGTGAAAAGGGAGGTTATAAAATATCATGTGTAGTGCAATCACAAGTGTATGCACACACGCGGTGGAGAGAGACTGGGTGGACAGCACTAACCCATTACCAGGGCTGTCTCCTGACTTTTATCCTTTGGGTATTTTTTGTGGTTTCCAAATTTTTCAATGCACATTTATTATCTTAGGAGCAGGAAAAAACTTATTTTTGCCAATGAAATAAAAATAAATTTGGGCCAGGCATGGTAGCTCACTTCTGTAATTACAGCACTTTGGGAGTCTGAGGTGGGTGGGTTGCTTGAGCCCAGGAGTTCGAGACCAGTCTAGGCAACATGTCAAGACCTCATCTCTACAAAAAATTAAAACATGAGCTGGGTATGGTGGCATATGCCTGTAGTCCCAGCTACTCAGGAGGCTGAGGTGGGAGGATTACTCGAGTCTGGGAGGTCAATGCTGCAGTGAGCCGTGATGACACCACTGCACTCCAGCCTGGATGACAGAGTGAGACCCTGTCTCAACAACAAAACAAACAAGTGTGTTGGTGAATATTTGAAGATAGTTTCTCAAACTAAAAGATACCCAAAGAAAACCTTGGAAATATAAAAAGAATGCATGAATTGAAAACAAAAAGCCATAATACAAGACTCTAAAGATCTGGAATGAAACCTAATAAGAGACTGGTAGGTCAAATGAGAGCAAAGCATTTGAATTTGACTGGATTGTTTTCTCACTGGAAATAGTGATTCTATGAGTTCACCATTAACACATTTTTTGACTGGAAAACTGCTATAGGATCCCAGGGAGGACTAAATTTGAACAGAGGAAGTGGACAGTGTTGCAGTCTCTGTTCTAGCTCTTGCTTCTAGAATAGGAGAGTTAAGAGCACCAATTTGGGATGAAGAAAGCAGAAAGCAATTATCGATATCAATCAAGAGAGCAGAACAGCCTCTCTCCCTCCATCCTCCCTCTGCCCTCTTCTCCCTTCCTCCTTCTCTGCTTTCCTTTCACTCTGTGTATGTTAGCTTTGGCCCCATTCCATAAGCCGAGATAAAAATGCTAGGCATGATAAATTTGTGACTGTTACTAACATTTAGGATTTTTTTTTTGAGATGGAGTTTCACTCATGTTGCCCAGGCTGGGTGCCATGGCGCGATCTCAGCTCACTGCAACCTCTGCCTTCCGGGTTCAAGCAATTCTCCTGCCACAGCCTCGCAAGTAACTGGGACTACAGGCGCATGCCACCATGCCTGGCTAATTTCTTTTGTATTTTTAGCAGAGACAAGGTTTCACCGTGTTGGCCAGGATGGTCTCGATCTCCTGACCTTGCGATCTGCCCACCTCAGTCTCCCAAAGCACTGGGATTACAGGCGTGAGCCACCACACCTAGCACATTTAGGACCGTTATATGGAATTCTTCATATCTTCTAAGTTTTAAAAAAACAAAATCTACCAAATATTAGAGATTTAGTAGTTAAATAAAATCATTAGGAAAGAGCAAAGACTTGCCCAGTTTTAGGTGGAGTAAATTCTGGAACTTTTAATACAAAGATAGGCTGGGAAACTGCAAAGATAACTTTGCGGTTCTTCTTGTATGCAAATCTGTGATCATGGATGGAGAAGCCTGGAGGAGAATCGGAAGGCAAGGTCAAACTTTATGGGTTGTGATCCATTTGGTTCTTTCAGTAAGAATCCACAATTGATAAAATACTAGAGTTTGTGTTTCTTAGCTGAGAATGCAGGCGCGAGGAAGTAAAATGATTTCTTCTCGTCAGTAGTAGAGCCACCTAACCCCAGTCTTCGGCCTCAAGCTCTTTCTGTGCTTTATTAAATCAGCTGCTTTTTAACAGAAAACCGACTTTGCACACCAGACTATAATGCAGGTCTTGCTTTGGGAATATTTACATGGTAATCTTATAGTCACATTATACACTAAATAAATGTTAGCTGGGCCATTTGTGTAGAAATATAACTTGTGCAAAATAAAACCGTTAATGTGTAAAACACATGATGGGGGAGTTTCTTGGTTTTGAGTGTCTGCCTCAAATTATACAGACTCATCTGTAAATTCCAGCTGTATCTTTCAAAATACATTCAAGCTAACGTTCGGTAAAATGAACACTTAGCAGTGGCAGTGCATGGTTGGTCACTAGCCCACTCAATTGTTTTGTGAGGCAGATGAAATATAAAAATATGACAAAGAACAAATGTTTTCCTCTCCTATGCAGAGGTGAACTGAAGCCTGCTGCCGCCAGGGTAATTTATAACATATATTTATAGAAATAAATGGCCCGTCTGGGCATTCATGTGTTTCAAATCAATCATGGAGTACAATGCTCAGTGCCGAGGGAAAAGAGAGTTATTCAGAAGGTCTTTTGAGACCTCCTCTGACCACGGTGGTGGCTCACGGAAGAGTTTGCAGCTGCAGGTTCTGTGGTGGACAGAGGCTCTCCATCTTTATATTATTAATCTGGGTGAAGCGCTTTGTTCAAGCAGAAGGGGAATAAGCGCTCTAATCATCCGGAAACTCATTAACTTCTTTCTTTCAAATGTCTTATCAGATTTCTCCCTTGATGCTTTCCTCTAATTCCTTAGGACTGAAGGGCTAAAGACACTGGAGAGTGTATTAAAATATATTAAGCAATCACAAATGTCTGAATGCGAGGCACTGCCATACAGCCAGAAAGCAACAGCCTGGGGGGCTCGCTGCACAGATTCAAACACTGGTCTCCCCCGACCATGAACTTGGGCAGGCTACTCACCACTTCAGACTGCAGCTTCCACTTCTAAAAAATGGGG
Organism: Homo sapiens; assembly: GCF_000001405.40. Taxonomy (NCBI): domain Eukaryota; kingdom Metazoa; phylum Chordata; class Mammalia; order Primates; family Hominidae; genus Homo; species Homo sapiens. The sequence continues at coordinate 112,602,035 of NC_000013.11, read as the reverse complement.
AGAACAAGACTGACCTTGTTCAGTTGTTGTGAGGATTGGAGATATAACTGCTAAGCGCCTGGCATAAGGAGCAATAGTGCAGTGATCATAACTTATGAAAACAGCAGTGACATCCCGGGGCTACAGAGGCACAGCAGGAAGTGCGGACCCCAGGACTCTTCTGGGCTCTCTGTAGCCATGGCCCTGGGGCACCTGGGTTCTCCTACCCTCTGGCTTCCAGAAGCTTAATAGACTTGATTGGCCACAAGGAATATCCTGTCATGAAAATCAATATTTTAGAGCAAGATGAATCCGGAAAGAGGCTTTGAGAAGGTTGTATAGGCCTGAAAAGGGGGGACACGGAGCTCACCTCACATGGCTGGGGATGAGTCGGACCTGACTGGGGCATGCCCAACTGCTACCTTCAACCTGACTCCAAAGGTCTTGACCTTCGAGAGTGATCTGACCTCAGAACCCGACATTCCAGATGTCACAGGCCACCTGGGCGAACACAGATGTCTCAGCACACACTTCTCGTTACCTCATCCAGTCCTCACAGCAGCCCTGGCCAGAGCCGCGGGGAACTGTGAAGCGCTGTTAACGCTACCGAGAGAATGAATCCACACTCATCTCAAGCCCGGGCGACAGAATGAGAACACTAAACCAATTTACAAAGAAAACCAGTTTATAAGTAAACTGAAGTTAAAGTTCATGGCAAGTGCATTATTAAATGGGCCATATGAGGACGAGCAAGATGAGAGAAGATTAAAATATTAGTCCTGGAATTTTGTGTCCAAACAAGGACATTTCATCACCATTATGAAAAGCCATTTGTATTCTTTTAAATTTTTTTTTTTTTTTTTTTTTTTTTAGACAGAATCTTGCTTTGTGGCCCAGGCTAGAGTGCAGTGGCGTGATCTTGGCTCACAGCAACCTCTGCCTCCTGGGTTGAAGCAATTCTCCTGTCTCAGCTCCTTAGTAGCTGGGATTACAGGCAAACGCTACTGCGTTTGACTAATTTTTGTGTTTTGAGTAGAGACGGGGTTTCGCCATGTTGGCCAGGCTGGTCTTGAACCCCTGGCCTCAAGTGATCTACCTGCCTTGGCCTCTCAAAGTGCTGGGATTACAGGTGTGAGCTAAATTGTGTTTTAAAATTAAATTAAAATACGTTTAGAATCAAAGAAACAGTGTTCCCCTTAAACACCATACTCAAAAACTTAATATGCCTCAAAAACCGTAACTATAGACCTGAGTTATAAGACAGGAGAATATAGGCGAAAATGATTCTGGAGAAGAGGCGAGTAGTGGCTTCTGCTTGCCAACCCGGAGAGAGAGGCAAAAAGCATCCTTCGATCCTAGCGATATTTATAGTAAAGCCTTATCAAATGTCAACCTTTGAAAATTAATTCCAATTTTTTTTAAGTATAAGAAGAAACACTACATGCTCATAAAGCAAGATAACAGAAAGGAGAGTGGTTTAAAAGACTTCTTGACTTCTAAAGTAATTTATCCATCTACTTTCAACAGTTTAATGACATTTTCCTGAAAGATAGGAGTTTTTCAAAGCCTGGTTCAAGTTTCAATCCGTTGATATGATGTCAGAACAACAAATCATTCTGATCTCATAAAAGAAAAGTGAGTATAAATTTATAAATTAATTGCAATTTTAAAGATTGTTCACTAGTTTTAGTCAATCAATCAGAAGCTCGTTATATTAATTGGGTTGAGTACTGATAACCTCATTAATCATACAGCTTCCAGTTTAGGCAGGTTGAATGCATTTTTCCCCTATAATATCAAGTGTGACATGAGAGATAGAATATAAAAGAATGTTAAAACTAATCCACATCATGGAGAGAAGAAACAGACTCACACAGAGACGGATGGGATGATTTGCAGCCGTCTTTGGGAATTCTCTACCGCAGCATCCCACCAGCGTCGCCTCAGCTAAAAGGATCCATTTCATGGAGAAGAGATGACACAGTGGGTGCACAAGTGTGGGATTCGTAGTCTTAGCATGGACTAATGCAAACTGTGGACCTCAGTTAATAATCATGTTTTAATATTGGTCCATTCACTGTGCACTAATGCAAGATGCTAATTATAGGAGAAAGCTGCAGGGGGTGGGGAGATGGGGAGAGGCGTGTGACAGTCTGTACTATCTTCTCAATTTTTCTGTAAATCTAAAATGGTATAAAAATGGTATAAAATCTAAAATGGTATAAAACATAAGGTGTAGGCTGGGCGCAGTGGCTCATGCCTGTAATCCCAGCACTTTGGGAGGCCAAGGCAGGCGGATCACGAGGTCAGGAGTTTGAGACCAGCCTGGCCAACACAGCGAATCCCCGTCTCTACTAAAAAAAAAAATAAAAAATAAAAATAACTTGGCGGGCCTGGTGGCATGCGCCTGTAGTCCCAGGTACTCAGGAGGCTGAGGTAGGAGAATCTCTTGAACCTGGGAGGCGGAGGTTACAGTGAGCCGAGACCACGCCACTGCACTCCAGCCTGGGCAACAGAGTGAGACTCCGTCTATAAGAAAAAACAAAAAACAAAAAACCATAGCAAAGTAGTTTTAGATTATAACTCAAAATATAAACTAAATGCCCATAAATACCAATATAAATAAACTATTGAATAAATAAATAAATGAGGGAGAATAGACAACTCTCTCAGTCAGAACAATGGTAAATAATTTATGTGGAGATTCTATCCGTAGGGAAGTGGAGCGTAAGGACCCATTTATTAGGTGTGTGCTGCGTAATGACTTGTTTCCAAAGACTACAGTATGGAAAGAAAAAGAAAAAGAATAACCTCATAGAATAACTTTACCTGACAAACAGCACCCCAAGTCAGGTGATCAAAGTTATTACCACCAACAGTGACAAGTCGTGTTGACAGTATGCACCCGTGATAATACGCGATCAGAACTGTACTTTACCTCTGTGGATTTAGTGCTTTTATATTTGATGTAACTTGTGAGATATTTTGGTTTAACTCTGCCATCTTTATATTCTTTTATCCCTCTTGCAGTATGTTCATTTTTCTTTCTTTTTTTTTTGTATTTATAGAAACCTTTTATTGTCTAATAATTTACTTTTTTTTTTTTTTTTTGAGACGGAGTCTCGCTCTGTCACCCAGGCTAGAGTGCAGTGGTGCGATTTTGGCTCACTGCAACCTCCAACTTCCAGGTTCAAGCGATTCTCCTGCCTCAGCCTCCTGAGTAGCTGGGACTATACAGGCGTGCGCCACGATGCCCGGCTAATTTTTTGTATTTTTAGTAGAGACAGGGTTTCACCATGTTAGCCAGGATGGTCTCCATCTCCTGACCTCACGATCCGCCCACCTCAGCCTCCCAAAGTGCTCGGATTACAGGCATGAGCCACCGTACCCGGCGATAATTTACTCTTTATTAGTTTGGTAGTTATCAGTATTTTCACTCTTCACTTAATGGTTTCCCTAGAAACTACAACAAATATCCTTGACATATCAAAGTTTAATATAAATGGTACTTTTACCTCTTTTAGGACATTTCAAAGGTAACAGAGCACTTTAATAATATTTACCGTCTTCTTTATTGGTGAGTTATTTTTGTTATGTATTTAAGTTTGCATATGTTAAACCTAAGACATTGTTTTTTCTAATCAATATCCATTCATATTTATCCTGTATTCATGGCATCCACTGTTGTGTGTTCCTGCCTACAGTGCTAGCCTTCATCTAGTATCATTTTTCTTCTGCCTGAAGGAAATGGTCTTTAGTGTTTCATTTACTATAAATCTGCTGGTGGTAAATCTTTTTCATTTCCGTTCTTCTAAAAAAGCCTTTGTTTCTCTTTCTTTGTAAAATATATTTAGGCTGAGTATAGAATTCTAGATTGGCAGTTGTTTTCTTTCTGCACTTGGAAATATAATTCCATCTTCATCTGGCCTCTATGTTTTCTTTCTGCTGAAATATCAACTATCAGGTTAATTGGTGCGCCTTTGACGATAACCTCTTTTTTCCTCTGGCTATTAAGACTGTCTCTGTTTTTGCTCTCCGAGGATTTTGCTTACATTTGCCTCGGCATGGCTTTCCTTAGGCAAGTGTGGCTGTGGTTTGTGGCACTTTTATCATTGCCTTGATGTCTTTTGCCATATTGGGAGTGTCACTGGCCATGTTCTCTTCAGTTATTGTCTCTGACACATTTTCTCTCTCCCCTCCTTCTGGATTCCAATTATATGAATGTTATGCTTTTTCACTCTGTCCCCTATGTATTTCATATTCTTTCTCATATTTTAAATCCTTTTCTCAGCATGTTTTCATGTGTCTGTTTTCTTCATGTCACCACCATTTTTTTTTTTAGTTGTATCTAAACTGCTGTTAAGGTCACACGTTGATTTTTAATTTCAGTTAATGTTTTTTAGTTCTAGAGTTCCTACTGGCTTTTTTTTGTTGTTGTTCTCTAAATTCTTTGCCAAACATTCCCAATCTTTTCTTTGATTTCCCTTGAGCATCTTATTCATAGTGCATTGTCTGTAACACCTGTAAATCTCTTTCTAGTTTTCTGTTGTTTCTCTTGGTTTTCCAAAACACTCGTTGTCTCCTCACCTGACTGGTTAAATTGTATTGTGTGACTGAGACACTATGTGAAAGCTTATAGAGGTACTTTGAGGCTAGAATGAAGTTTTATTTCTCTAATGGGGATTTATGTTTGATTCTTGCAAGTACTAGGGGCACTAGCAATCCTGCACACCATCTTAATCCAATCATAAGTTAAGATAATTTAAAGCTGAGCACAAATCCCTAAAGAGGACAATCTATTTACAGCTTAGTCTGTATTCTGCAATTTTACCATCAGTTCCCAACCCAGATCCCTAAGCAACCTTAAGAGCCCATTAGTCAGGCTGACAGACCAGCCACCACTCTCTTCCTTATCATGCCATAAACTCCAATTTTTGTTTTTGTAAGATCAGAAGTAAGTTTAAAGTAAGTTTCAGCTTGTCAGTATCCCAGCCATTTCTTCTGGAAATTGGAGGAAATCCATGGGGGAAAAGCATTTCAAATGCCAAGGTCATCCTTCTATATGTTCTTATTCTCCCAAATCTTGGTTCCCAGGTTTTTTCACTGCGTTATGTTCCAGTACCTTTGAACATATGGTTTTTATATTGTATCCACTAGTTTCATGTGTTTGAAATGGGAGGATTGGTCTGAATTAACTAGTCTTTCATTACCCAAAATAGAAGTCTGGAAATGTTAGAATAATAGAAGTCATTCAATCTGAACAACAAAGAGAAAATATATTTTTTAAAAATGAAGAAAGCCTCAGAGACCCATGGGACTATAACAAAATAATTAACATCCACATCACCAGGGTTCTAGAAGGAGAGCAGAATGTGCATAGGACTAAAAAGTTGTCAAGGAATAATGTCTGAAAAATCCCCAAATTTGGCAAAAGACATAAACCTATAGATTCAAGAAGCTGAACAAACTCAAGGAAACCATGTCAAGACATTTCATAGTCAAACTCCGAAAAACTGAAGACAAAGAAAAAAAAATATTGAAAACAGCCAGAGAGAAATAACATCCTAGCATCAGGGGAAAACTATTTGAATGAAAGAAAAGTTCTCACTACAAACCACAAAGGCCAGAAGGAAGTGGCACAACATTTATCAAGTGTTAACTCAGAATTCTATATCTTGTGAAAATAGTCTTCAGGAATGAAAGGAGAGTCAAGATATTTCACATGGAGGAAAACAAAAAGAATTTGCTGCCATCATACCTATCCCAAAAGAATGGGTAGTTCTTGAAATAGGAAATGAAAAAGACAGAATCACGAAACATCAGGAAGAAAGTACAATGAAAAGAATGAAAATATGAATAACTACAATAGGCTCTCTTCTACTCTTGAGTTTTCTAAATTATATATGAGGCACAGACAGTACCACCATTTAGCGTGGTTCTCAATGTTTGTAGAGGAAATATTTATACCATAAACAGGGGAATGTAAAGGGACATAAAAGGAGATTGCGTTCATTCACACCATAAAATATCAACAGCAGTAGACAGAAATAAGTTATGTACATGTAAAGTAGCACCTAAAGAAACTCCTCAAAAAAGATGCACTGGGAAACATTATGGACAAATCAAACTGGAATTCTAAAAAAAATTGTTCAAATAATTCACAGGAAAGCACAAAAAAGAGAGAAATGGAAAACAGAGAATGAATAGAAAACAAAAAATATAATAGCAGACTCAAGCCTTACATATCAAATTACATCAAATGTAAATGGTCTAAATATACCAACTAGAAGATAGAGATTAGAAGGCAGCATTAAAAAAAATGGCCCAACTATATGCTGTCTATCCTTCAATCACAATCGCATAGTAGAATGAAAGGGGAAAAAAATAGAAAAATATATATACCATGCAAACAATCAAAAGAGGCAGTCCTATTAATATCAGATAAAGTAGACTTCAGAGCCAAGACAATTATATAATGAGATAAAGGTCAATTTGCTAAGATGGCATAGCAATTTTAAACATATATACACTAAACGACAGAGCTGCAAAATGTATTAATTGGCTGGGCAGGGTGGCTCATGCCTGTAATCCCAGCACTTTGGGAGGCCGAGACGGGTGGATCACGAGGTCAGGAGATCAAGACCATCCTGGCTAACATGGTGAAACCCCGTCTCTACTAACAATACAAAAAAATTAGCTGGGTGTGGTGGCGGGTGCCTGTAGTCCCAGCTACTGGGGAGGCTGAGGCAGGAGAATGGTGTGAACCCGGGAGGTGGAGCTTGCAGTGAGCTGAGATTGCACCACTGCACTCCAGCCTGGGTGACAGAGCGAGACTCTGTCTCAAAAAAAAAAAAATGTATTAATTGATAGAGCTCAAAAGAGAAACAGCAATCCACAATTATTGTTAGAGACCCTACTCTCCTTTCCCGCCAATTGATAGAACAACTAAACAGAAAATTCACAAGGACAGAGAACAACTTATGAACAATCAACTGGATCTAATGGGTATTTGGAGAACATGGCGATCAACAACAGCAGAATATATATTCTTTTCAGGTGCCCACAAAACATATAAAAAGATATACCACTTCTGACTATCAAACAAACCTCAACATATTTAAAAGAATTAAAATCTTAGTCTGTCTTCTCTTACCCCCACTAGAAATCAACAACAAAATAACAGGAAAATCTCCAAACACATGAAAAAGAAATAACACACTTTTCATTATCCATGGGTCAAAGAATAAGGATCAAGAGAAATACGTAAAAGTACACTCAACAGAATAAACATGAAAATACAACATATCAAAATTCAAAAGCTCAGCAAAGCAGTGCTTAGACAGAAATTTATAGCACTAAATGTTTACATTAGAAAAGAGGAAAAGTCTCAAACAATAACCTAAGTGTTCACCTCAAGAATCTAGAAATAGAAGAGCAAATAAACCCAAAGCAAACAGAATGAAGGAGATAATGAAGAGATTAATGAAATAAAAGCAGAGACATAACAGAGGAAACAAATAAGACAAAAAGATGATTCTCTGAAACTTAGATAGCTGCAGGTTTATTTTATAGATGACCTTTATCAGGTTGTGAAAGTTTCTTTGTAGTCTTAGGTTGGGAGTTTTTATTATGAAAGGGTTGGTTTTGTCAAATGCTTTTTCTGTGGCTATTAGAAGGTCATATGGATTTTTTCTTTTATTCTATTGAGGAGTTATGACATTAATTGGCTTTCAGATGTTAGCCCAACCTTGCATTCCTCAGATAAACCCCACTTGGTCATGTTGCTGGATTTAATCTGCAATCACTTTGTTAAAAAGTTGTACCTTTCTCATTTTATAGTTTTCTTATGATGTGTTTGCCTGGCTTTGGTATCAGGTTAATACTGGCCTTGTAAAATATTTGGGAAGTGTTATTTTGTCTCTATTTCCTGTAAGATTGATATCATTTGTTTCTTAAGCATTTGAGAAAATTCACCAATGAAGCCATTTGGCTCAGATCTTTTCTTTGTGGGCATGTAGTTAACTATAATTCAACTTGGTTACTTATACATCTGTTCAAATTTTCTATTCATTGTTGGTCAGTGCTCATAATTTATGTCTCTTTAGGAATTTGTCCATTTTATCTAAATTATCTATTTTTTTAAACATTTTAAAATTTCTTTGTGATATTTTTAGTTTCACCATGGACCCTTGTATGTTATTTCTTTTATTCCTGATTTGGCATATTTCTGTTTTTTTCTTTTCCTTTTGGCTTGTCCAGTCTAGCAAATCTGATCAGTTTGTTTTCCTAGAATCAACTTCTTTTAGTTTCTTCTGTTTTCCGTATTTGTCTTACTGTTTTCTAGGTCACTGTTTGCCATTCGGATCTTTTTTTTTCTTTTTTTTGAGATGGAGTCTTGCTCTGTCACCCAGGCTGGAGTGCAGTGGCATGGTGTCAGCTCACTGCAATCTCCGCCTACTAGTTTCAAAGGATTCTTCTGTCTCAGCTTCCCGAGTAGCTGGGATTGCAGGCACGCGGCAGCATGCCTGGCTAATTTTTGTGTTTTTAGTAGAGATGGAGTTTCACCATGTTGGATAGGCTGGTCTCAAACTCCTGACCTCAGGTGATCTGCCCTTGGCCTCCCAAAGTTTTGGAATTTAGATAAAGTCTCTCTCTCTGTCCCCCAGGCTGGAGAGCAGTGGTGTCATCGTGGCTCACTGCAACCTCTGCTTCCTGGGTTCAAGTGATTCTCTTGCCTCAGCCACCTGAGCAGCTGGGATTACAGGTGCGTACAACTACGCCCAGCTAATTTTTGTATTTTTGTAGAGATGGGGTTTTACCATGTTGGCCAGCCTTGTTACAAACTCCTGACCTCAGGTGATCCACCCACTTTGGCCTCCCAAAGTGCTGGGATTACAGGTGTGAGCTACCGCGCCCAGCATCCATTCTGATCTCACTCCCCTTCCTTCTACTTAGTTTGAGCTTGATTTGGTTTTCCTTTTCTAGATTCCTGGTGCGGAAGCTTAAACTATTCCTTTAATCTCTTTCTTTCTAATGCAACGATCAAAACTTAGCAGCATCCCGTCAATATTTTGAAATGTTTCTTTCTTTTTCGAAACTAGTTTTATTGAAACAGAGTTGGAATGCAACATGCTGCCTGGAAAGTTGGCTGGCTGCAGCCCAAATGCCCTGTGGGATCTTTCAGGTCTGACCACGGGTGATGACAAAGGCCCCACCTGGCTGCCTCATGGTGTGTGGCCAGTGCACTGCCGTGTCTGAAGGCTGTTGCGGGGAAGGACCTGGGTGCCCTGGGTATCCCCTGTGCCCAACCCAGGCACCTCCCTTCCGAGACCACATGGGTCCCTTGGCTGAGGCCTGTCTTAGGTACCTCTGCCAAAGCCTCCTTTTCAGGGGGCCTGGAAGACATTTTTCCCACTCTGACTTTGCATTCAGCACTTTTCCACTCTCAGCTGCCTCCCTCTCTCTCTTCCCCTGACTCCAGGGCCATAGAATGGCAGAAACCTTTTGTTAGGGGCTCTCTGGGCAGTGAGACAGTATCCCTTCACTGCTGTCTTCACAGACACACCTAACCTTCACCCAGTGCCGTGGGGGAAAATGAAACACCAGGGTGGGGGCTGGCACTCTCAGTGAGGCCTCTGGTTTCTACTCCTGCCGGGAGTGACACCTGCCTGGTGGAACCTGCGTTTGGCCTTTGACCCACCCACCACCCGGCACCTGGCAGCCGGCCCCTCTCGCTCAGCACCTCACAATGCACAGATTAAAAGTGTGTTGTTTGTTACATTTAAGAACCAGTATTGAAGCATTATGAATCAAAGTCCATACTTTGAATTATTCAGACTACCTAGTTTTATCTACTATCTATGTCGGTTGTGAACTATTCCATCCTATGTCCAGGCATAATGCAGAGAATGGTGTCCTGGCCACCTTGGGGGTAACCATGGCCATAGGTCATTATCACAGAGTCCAGATGTTCCATCTGGAGCCAACCAGTAAACACCCGGTCACTATGCCCACTCAGTGGCATGCCAGCCAGGACTCTGTAACACAATGGTGTAGATGCACTGTTCTCTGGGTTCCATCCCGTATCTCCAGTGCTCCTGGGCCAGGGATCTTTGATATGATTCTTTTGTTCCCAATGTAAAGGGGCACGTGAACTAAGTTGACCCAAAGAGAGGGTAAGTCAGGTGAAACCATCCCAAGTTTGTGTTATGCCATCCCGATATTGAGTGGTCTAATCTCTCAGCTGGTGTAGTACCAGCATTAAGGTATGTGGACTTTTACTGGAAAGCTCTTCCTATGGCTTTTGCTTTGTAAAGTATCATTCATAGGCCAGTGATGCACACTTGCCTTCATCATACTAGTGCTAAGCACCAATGACTGTCCTGAGAAACACAGACACATTTCTGATATTCTGTCTACTCTTGTCCTTGAAGAGGAGCTGCCACCATGGTAGGCCAGAACCACCAGAAAGGGGCGCAAGGCCACACACCTAACGAGTGTTGTCCTGTAATTTACTAGCACAGGCCCAAGCCTACTGCAAGAAGATGTTTGTTTCATGGGCAATGGCTGGTGATGGTAGCAACAAAACAGAAGAACTAGGGACAAAAAGAAGGAAGTGTGGTGGGAACTTGTAAAGGAAGACCTTCCTCATCTACTGACGATGATTATATTAAGGGTTTGTCTAGATACAGGCCTGGTCAGGTGTCTTGAGAAGGCTGATCGCCTCACATGTTGTTTTCTTCTCATCCTTGTTGGTTCTGGAGAGTTTTAGTTTTAGATCACCAATTTGAGATGAAGTCCAAATTGACAAAGCAGCTTTCCTTGCATGGGTGGCAGGTATCCAGGAATCAACTCCTTTAAGCTTAGTGGCACAAGGGTTGGTTAGGAGTCCCTGATAAGGTTCCTTCCTCCTTGGTGGAGAAAGTCCTTTAAAGGATGCTGTTTCCTACAAAGTCTCCTGGCTGAAGTATGTGTTCCTTGAGTTTTTGCTTCTTGGAGCTCACTGTGGAAAGAATCTTTTACTAAATAACAGTTTTTACTTAGGTGCCTTATGAGGCTGCTGCAATAATACAACCTGTCCCTTTTTAATATCATCGATTTACAATTTCCTGGAGACAATTTCATAGGTCTGTCCGTTATAATTTCAGATGAAGACAGTTGGTGTTTACCCATAAGGGCTGATCTTAGGTGAAGCAAAAACAAGAAAGAGCTTCCAGTCAAGGGAGTTTTAAAACTTCAGTTAATTTTGCCAAATGAGTTTTGATTATTCTGCTTGTGCATTCTACTAACCCAGATGACTGGGGTGATAGGCACAATGGAAATGCTGGAAAATGGGCCAGATTTTGCATACTAACTGGATTATTTGTGCAGTGAAATGAGTGCCTCTGTTGCTATAAAGTTCTTGAGGAACTCCCCAAATCGGAATAATTTTCTCTAAGATAATTTTACTTACCGCCAAGGCTGCTGCTCTTCTGCATGGAAATGCTTCTACCCATGAGAAAATACACAAACCATCACTAGGATGTGCCTGTATCTTTGTGATGGTGGTAGCTGAAAAAATCTAGTTGCCATACCTCGAAAGGGCCTTCTGGTAAAGGAAAATGACATGGAGAACTGGGTCAAGGTTTCCTTGCATTATATTCTGGGAAGACAGCCCTGACTGTATACCCGTGAGCAACAGTTGGAGAAGGTTTCCGACAACATTGTTCTCCTCAAGAAATCAATAATCTTATCAGGGCTCCAGTGAGTCACATCGTGTATGCACGTTAAGAAAGATGGCTGGACCGGGCGCGGTGGCTCACGCCTGTAATCCCAGCACTTTGGGAGGCCGAGGCGGGCACATCACGAGGTCAGGAGATCGAGACCATTCTGGCTAACAGAGTGTAACCCCGTCTCTACTAAAAATACAAAAAATTAGCCCGGCATGGTGGCGGGTGCCTGTAGTCCCAGCTAGTCAAGAGGCTGAGGCAGGAGAATTGCGTGAACCCAGGAGGTGGAGTTCACGCCATTGCACTCCAGCCTGGGCAACAGAGCGAGACTCCATCTGAAAAAGAAAAAAAAAAAAAGAAAGATGGTTGTAACTTAGTTGGAAGTATGAGTAGAACATTTGGTCAAACCGTACATCAGTCTCAGAAGCGCATGTGCCACTTTTGTTTCCCAATTTTCTCGTCCTGTTTTTGGAGATTTAGATTGAGCTAATTTTACATAAAAATCTAACTTCCTTAAAGGCCAAAATGGTTTGATCTTTTTGTTCAGATATGTTTATGGCCACCCTGTTTGCTATACTACCTGCTAACTGGCTTATCTTGCTTTTTTGAGTGTCTTTGAATGGCCTGGAATCTTGATAATGGCTAATGATTTTGGCAATAGTATGGCTTGCCATAATTCTGAAACAAGGCACCCATTTTTTTGTGGGCTGACTAGAAAAGGTTAAAAATCCTTTGTCTCCATAGCATTCCAAAGTTATGAGCTACTCTATAAGCATACCTGCTATTGGTATAAAGATTAGCAGTTATTCCTTTTGCCAACTGACAGGCTCTAATTAATGCTATTAACTTTGCTTGTTGAGATGATTGCTCCTGGAAGACAAGCACTTTCTATTTCTTTGGGCAAAGACGCTATGGCATAACCAGTGTAATACCTTCCAGCTGCATCTTTAAGTAAGAGCCATCTGTAAACCAAATAACATCAGCGTTAGTGAGGGGGGTTCTTGCATGTCTGTCCTAGGAGAGAGCTGGTCAGGTAAGATGATGCAGTCATGCAGCGTTTCAGCTGAAGGTGGGGGAGAGGGTGGCAGGATTTAGATGACATCTGGACATTGTAGTATGCGGCTGAGAGAATAACTTCATGAGAAGCCAGTTACTAACTGATCGTGTTGAGTGTGATGCAAGTTTAGAAGCGTTTCCACAGAATGCGTATCGAAGGCAGTGAGGGGTGATCGCATCCTTGGTGGTTTGGTTGCTCTTGCAGAGCTGTGATGGTTGTTGCATCATGCAAGGAGACAGTCCTTTAGCTGTAGGGTCTAGTTGTTGACTGTAATACCCTACAAGTCTGCTTTGTCTCCATGTTTTTGAGTCAGAACGACAACAAACGTTTTACTTGCCAACAATTCTGCAACCTGAGCTGGACCCAGGCCCGACGGGCTTTGCAGACAGTCACGTGTGTGGCTGGCCTCAGCTGGGATGTTGGGATAGCTGGGTTGTCCTCCCTCTTCCATTTCATAGGATCTCGGGATCTCTTTCCATCATTTTTCCTTAGGAAGTTGGCCTTTTAACATGGTAGCTCACGGCTCCCAAGCGTGCACCCATGTGTAAGCTTTAACGATTGCACTGAAGTTGGCTTGGTGTAATTGTCTGCTTATCGATCTTTTTCTCGGCAGGTTTCCTGTTCTCTCACTCCGTACGTGATTAATTTATTTTCCCAGGACGTCCCAGTTACCCGGGCCGGGGGGGACCGGCCCGCGCGGCAGTGCGAGGTCGGGCCTGAGCAGGGCGCCTGTTGGATAGCGTAGCAGGTGAACTGCCCACTGCACGTTAACAATCGTAACACCCTGCACCCTTTAAACAGGCTTCTTTTTTCTTTTCTTTTTTAAACAGGCTTCTTTCATCAGAAGTGTGAATCAAACCAATGCCGTTAACACACACACCCCCACACCCACACACCAAATTATGGCCTTTATGGTGCTACCGGCCACCAAGTGCCCTCCAAGCAAGCCCGTCACGCTCGCGACTCCGGGGCCGCTCTGTCCGCGCAGCTCGAGGGCCTCGGGCCACCTGTCGCCCGGAACTTTCTCGGCCGACCGGGCAGCAGCAGGGGGAATGCACCAGACAGGGCCGGGAACGCTTAGGCAGCCGCACGCGCGGCCGCGGCGCAGGGAAGAAGCGGGGCATTGTGGGAAGCGCCCGCGCTTTCGGCGGGTTCCGTTAAAATGGCGCCCTGGTGGCCGGCGGCGCCCGCGCCTTAGCCTGTCAGGAGCAGGGAGCTTGCGGGGCGCAGGAAGGGCGCGGGCCGCGGTCCCTGCGCGTGCGGCGGCAGTGGCGGCTCTGCCCGGACCACCGTGCACGGCTCCGGGCGAGGATGGCGACCCCGGACCAGAAGTCGCCGAACGTTCTGCTGCAGAACCTGTGCTGCAGGATCCTGGGCAGGAGCGAAGGTAGAGTGGCCGGGCGACGCGAAGCCCGCAGACCCGTCCCGGGGGCTGCTCCCTGCGCGTGCAGCCCTAATACGTTCCGGGGCTGGAGGAACGAGGATGCAGGGCCGGGCAGAGGGCTGGGGGACGGGCCGAGGACGTGGGGCCCGGACGAGGGAGCGGAGGGCTGGGGTTCGAGGGTCAGGGAGCCGGGGAGGACAGCGGAGGGCTGGGGGCCAGGACCGGGGCGGAGGGAGTGGAGAGGCCAAGGCCGGGGCGAGAACGCCGGGGCGGGAGGCGGGAGGGCGGAGCCGAGCCGGAGCGGGCTGAGTCACCGCTCACTCCGCTCGCGGGTCCGTCAGTGAGGACGGGAGGAATGCCAGCTCGCCAATTTATCCCCCTTCTCTGGTGTCACGCGCCGTGGGAGGGCGCCTCTGCGCGCCTTTGGGTTCATCCTGTGGGGTGGAGAGAGCGGCTGCGCCGCGGAGGTGGATGCGGGGTGCTGGAGTGTCACATCATCGTCCCTTTTCGTTAGGAAAGTTTAACAGGCTTGAGTATTATGGGAAGAGGGTGTTAACGACTGTAACTGCCGTGTTTTCCTACTGTTTAAAGGGTTGAAGGTTGGATTTGATATAAAACTATTCTGGGAAAGTTCACATGGCGAATATTGTTACTAATAAGCAAAACTAATCCTATACGGTAGGTAAAACCATTTTGTAGTCGAGGTACTTTGAAAGAAATGGTACAGGATGCCATTTCTTGCTCCTTGTTTTGGCCAGGTTGGTGGGGCAGAGAGTGAGGATGCACCATGAGGGAATTTTCTGAGTAATGGAAGCAACTGAGTTACATCTTAAGCACCAAAATGTGGAAAAGAAGTTACTCAATTTTTGAAGGAAGACTTCAAAGTTACATTTAAAGTACTGAGAATGCATTTTGACCTTTCATGCTTCATGACAATTACTGTACATAATTCATTGGATGTTCTATGATAATCTTGGGGCAATCATGAATAATTTTGTGTCGCTATTAAATGAGTGACTTCACACAGTTCTTGCTGCATCTTGTAAAGTTTGATTCTATCACTTTATTTATCTAAGAAATCTTTGAGGACAACCCCGTCCTCAAAGTTCCCCCCGGGAACTGTGCTAAGTGCTGGTGATGCAGATGCACAAGTCATTCCTCCCACAGATCTGACAGACACTCTACTGGAAGAGACAGATGATAAACCAGCCATGTTAATTAGCAATAAGTACTGTGGCGAAAAAGTAGGGTAAAGGAATAGAGAGGGAAGAGGCAGGTGAGGGAAAGCCTCTGAGATATTTAAAGAGACCTGAATGGAGTAAGGGAGGGCCATTTGAACATCTGGGGAAGGTTCTGAGTAGAGAGAACCAGTGGAAAGGTCTTGAGGTATGAGCATGGCCTGCCATCGTTTGTTTTTGTCATTAGCAGACTGAGTTTCCTTTCACATGTTTCATGTTCCTCGTCATAGGGGGAATCAGATAAAACTAAGATTGTTAGGACTTACCCACCTTAATGTCAGTGTTTTCCTTATACCAGTGGTTCCAGAGTTTTTTTTTCTAGGGATAAACCACACATTCATACATTCCCATTGTTATAATTGGATTTTGAAATTCATTCATCATGAGCTAGAATGATATTTCTCAACCTAAGAACTTTTTTTTTTTTTTGAGACAGAGTCTCACTCTGGTCGCCCAGGCTGGAGTGCAGTGGTGTGATCTCGGCTCACTGCCAAGCTCTACCTTCCGGGTTCATGCCATTCTCCTGCCTCAGCCTCCCGAGTAGCTGGGACTACAGGCGCCCGCCACCACGCCTGGCTCATTTTTTGTATTTTTAGTAGAGACGGGGTTTCACTGTGTTAGCCAGGATGGTTTCGATCTCCTGACCTCGTGATGCACCCGCCTCGGCCTCCCGAAGTGCTGGGATTAGAGGTGTGAGCCACCGCGCCCAGCCAAAAACTTTTTTTTTTTTACATTGAAGATTCTTTGATATAAAAGTTTTGTCCCTTCTAAGAGACTGAAAAGCTTCTTTTCAGCAAAATTCTGTATCCTACTATCTTCCCATTTAGAACTGTGTCTAAAAGTGGGCTCTCAGATCCTGACAGGGTCCTCTCTGAATAAATAATTTATTTATTTATTTATTTGAGATGGAGTCTTGCTCTGTCACCTAGGCTGGAGTGCAGTGGCATGATCTGGGCTCACTGCAACCTCTGCCTCCTTCAAGTGATTCTCCTGCATCAGCCCCCCAAGTAGTTGGGATTACAGGTGTATGCCAGCACTCCTGGCTAATTTTTGTGTTTTTAGTAGAGATGGGGTTTCACCATGTGGCCAGGCTGGTCTCCAACTCCTGACCTCAAGTGATCTGCACCCCACCCCCCTGCCGCTTGGCCTCCCAAAGTGCTGGGATTACAGGCACGAGCCACTGCGCCCGGCCCTCTCTGAATAAATTATGTCATGAAGTCCATTAAAGGTGATGCTCTTTTTGCTATGTTCTAGATAGCTAGGATTGTCAAGCATTTATGATATAATTTTAAATTATGCTGCTATTTACTGAAGAATTTATAAATAGTAGCTTACCTTGTTCTTTCATTTGTTATACCTTAGTGAGCAAAGGAGCAATATTAATTACTACCTTTACAATATTTGGTGTTAAAAATTTGATTAGTGAGCATTTTATCTGGTAACTCCATAGAATATTTGATTAATTACCTTATTCTTTGATGACATATTACAATTGGCCTTATGCTTTTGTAATACATTTTTTTTAGTACTATGAAATCAAGGCATAATAGGTACTTGTTACTTTTAATGAGAATTTCATATGAATCACATTTTTATAAGGTATCTTTTAAAAAATTATACAGTTGACTTCAAGGGACCTTCAGAAGCAAAGCACCTACATATAATGGTGCTTGACAGTTTTACAAAGTTAGCATGACCATGATTTACCACCTTTTCCAACTTATAACATCTGTGAATTTGCTTGAAACACATACTGCCAGCCAGTCATAGTCAAATCCTGTCTCCATATCCCTGCCCCTCCTGGGAGCACATTTATTTATTATGTCTTTGCGTAATTATTCTTATCATTGGAAACAGTGTGCTTGATGTTAATGTTCAAATCTGTCAGAGGTAACACTTCTTTTCATAGCTACTTTGTAATCCTTTTTCTAACTATGAGGTAAAGAATACATAAAGAGGAATTTATATTAGATAAGTATTTCATCATAAATGTTCAGGTATGACTACAGTACACAGCATATTCGAAGATGATTGCCATAATATGCAAGACCTCTATGAGTGTCCTACAAGCCACTATCAGAAGATAAAGGATTATTGTTTTGGTGATTCAGTACCACAAGTGGTGTTGCTATTGGTTTCATGATTTTCCAAAATGGTAAAGAGCTTTTGATGAAGTTCCAAATACCATGTGATCTTCCTTTGGTTATATAATTACATTCTTGGGAAGATCAATGTGTATTACATGTATATTAAGATATACATTAGATGTGTATTAAAACTTCAGAGTTTCAGGCTTTGTTTCAAGTTGTACTTGATGGATTTACTATTTTTCAATAAGTTAAAATTTAAAAATTGTTTTGGCTTAAATTTCTAATATGGTAACTGTGGATAGATATAACCTACATAAACAAAAGCTTTTTGGAGTTCTCAATCGTAATAGTGTAAAGAAGCCCTGAGACCAAAGAGTTTGAGAACCACGCATCTAGAGTAATGTTTTTGTTGTTTTAGAGCATTGCTTTTCAACTAGAGCCATGCATTGGAATCGCCTGTGATTTCACAAGAACCTGATAACGTTGATTGCCTGTGGGAAGGGGAGCTGGTGGCCAGTGGTTGAGAACAGGACTTTTTATGGTATCTAACTTCATGCCTTTTCATTTTAAACTCTCTAAATGTGGGACTTACTCAGAATTAATATTGTGGGCTTCATCTCTAGGGCTTCTGATCCTGTAGGTGTCTGTTGGAGCTTGGCATCCGAAACATTAAAATGCGTGATAAGTTACTCTGACTTGCATCTGGAGTCAAGGGTGGCTAGTGTATGTGCTCTGTTCCTCTACTAAGCACTGTGGCTTACTCCCAACGCCCTCCTGACCCCTCCCCCATCCTTCAGAAAAGCAGAAGTGTGGAACATATAGTCCACGCTGTCGACAAGAAACAGGAAGGCAGAAACTTGGGTCTCCCCAAACAGTTCAACTTTTCCGCAGTTGTTTTTTGAATCTTGAGAAACACACAACTGTGGAGTTTCTGTATTCACTTGAGTCGAATTTATTTTTGTGCATCTTGAAGTTCAGTTGTCATCTTTAACCTGAGTGTATATAGAATCTTTTGGGGATACAAAGGGCAACTTTTTTGTTTAAAAGCTCTTGGGCCCACATCCAGGTGTCTCTGGAGCCTTCACATTTGGGACTGAACGCAATTCCAGCTGAGGGTCTTGCCTTGGCTTTGTATCTCCTCTAGTTCCTCTTCTCCTCTTCAGTCAGAGGGTCCTTTCTAGAAAACCAATCTCATCGAATCTGTTGAAGGCTTAATTTGTTCTCTATTTGTAGTCTTCAAGATGAAGACCAAATTATCTTGCTCAAGGTTAAAAATTGGGTGCATTTTTTGAGTTGTGATTCTAATGGCTGTAGCAGATATAGTATGTATTTAATATTTTCAGGTTAATAACAATACGAATAGCTAACATTTATATAAAACTTAAAATATGCTGGATGTTGTGCTTATACTGTGGTAGAATTATGGTGAACCTCATTTTCTAGATGAGAAAACTGAGACTTTGAGAGATTAAGTAGTTTGCTCACTATCATCGAGCTAGTAAATTGCGGGGCCAAGGTTGGAACCCAAGTTCTGATTCTACAGCTTGATATTTTGAATTAATTCACCCCGGCTTTTAAGTGTTGAATTTGATGGCGAATTTCTCTGTGTGCTCGATAGAGACAATAAGTCATGGCCCAGCTTGTGGGATGGCTTCTCACCTCTATCCGCTCTTGTGTTTAGAGTGTACAACTCAGCAGCACTGCTCTCTGGTCAGGCAGTGTGCCCTTGCATTCATTGAAATAATTTCAGAGGATCATCAGAGGAGTGTTCACTCCCCTTCCAGGAACCTGAGAACTGCCCACCCCTCACACACCCAGAGCAGATTAGAGGTGGGAGAACTAGACCTCTCCTTAGGTGATTTGTGGCCAAAAAAATGGAGTACTCTATTTTTCACTCTTGCATTAAGCAGAATCATCAGAGATCTACATCTGGACCTTGTCACCTGGGGCTCTCGATGGAGTGACTGACTGAGTGGCATTTAGAGCCCTGTGGCACGGCCTCCCTGCAGCAGCAGTGTCCAGTGCCGCCCTTCCCTGTGGGTTCCCCTCTCTGGTCCCTGGGCTCCTCACGTGGCAGCCTTGGCTGCCAGGCTAACGGTGTTTCCTGCAAGGCCTTCCCTCAGCATCTACTTCACGAGGTCCTCCTGGTCATGAGCTGTCATAGTGCCCTCATTTTCTTTGACGCTCTTATCACAGTCTGCCTTGGGTACTTATGTGCCACATTTGTTATGTTCTACGTCTGTCTCATTAACCACTGTACATCATATTGTTAGGGCCTGACGTGTTTGGCCTGTAGTAAGTATTTAGGAGTTATTCATTGAATTACTGATTGAGTTTAGTTATACTTTAAACACTGAACAGTATTTTGGGAGTATTTAAACCAGAAGCGTGTAGTGGACATTGCTTGATTTTTTCCCAGCTTATTCTTTGATTGCAGGTTCACTAAACAAGGAATGATTGCTATGTCTAATTTCTTTAGTAGTCTGGATTCTGTGCTTTTCCCTCTGAAGCACAGATTAAGTAGATTTGGTTTAAGAGGTAACAGTTGGATTTTTAAAAATATTTTATAATCAGCAAGAAGGATAAACTGGAAATTTGGTTGGTAAGAGGACAGGGAGACTCAGGTGTGGCTGAAGAGGTAAGTGGGGGTGAAATGATGACATCCATCTGAGGTGCAGAGAAAGTGAGGAGGTGAAGAGGAGAGTGTTTCTGGCATTGAAGAGTTCCTAACTTTTTGGTATGAGAAAGTTGAAAAGTATATAAAACATTTGGATTGGGGATATTTATGTGATGTACTTGAGTGTGAAAATGGTAACCTAAAAATAATTTTTACTGGCTGGGTACGGTGGCTCACACCTGTAATCCCAGCACTTTGGGAGGCCAAGGCGGGAGGATTGCTTGATCCCAGGAGTTCGAGACCAGCCTGGGCAACATGGTAAGACCCTGTCTGTACAGAAAATATAAAAATTAGCTGGATGTGGTGACACATACCTGTAGTCCCAGCTACTTGGGAGGCTGAGGTGGGGGAATCACTTGAGCCCAGGAGGCAGAGGTTGCAGGGAGCCGAGATCTTACCACTGCACTCCAGCCTGGGCGACAGAGTGAGACCTTGTCTGGGAAAAAAAAAATTCTTAAATAGTGACACAACTTTTAAAGGAAACTTTTCAATGATACTTTTAATATTTGTAAAATTAATATATACGCAGTGTAAAAATTCAGAAAGTGGAAAAATATAAGGAGAAAAAAACTACCCCGACCCTGTGACCCCACAAAACATTTTAGATTTCATTTTGTTCCTTTCCCCACTATGCAGGCATTCACTGGATCCTTGCTGACACAGTGCGCTTGTGTCTGCTTTAGCTAGAATAGGGACAGAAAGATGGGGGGGTGTGAGTCCTTAGAGGATGTGGAGAAGAGAGAGCTGGGTGCCGAGCTGGAGGTGAGCTTGGTGTGTTCCAGGAATAGCAGGAGTGCAATGTGGGGAGCAAGGGGCCGGCTCCCTGGGCTGGGGCCAGGAGGTTGGGTTCTGTTGTGAGTGTGATGGGTGTGTGAGCAGAGTGATGATAATATTTATATTTTAAGAGGATCACTTTGACTGCTGGGTGGATAATTCACTCTAAGGGGGCAAAGGTGGAAGCAAGTGAGCAGCTCCTCAGGAGACTTCCTGTAATGGGATGGTAGCTGTGGAGTGATCATATTTGGGATATGCTTTTAGAAATAGAATCAACAGGATTTGCTGATCTAAATAATTACTTAATAGTCTGAAAATGTCTTTATTTCTCTTACGCTTCTATTCCTGAACTCTTGGATCATCAGTCAGATATAGATATTCTGGTCTGAAGTGTTTTTCCTCTGCCCACTTTGAAGGTATTCTTTCATTATTGATGAGAAGTCTGATGTTAATCCATTTCTTACTCCTTTGAAGATGTGTCTGGTAGCTTTTAGAATTTTAAAAAATCCTGCATGTTCTGAAATTTTGCAATAATGTGTCTAGGTGTGGAACTTAAAAATTTACCTGGATTAACACTTGATGATCCTTCAATCTGAGGACTTTTCCTTTTTTTAAAATTTATTATTTTTTTCAAAGCTAGTGACAGACTTAGAATTTTTTTTTTGAGAAGGATCTTGCTGTATTGTCCAGGCTGGTCGCAAACTCCTGGGCTCAAGTGATCCACCTCAGCCCCTGAAAGTGTTGCAATTACAGGTGTGAGCCACCACGCAGGGCTGACTTTTTTTTAATGATAGAAAAATTTTACTATTTTTTCTTCATAATTTCTAACTGTTCTTTTGTTGTGTTTGATTTTCTAGCTTGCATTTAAATTGTCCTTTAGTATCTCCATTCTGCTATTTAGCCCATTTAAAAAAATTCTCAGTGTTTAGGTTCACAGTGATTTCCTCTGTGCTACCATTTTGCCTTTGTGCTGGCCGCCACCATCCTGTGTCTGTGTATGTCTCCGCTTCTAGAATTTCACGTAAATGCAGTCATACAGTGTTCAGTCAAAAGTTTTGAGACTTGTTTCTTTCACTTAGTATAACGCGTTTGAGATGCATTTACAGTGCCATATCAATAGTTCACCTTTTCATTGCAGAGTAGTGTTCCATTGTATGATGAACCAGTTTATCCATTTTACCACTGAGGGACATTTGGAGTGCTTCCGTTTTTGGCAGTTATGGATAATGCTGCTATGAACATTCATGGACAGGTTTTTTATGTGAACTTAAGTTAGTTTTCTAGAATAAACACCTGCAAGTGGGGTTGTTGGGCCTCAGGGCAGGTGCATGCTCATTGTTTTCAGAAGTTGCCAGACTCTTTTCCAGTATGGCTGTGGCTGCTTTGCCGCTGCACCAGCAGTGTGGGAGAGCTCCAGGGATGCCATGGCTCCACCCGCACACAGCAGTGTGGGAGAGCTCCAGGGATGCCATGGCTCCACCCCCACTCAGCAGTGTGGGAGAGCTCCAGGGATGCCATGGCTCCACCCGCACACAGCAGTGTGGGAGAGCTCCAGGGATGCCGTGGCCCCCCGGCACTCAGCAGTGTGGGAGAGCTCCAGGGATGCCGTGGCCCCCTGACACTCAGCAGTGTGCGAGAGCTCCGGGGATGCCGTGGCCCCGCGGGCACTCAGCAGTGTGGGAGAGCTGCAGGGATGCCGTGGCCCCGCTGGCACTCAGCAGTGTGCGAGAGCCCCAGGGATGCCGTGGCCCCGCGGGCATTCAGCAGTGTGGGAGAGCTCCAGGGATGCCGTGGCCCCACTGTCACTCAGCAGTGTGGGAGAGCTCCAGGGATGCCGTGGCCCCACCTGCACTCAGCAGTGTTAGTGGTTTTTAATCTTAGCTATTCTAGCAAGTGTGTTGTGATATCTCAGTGTGGTTTTAATTTTAATTTTCCTAGTGATGTTGAACATCTTTGTGTGTGTGTGTGTGTTTGCCATTCATATGTCTTCTTGGTGAATTATCTGTTCAAAACTTTTGCTTATGTCTTTGTGTTTTGCACATATTTTTTCTCAGTATTTTCATTCTCTTAACAGTGTCTTTTGCAGAGCAAAAGTTTTTAATCTTGATGAAGGCCAATGTATGAATTTCTAAAAAAATGGGTCATCATTTTGGTGTCATGTAGGAACTCTGCCAAACTCAAAGTTGCAAAGATTTCTTTGTTTTGTTTTATTTCTAAGAGGGGCTTATGTTTTACTCTTCTATTTAATTTTTGCTGGGGTGATCAGACCCAACACCAGGTCGTGGGGGTGACGAAGTCTGGTGGAGTCGAAGGAATGAGAAAAGACAGTTTGAGAGCGAAAGTGGGTCCAGGGGGCCATCGCTAAGTATGGAGGCTGTGAAGGCCCTGAGCTCTGGAAGCCCAGACTATTTATTGGTGATCAAACAAAGAAACAGGTGGTGAGAATGTGGGGGTCGAAAGGTCGCGTTGCATTAAGCACATGATTTACAGGTGTGATGATTTAGCATCTGCTCTGCTACTTGAGATAATGGAGAGCAGGTTCTTTTTTTTTTTTTTTTTTTTTTTTTTTTGAGACGGAGTCTCACTCTTTCGCCCAAGCTGGACTGCAGTGGCGCTATCCCGGCTCACTGCAAGCTCCGCCTCTTGGGTTCATGCCATTCTCCTGCCTCAGCCTCCCGAGTAGCTGGGATTACAGGCGCCCACCACCACGCCCGGCTAATTTTTTGTATTTTTAGTAGAGACGGGGTTTCACCGTGTTAGCCAGGATGGTCTCGATCTCCTGACCTCGTGATCCGCCCGCCTCGGCCTCCCAAAGTGCTGGGATTACAGGCGTGAGCCACCGCGCCCGGCCGAGAGCAGGTTCTTTTAACTCAAGATACAATCGATCCTGGGAGAGCAAGGAGCAAGGAGCCAGCAAGTCTAGACACATTCCAGAGCCACGAGTCCTGGATTCCATCCAAGCCACGAGGGGTTTTATGCCCTGGGCTGAGATTATGGTGCGTCAGGGTAGCCTTCCGCCCTTTAGCACAGATTGGCGTTCCAAAGGCCTCAAGGGATTTTAGACCCTGGACCCCGGACATGTTCCAAGACTCTTTTACGTTAGTCAGACATGCAAGCCCTGCCTCAGCTTCTCCCAACACTCAGCTTTTCCCAACAAATTTTCATATGTGGCATGTGATATAGGTTGAAATTCATTTTTGAGTTTACCAAAGAAAGCTTTTTCCCCCCTCACATTTTAGTTGCTTTCTTATCTTGAAGACTAAAAGTTTGAAAACGGAGCTTTAAAAAATATTGATGCCATGGCTCCCCACTCCAGACTGATAAAATCAGAATTTGTGAAAAGTGAGTCTTGGCATTAATATATTTTAAAAAAATGTTTTATTTTAGAATGATGATAGACTTACAGAAAAATTGCAAATATAGAGTTCCTGTAAGCCCAGTACCATTTTGTCTTACATAACCGTGGTACACTTGTTAGAATTAATTAATTAATAATGATACACTAGTATTAATCAAGCTCCATAGTTATTTAGATTTCCTCACTTAGCACTCGGTGGCCTTTTGCTGTCTCTAGGCTCCCTCTAGGAATGTTACATTCATTTGTCTTGTCTCTTTGGGCTTCTCTTGACATTGACAATTTCTCGGACTTTTTTTTTCATGATCTTGAGAATTTTGAGGATTAAAGGTTATTAGTAGACTGTCTCAACTGAGTCTGATATTTTTATCATGACTAGACTGGGGCTACATATTTTTGGGAGGAAGACCCCCAGGGTGAAGTGACATTTTCATCACATCATATGGAGGATACCTGCCACCAGGGTGATTCATCATTCTTGAAAGTGACCTTGATCGCTTGGCTAAGGTGTGTGTGCCAGGTTTCTCTGCTGTGAGTGACTCTTTTTTTCTGCCTGTATTGTGCTCTTTGGAAGAAAGTGTGCCCAGCCCACACTTATGATATGGAGTTGTTTTAGCTACCTCCTTGAGAGTGAAGTGTCTACATAAATTACTTAGCCCTTATTATCTTTTAAATTTTTATAAGATCAGTGGCAGTATCCCTTCCTGATTCTGTGTCTTGTCTTGTTTTTCTTGGTCAGTCTGGCAAAGGTTTATCAATTCTGTGATTTTTTTTTCTTTTTTTTTTTTAAGAATTTTTTTTTTCCCTCCACCCCACCATTTTTTGTTGTAAATTTCATTGACTGCTGGGGTTTTTTTTTTTTTGTTTGTTTGTTTTACCATTTCCTAATGTGTACTTTGAGTTTTGTTTGTTCTTTTTCCAGATTTTATCATATAAACTGAGATTATTGATTTGAGGTCTATCTTCCTTTTTAAAGAAAGCATTTTATGCTATAAATTTTCCTCTAAGGACTGTTTTAGCCACATCTCACATATTTTGATATGTTGTGTTTTTATTTTCATTCAATTCATTTTCTGATTTTCTTTGACAGTTTTTATTGCCCATGTATTTTTTTCAGCTTTGTTGAGGTATAATTGATAAATCCAAAATATATATTTAAGGTATGCAATGTGATGCTTTGATGTATGTATGGATTGTGAAATGATTACCACAGTGAAGCTAATCAATATGTTCGTCAGCTCACCTCAGTACCCGTTTTTTTGTGTGTGTTTGTGTGTGTGGTGAGAAAA
This sequence comes from Homo sapiens, assembly GCF_000001405.40. Classification (NCBI taxonomy): domain Eukaryota; kingdom Metazoa; phylum Chordata; class Mammalia; order Primates; family Hominidae; genus Homo; species Homo sapiens. The sequence continues at coordinate 112,576,484 of NC_000013.11, read as the reverse complement.
CCTGTGATTTACTCTCAGCAGATTTCAAGTACACAATCTATTGTCATTAACTACCGTCCCCATGCTGTGTGTTAGGTCTCCAGAACTCATTCACCCATGACTGCAAGTTTGAAGTGCTTGCTCTTGGAGTAAGAAGTTGCATTGCTTTCTTCTACTGCAACCCCTTGAAAGTGCATTTACTGTAGTTTGAGGCTTTTCCCCGAGAGATTTCTAGGACCTTTATAGAGAAAGAGAAAGGAGTAGCAGTTTTTCCAATTTGAGGCCTGTTCTGACCTTTCTTTTGACAGCTCAGCCTTGCTTCTGTTAAATTTTTTAGCTGTTCAGAATTACGTTCATTCCATGAATTTTTAAGTCTTGTAGTTGTTACTGTGAAGATGTAATATAGTGATATAAAACAACCTTTTAAATAAGGTTTAATTTAAGTAATGAAAGGCACGTACGTAATTTTCCTATGACTGCTGTAACAAATTATTACAAATTAGTTCGTTTATTCCCCTGTGTTTCTGGAGACCAGAGCCAAAGGCAGTGTCCTGGGGCTGACTGCAGGTTGCAGGGCTGGGCTACCCCTGGAGGCTCTGGGGGGTGCTGCGTCGCCTTTTCCAGCTCCAGTGACTGTGGTGCTCCTTGGCTCATTGGCTCCTTGGCCCATGTGTGTGTTGACTGACTGCCAGATGTTTGGAGATTTTTCAGATACCATTCTGTTAAGGATTACTAGTTTAATTCTGTTAGTGTTAGAGGACATACTTTGAATAATTTTATTGTTTTCTATTTAATCAGACTGCTTTGTGACCCACAATTCAGTCTGTCCTGAATGTTCCACGTGCATTTGAAAAGAGCGTGTGTTGTTTTGTTGTGGGGTGGGCTGTTGTGTGAATACCGATTAGGTTTAGTTGGTTGTTGGTGTTCAAGTTGATATCCTTGCTCATTTTCTCTTCACTTGCCCTTTGGATTACTGAGAAATGCCCCTTGATGTCTCCAGATGTATTTGTGAATGTCTGTTTTTCCTTTCAGTTCTATTAGAGTTTGCTTCATGTGCCTTACAGCTCTGCTGTTTAGAGTGTTCACATTTAGAATTGCTATGTCATCTTGGTGAATTGCCCTTTTATCATTTTGTGATCCCTACTTTATCCTTGTTAATTTTTCTTAGTCTAAAGTTTACTTTGTCTGATAGAAATGTAGCCAGTTCACGTTCTTTGAATAGTGTTTTCATGGAATATCTTTCTTCTTCCTTTCATTTTTAAGGATATCTTTCATCATGTCTCAGTTGGGCTCCTTCTCGATAGTACACAGCTTTAAGGGGTGACTTTTTCCAGCTTCCTCTTCTGTGCTGCTGCCCTCACTCTGGTTCCCAACACATTTCCTCATGTTCTGGCTAAAATCCGAACCCCCAGCCTGCCAGCCTTGTGATGGAGTTTTGGGGCCATTATTGGTTCTTGTCAAGTGTGGAATGGGGCAGCCCACTGCGGGGGTGCCCCTGAAGGTAGAAGGGGCTGGTAGCCTGGCGCAGGGCTGGGAGAGCTGTGGTGCTTCCTCCCTCCCTCCCCACCTGGGCCCTGGCTGGGGAGACTGGGCCTGGCTCGGAGGTTTTTCTGTCTTTGCCTGTTTGTGGTTTGGGTTTTGGAGTGTTACCCAGCCCCAGCTGGTGCAGTAAACAGCAAACAGATAAAGAAAATATCAAAAAGCAAAAATGGGGGAAGTCATTCCAGGATTTCCTTTGATTCATCAGTTTCATACCCAGTCTGCTTCTCTTACCCATTGTTCAGAGTCTGATTGGAGGTGTTTTATGTATTTTTGCCAGAGTTTTACATTGTCATCAGTAGTGGAGTGTGCTTACTCTGTCTTGACGGAGATGACTTCTGTCTCTAGTTTCTTCTTTCAAGTCAATCCTGTTTGTTTTCTTTACATCTTTCAGGGATTCTTCAGTTTCTGTTTCACCAAGAGTGCTCTTCTTAGATCCACTTTTCTGGTTTTGTTTATATCTTCCTTAAATCCTTTGTTACATTTCTGGGGATTTTGGATTGTCTATGGATTGGGCAGGGGAAGTCACACTGTGAGCTCAGAGTGCCCACTTGAAGATTCTCTGTGGATTGGGCAGGGGAAGCCACACTGAGCTCAGAGTGCCCACTTGAAGATTCTCTGTGGATTGGGCAGGGGGAAGCCACACTGAGCTCAGAGTGCTCACTTGAAGATTCTCTGTGGATTGGGCAGGGGAAGCCACACTGTGAGCGTGGAGTGCCCACTTGAAGATTCTTTGTGGATTGGGCAGGGGGAAGCCACACTGTGAGCTCAGAGTGCCCACTTGAAGATTCTCTGTGGATTGGGCAGGGGGAAGCCACACTGTGAGCTCAGAGTGCCCACTTGAAGATTCTCTGTGGATTGGGCAGGGGAAGCCACACTGAGCTCAGAGTGCCCACTTGAAGATTCTCTGTGGATTGGGCAGGGGAAGCCACACTGTGAGCTCAGAGTGCTCACTTAAAGATTCTCTGCGGATTGGGCAGAGGAAGCCATACTGAGCTCAGAGTGCCCACTTGAATTTCCAGGTGCCACTCATAGTTCCACTTCCTTCCTAGGATGGAGAACAGTGTTGGCTTTTGCTGGCAGATGCAGCTGGGCACTGCCCTGTTGGGCTGCTCCTCTGCATCCCGGGTTGAACTGGGCCCAGCACTCAGTGGTGGGGGTGGGGGGATCTGGAGGTATCTACTGGTAACTTGACTTCTAGAGTCATAGAAGTTGGGCAGACAGGCAGGCTATCCCACCCTGGCACCAGCTCCAATCCACTTATTGAAGTGATTGCTTTCGGAAGGTGGAGGCTTTCTGAAAGATTTCTTCCTGACCCTTGACGTTCTTTTGCTGCTGAGATTGTAGTGGGGAACATTCTTCTCCCAGATCCCTTGTACTGAGGGTGGGAGTTCCTCAGATTGGGAGTTTGCCTCTGCAGAGATGAGAGCCTGGATTTTTTCCTGGGGCTAAGGCAGTTGCTGTGAACCATGTAACTTCCAAGGCCCTTCCCTTCTCATCCTTTCTGTCTTGTATGACTTCTTTGGACATTTATTCCACTCCAGGTTTCTCCCTCCCCACTTCTGCCTGGGCTGATCTGGTGATTTCCTTGTCTTGGCTGTCGTAATTTCCATCTTTTTGCCTTTTTGTTTTAGTTTTTGAGAGACTTCTTCAACTTTAAATACAAGCTTTCTACTTATTTTAAAAAACATCTGCCTTCATACTTTTAATATTCAAGAGCTTGTCTTCTCTGAATTTATGGCATACTGTTTTGTTTCATGGATGTGTTATGTCTAATCTCGTAGGCCATTATAGCTTGTTTTTGTACATCTTGCCCCCATTTTCTTATTCCCTACGTTGTTACTTTTTCTTAGAGTTTCCTTTTTTCCTTCTTGTGTTTGTCTCCTTTTTGTTTTAGATGATGCCCTCAGGTATCTGGCGATACCTGTTCTTTTCATCTTTAAGAGTGGAGTTGTCGGAAGGTCTTGGCTAGGGCAGCATTTGCCCAGTGCTGAGCTTCCTTGTGGAGGACAGGCACACGTCATCTTATTGTCCTTTACAGATACTGCGTTATTTGACAATTGGAAGTTTTTGGCACCCTGCGTTGGGCAAGTCTTTAGGTACCATTTTTCCAACAGCATGTGCTCACTTTGTATCTCTGTGTCATATTTGGAAATTCTCACAGTATTTCAGACTTTTTCATGATTATTACATCTGTTACGTTGATGTGTAACTTGTGATCTTTGATGCTGCTGTTGTAATTGTTTTGGGGTGCCATGAAGTGCGCAAACTTAATCAAAAAGTGTTGTGTATGTTCTGACTACTCTGCCGACCAGCTGTTCCCTGTCTCACCCTCTCTCCTCAGGCCTCCCTATTTCCTGAGTCACAACAATATTGAAATTAGGCCAGTTAATAGCCTTACAGTGACCTCTTACTGTTTAAGTGAAATTAGTGATCAACAGAAAACCAAACATGACCTTCTCACTCATAAGTGGGAGTTGAACAGTGAGAACACATGGACACAGAGAGGGGAACAACACACACCAGAGCCTGTTGGAGGGTGGGGGGTGAGGGGCGGGAACTTAGAGGACGGGTCATTAGGTGCCGCAAACCAGCACAGCACACGTATACCTATGTAACAAACCTGCCACACGTGTACCTGTGTAACAAACCTGCACGTTCTGCACATGTATCCCGCTTTTTGTTTTTTAGAAGAAATAATAATAAAAGAAATTAGTGTTCAAGTGAAATGAAGAGTCACATGCCTCTCACTTTAAATCAAAAGCTAGAAATGGTTAAGCTTGGTGAGGAAGGCATGCCAAAAGCTGAGATACGCGAGAAGCTAGGCCTCTTATGCCAGTTAGTCAAGTTGTGATTGAATAGGAAAAGTTCTTGAAGGAAATTACAAATGCTATTCCAGTGAACACAAGAGTAATAAATTGAAACAGCCTTATTGCTAATATGGAGAAAGTTTGAGTGGTCTGGATAGAAGATCAAACCAGCCACAGCATTCCTTTAAGCCAAAACCTAATCTTGAGCAAGACCTTAATTCTGTGAAGGCTGAGAGAGGTGAGGAAGCTGCAGAAGAAAAGTTAGAAGCTAGCAGGGGTTTTTAGTTCATGAGACTGAAGGAAAGAAGCTGTCTCCATAACATAAAAATGCAAGGTGAAGCAGCACCTGCTAATGGAGAAGCTGCAGCAAGTCATCCAGAACTAGCTGAGATCATTGGGGAAGGTGGCTACACTAACAACAGATTTTCAGTGTAAGTGAAACACCCTTCTATTGGAATAAGATGCCATCTTATTGGCGTCTAATAAGATGCCAACTTTCATTCCTAGAGAGGAGAAGTTAGTGCCTTCCTTCAGAGCTACAAAGAATAAGCCGACTCTTGTCTGGGGCTAATGCAGCAGGTGACTGAAGTTGTTGAAGCCAGTGCTCGTTGACCATTCCAAAAATCCTGGGGCCCTTAGGAGTTATGCTAAATCTACTCTTCCTGTGCTCTAGAAATGAAACGACAAAGCCTAGATGACAGCACATCTTTTTATAGCATGGTTTACTGAATATTTTAAGCCTCCTATTAAGGTCTGCTGCTCAGAAAAAGATTCCTTACTGCTCGTTGAGAATGCACCTGGAGTTGTTTTCATGCCTGCTAACATGCATCTGTTCTGCAGAACATGGACCAAAGAGTAATTTCAACTTTCAAATCTTATCACTTGAGAAACACATTTTATAAGGCTATAGTTGCCATAGATAGTGATTCCTCTGATGGATCTGGGCAAAGTAAATTGAAAACCTTCTGGAAAGGATTCATCATTCTAGATGCCATTAAGATCATTTGTGATTCATGGGAGGTCAAATTGTCAACATTAACAGGAGTTTGGAAGAAAGTGATTCCAGCCATGATGGATGACTTTGAGGGTTCAAGCCTTCAGTGGAGGAAGGAACTGCAGATGTGGTGGCAATAGCAGGAGAAGTAGAAGAGGATCTTGAAGAGGTAACTGAACTGCCACAATCTCATGATAAAATGTGAAGGGATGAGGAGTTGCTTTTTATCGATGAGCAGAGAAAGTGGTTTCTTGAGGTGGAATCTACTCCTGCTGAAGTGCTGTGAACATTGTTGAAATGACAACAAAGAATTTAGAATATTACATAAACTTAGTTGATAAAACAGTGGCAGGGTTTAAGAGGACTGGCTTCTGTTTCGAAAGAAGTTCTACTGTGGGTAAAATGCTATCAAACAACATCACATGCTATAGAGAAGAAGCATGAAAGGAAGGGTCAATCGATGTGGTAAACTTCATTGTTGTCTTATTTTAAGAAATTGCCACAGCCTTCAGCAACCACCGCCCTGGTCAGTCAGTAGTCGTCAACATCAAGGTGAGACCCTCCACCAGCAAAAAGATTTCGACTTGCTGAAGGCTCAGATGATTGTTAGCATTTTTTAGCAATAAAGTATTTTTGAATTAAGGCTGTGTATATGTTTTTTTCTTTTTAGACATAATGCTGTTCCACACTTAACAGACCACAGTATATTAAACCTAACTTTTATATGCACTGGGAAAACAAAAAGTTTCATGTGACTCACTTTTTGTGATATTTTCTTTAATATGGTGGTTGGAACCAGATCTGCACTATCTCTGTGGTCTGTCTGAATTTGACAAAGACCCGTGTGCTTGTTGGGGATCCCCACTCATCACCATCTGTCTCTCTTTTCTCTTGGGCTGATCAGTTTTCTCATAGACAAATTGTGCATCCTGGAGTTCTGGGAAGGACTGGGGATCCCTGAGTTGTCTGTTAACTTTACTTAGTGACCGGGGCCACCCTAGTGTCCATCCAGACCAGGCTTGCTGGGCGGGTCTCGGTGGTTGTCTGGCAGCGTGGGATTGGGTGGAGGACCCAGGAGTCTGTTTCCGTCCAAACTTGCAGCCAGGTCTCCCCCTTCAGCCCTGCTTGCTTCTGCATCCTGAGAGTATCCAGTTCCTTCCTTTCCTGAGCCTGCCTGGGCTCTGCAGTGGGAACTGTTATTTCTTCTTGACATTTATTCCTCCCACTCCCCTCTCCCCATTCTTAACTTGACGGACATTTAGTGTTCCGGTTTCATTGTCCTCTTGAATCAGTTACCACACATCTATCTGCAGTCCAGCTTCTCACATTTTTTGACTTCTCTCTGATTCCTTTCTGCCTTGTTTTCTTTGTCCTTGTTGGTTTATGCTTTTAGTTTTAAAAACTCCTTTATCCTCAATTTTATGGTGTTTTTGAAGGGAGTAGAGGCACATGCGTTTAAGCTGTCATCTTCATCTAGAGGTGAAAATGCAAATTAACTGTCTATTTTGACTGTTGAGTGACCTGCTTCTGGCTTTTTGTGTGTGTTGACCCTGGAGTTACTCAGAGGCTCTCTTGACCCGGCCTCCTCTTCTTGTTCATGTGTTGGGATGTGACCCTTTCTGTTCCTTTTCTTTTCGTGATTACTGAGCCAGTTTGTTTTTTGTCATCTAGGATTTTTCAGACTCTCTGGTGTGTTACTGTTCTCATTCTTATTTTATTGAACTCTTATTTCATTCATTCATTCTGTTTTGATATCTTAATAGCTTTTCTGTCCTCTCAGTTAAGACCTTGGGGAGGTGGAAGATAGATGTTATTACTAGTTCACTGTCTTGAACTGGAAGCTTCAGGTGACCAGAACGTAACCTGGTTGGTAACAATCCGCATCCTTTTGTTTGTCTTTCAGCTGATGTAGCCCAGCAGTTCCAGTATGCTGTGCGGGTGATTGGCAGCAACTTCGCCCCAACTGTTGAAAGAGATGAATTTTTAGTAGCTGAAAAAATCAAGAAAGAGCGTACGTATTTTTCTTAAATGTCATGTGTTGGATTCTTAAACTCGTCAGAGCTTAAGCAGATGTATGTATGCATGTGTGTAGGTGTGTATGTAGTTCCCAAGCGCATTTTAATATTGGTACAAAATAAGGACAAGTCAATTCTGTTGTAGAGTCAGAACTATTAGAACATAATACTTTAGAATGTTTAATTCTGGGATGGTGCATAAAGCTTTTGCAAATCCTGGCACCTTAGAGAAGAAAGCTTTCCATTTGTTAGCTTTTGGTTGGTGAGTAGGTTATCTGATTATCCCTGGCAGGGCTCTGCCACCCTGCTTCACCTCTGAAGAGTCTGAGGGGAAGCTCAGCTCTGAGTAATGAGCCGCCACACATGAGCTGTCCTGTTTGAAAGGTGGTTTTTCCAGGTGGCCAGCTCTTCATCCTTATAGTTCTCTGGGCTGTATAAGCCAAACGCAGTGGTGCTTTTCAGTTGGCCTAGAAAAGAGGCCTGCGCGAAGGTCAGTGCATTTCCCTGCTGGGGCCTCCCCGTTAAACTGTCCAAGTGGAGTAGATGTTGGCCTTGGGTCTCAGTAATAACATCTTCTGGAAGTCCATTTGGCCTTGGGTCTCAGTAGTAACACCTTCTAGAAGTCCATTTGGCTGTGGGTCTCAGTAATAACACCTTTTAGAAGTCCATTTGGCCTTGGGTCTCAGTAATAACACGTTCTAGAAGCCCATTTGGCCTTGGGTCTCAGTAATAACACCTTCTAGAAGCCCATTTGGCCTTGGGTCTCAGTAATAACACGTTCTAGAAGCCCATTTGGCCTTGGGTCTCAGTAGTAACACCTTCTAGAAACCCATTTGGCCTTGGGTCTCAATAATAACATGTTCTAGAAGCCCATTTGGCCTTGGGTCTCAGTAATAACACCTTCTAGAAGTCCATTTGGCCTTGGGTCTTAGTGATAACACCTTCTAGAAGTCCATTTGGCTGTGGGTCTTAGTGATAACACCTTCTAGAAGTCCATTTGGCTTTGGGTCTTAGTGATAACACCTTCCAGAAGTCCATTTGGCCTTGGGTCTCAGTAATAACACCTTCTAGAAGTCCATTTGGCCGTGGGTCTTAGTGATAACACCTTCTAGAAGTCCATTTGGCCTTGGGTCTCAGTAGTAACATCTTTTAGAAGTCCATTTGGCCTTAGGTCTTAGTGATAACACCTTCTAGAAGCCCATTTGGCTGTGGGTCTCAGTAATAACACTTTCTAGAAGTCCATTTGGCCTTGGGTCTTAGTGATAACACCTTCTAGAAGTCCTGCGTGGCACAGTTTTCCACCCCTGGCTGTTGCATTATGAACTGTGTTTGGCCCATGGTCTGTGGAGGTCCCACTTTAGACCTGTGTGACTGCACTGGATGGCGAGTCAGTTCTGGGTAGAGTTGAGGGTGTGACCCAGAGTACTTCACCTAGACATAGTGCTTTTGCCTGTTCAGGGCTGGACGAGCAGTGGGAGTCTGAAATGATCCATCTGCTGTTATGATGCAGAGCTTTGGTGTTGCTGAGTGTGCATGTATTATTTAAGACGGGGAATAAAAATGGGGTATTTATACTGCTGTTAACATACTAAAAATTTATTTTCCTCAATGTCTATATAACAACATAAGAACACTATACTCTCCTCTTGAACCCTAAACCATTTTACACATTTTAGATGATTACTGAAGACTCCAGCAATTAGGTACTGTGATAAACAGACCATTTCCTTTACAAAGTTACATTTCATGGCCTCGTGGTGAGCATATTACACATATTTAAACATACTACTATAAGTGTGTCATAGTAGCTAAAAATAAAGTTTGTTTAAACTCAAAGAACTGACAGCTACTTTGTTGCAGTGGATATTCGAGGGAATCTGGGATTTTCCTTTTAAAGAAGAAAACTGCAGCAATGTAGAGTTTGTGTTTCCTGTGGGTGTTGTGTTTTGAGATTAAGGCATGTTGTGTATTGACTGACTCAGGTGCCTCTGGGGTGTCCCCAGCAGGTGTCCCCAACTCTTCTTGGGACCCTCCAGTGAGCACCACCTCCTTCAGCACCTATAGTCCTTTCCTGTGATAGGCACTGTTAATTTGTCATGTTTTATGAATGCTTAGACATTTGAAATTTGATTACAGTTGTTGATAGATCAGTTGAGTTATGGTAGCTCTGCTCTTTGGAATAATATGGAGAAGTTAATTTTCCATTCGATATAACCGACCTCAAATATAAAGTGCTAGTATGTTTTATATTGAAACAAATTGCAAAAGTCATCATGTGTGACAAAACATTTTCCACACTGGCAGGTGGGGTACATTGTAACTGGAGATGTGCTAAAATTTAATAGAGAATCAATTTAATAGAGAAACATCACTTATTTTGTAAATACTATGCGTTCATTTTTATTCTTATTTTATTGTGCTGTGACTGTAGTGCATGTATGAATTAGTGCCAATCTCATTCTATAGAAAGAGCGTCACTTGCTTGATTTCATGGTTGTATTTTGAGTCTATTTATATGTTGTAAATACAGTAAATTATATTAAATTTTAATTGCATTCATTTTGTGTAATGCACTTTACATAGTATGTTTTAAGATAGCTTTCCTTTTCCATATAGGAAGAGTTGCATGTACAGTTATGATTAGATTATGTAATCTCTGGTATGTGCTTCATACCAAGATCCTTTTTTAGCTGAAGAATATGGGGTTGGCTGTAAAGTCAGTCATTATCTTTGTACAGATGAATTAGAACATTTAATGCTAAATGTGATTGGCTGATGAGCTTTTTATAAAGTCATACTACTAAAATGGGATACATACAAAGGTTCATTAGAGAGTATTGAAGTTATAAGTTAGCCTTTGAAAGTGGCACCTTTCTAGTGGGTGTGACAGCTTCTTTGAGAGGCATCTGTGCACAGGTGATGTTTGCAGTGTTGTAAATGTGAGCAAAGTAGGTTCTCTTCCCCCAGGGAACCCAATACGACCGCAGCTTCTCCTCCTTCATGGAACAGAACATAGAATGAACTTCTCATTCGCTGCAACTGCTTTCAGATAATTTGTAAGTGTAGCTGGAACAGCCAAAGACATTTGTTAATCAAATGAATTGGTGGATGAAAATTAATAAGCTATTTTGAATTTTATTTTGAAACAGTGAGTATGACATTTAATACTAAAACAAGATGACACATTGCTGTGTATCTTTTTTTTTTTTTTTTGAGACAGAGTCTCGCTCTGTCGGCCAGGCTGGAGTGCAGTGGTGTGATCTTGGCTCACTGCAAGCTCTGCCTCCTGGGTTCATGCCATTCACCTGCCTCAGCCTCCCAGGTGGCTGGGACTACAGGTGCCCGCTAACACACCCAGCTAATTTTTTGTATTTTTTAGTAGAGACTCGGTTTCACCGTGTTAGCCAGGATGGTCTCGATCTCCTGACCTTGTGATCCACCTGCCTCGGTCTCCCAAAGTGCTGGGATTACAGGCGTGAGCCACCGCGCCCAGCCTGCTGTGTATCTTAACAAAAATGTTTAGGATATGTAGTTTCCAAGTGGAATGAATGACCATGAATATTGTACTTAACTTACTGCCCTTGGATTCAGGATTCCTAATATTTTCACTTTCCATCCCTACCTCCAGGTGACCACTGTTAACTGGTTACAGTGATCATAGTTTGCCTTACTGTTTATTAATATTTGTAGATGGACTGTAAGTAATCCCATTATTTCTATTACTTTACCTAATTTTCACATAAACTCTTTGATCCCAGCCTAATATTTTCCGTACTTTACAAATGTCAGGGAGGTTAGATGAATTGATCAGATTCATAGAGCTTAAAAGTTGCTCATCATCTAATTTGACAGTGACTTTTGACTCTGAATTCATCACTTGCGAGTTATGGTGTTGTAGGTGAAATAGTATCATAAGAATGAATTTTGGTGTTTGTAGTTACCACACTTATTTTTTTTCTGTCTTTTCAGTTATTCGACAACGAAGAGAAGCAGATGCTGCATTATTTTCAGAACTCCACAGAAAACTTCATTCACAGGTACAGTGCAGAATTCTGGAGGTCATTGCACTCATTGTTGAGGATATGATGAGTGGTATAGGAACCTTTGAATGTTTTTTGTGGTATCATATTAAACTTTTCTATAATTGGTAATTGCTTTTAATTATAGATAGCATTTGCTTTTTTTGTGTGAGCTTCAGTATTAGAAGTTTTAGCTGGATTTAATGCTAAATTGCTTATAAAGATGAATGAAGCTGCACAGGGAAAGTCAACAGAATTTGTGAGTTTTTATTGTAGTCGCTTAATTACACTGCTGGGAGGAAGCACATTGGTAGAAGTCTTATCTTCATATAATAGCTAAACTTTATCTGACTGATAAACTTTATTCATTGGGTCATAATTTGTACTGCCATAGTGAATAACGAAAAAATTGATTTTGAACGTGGTTGGATATTGATACTTGAAAATGAATGATTTTTCTAACCTTTTTTTTTTCTTTTGAGACGCAGCTTCGCTGTGTTCCCCAGGCTGGTCTCAAACTCCTGGGCTCAAGCAATCCTCCTGCCTGGGCCTCCCAAGTAGCTGGGACTACAGGTGCATGCCACCAAGCCCAGCCTTGTATTTTGATAAAAGATTTTGGCAGCCTGTATACCAATACATTAATTGAATCATAGGGTGAGATTTTTCTGATTTCTGACTATAAAGGAACTTAGTTCATCCCGCTTTCTTTCCTTTTATGGAGAAGAAAGTGAATCTAGAGAGGTTTAGTGCTTTGCGCAACAAATACTGTTAGTGTTACACAGTGAAAATGATTGAGTCAGGCCTAATGCTGCTAGTAATTAAACTCTTTTATTTTGAGTCTTCCTCTGTTGTTATATTGTGCTCTGGAAACAAGCTTAGTTCATTTGCTGCCCATTTTGATTCCTTAATTGTTTGACTTGGATTCACTGTTTTAAGCATGCTTTTTTCCATAATATTTGCGATATTATCTTTGTAATGTTTACAGAGTAAGAAATAGGAACCTTTTTTGTCCATTCATTTCCAGGCAAATTATTTCAAACTGCTGTATCATTTGCTTTCTTAAATCTTTCTCCATTTTTAAAACCATTTTCTACACACTGTATGTTAAAAAGATTTGCTTATTGGATACCATATTTCTCCAGATTCTTAGCCTTACCAAGATGCCCAAAGGGAGATTTCATCTAGTAAAAGCTGTTGTATTTGTTAATATTAGCCATTGGATGAAAACATATTTAGACACTTTTTTTTTTTTTTGAGGCGAAGTCTTGCTCTGTGCCCCAGGCTGGAGTGCAGTGGCGCAATCTGGGCTCACTGCAAGCTCTGCCTTCTGGGTTCACGCCATTCTCCTGCCTCAGCCTCCCAGGTAGCTGGGACTACAGGCGCCCGCCAACACGCCCGGCTAATTTTTTTTTTTTTTTTTGGTATTTTTAGTAGAGATGGGGTTTCACGGTGTTAGCCAGGATGGTCTCGATCTCCTGACTTCGTGATCTGTCCGTCTCGGCCTCCCAAAGTGGTGGGATTACAGGCGTGAGCCACCGCGCCTGGCCCTATTTAGACACTTTGTGACTTAAAATGGTTGTTTTCCAAAATTTTGTTTGGAGCTCTGAATGTTTATTCCTAAATATCAATGTCTTAAATAGTGGCCCGCTCCCTAGGGCTCGTCCCCAAAACTGACTTGCTTGGCTTTTTCATTGCATGACTGAAACATGATGAAAAATACTAGGAAATAATAGTATAAGACCAACGATTAAACCAAGTAGAATAGGAGATTCAGGTTAGTAGCCATTCCATCATTTTGCTAAAAATGGCTCCGCAGAAGTGTGAAGGTTGTTGATCCTAATTTTTTATCTTGTCTTAGTTAGGGCCCCGTATGTGGGTGTGCTGTGCAGACCATGGGGACGAAAGGTCAAAGGTGCAGTCGAATGTTTGCTCTTGTTGTTGGTAGACCTAGAGGAAGGAGTCCGGAGTGGAAGGAGGGTCCAGGTTGACGTGGAGACGGGAGTAGAGTGCTGTGCTGTTCCTGAGCTGGGTTTGAAGCATGGCTGAGCAGGAAAGTCCGAAGGGGGAGGGTGGCTTATGAGGGGAGTAGAACTAGAACATTGTGCATCTGCACTGCCCGGGCAGGACTCTGGCCTCGAGGGCAGGGAACAGCGTGCAGGTGCTGTGGCGGCATGGTAGGTGGTGCCCTGTTGATGACGGGTGTTCTGGTGTGGCAGTGCCGGGAAAGCTGAGATCAGCTCTTGTGCTGGGCACTAAACGGCTGCTTTGCGAAGATGTTTATTTGGTGTTCCTCTAGATCTTACCATGTCCCGATAAGACTTTCTTCACGTACAATTCAGTTTGTGCACAGTTTTAAAAGTTTTGTATCTGAACTTGCGGTCCTGTAGTTCAGAGTCTGAGGTGGCAGGTCTGAAGTGATTTCGGGTGGTTAAAAGCATCTGTACTGCCAGAGTGGTGGGAATGATCTGGTTTCCTCTGCCAGATCTCTCCTCTACCCACTCCTGCCCACTCTGTGCTCTCCAGGCCTGGCAGATTATACTCCTGGCCTCTCGCTGTGTGTCTCCCGGTTGGCTTCAGCTGGAGCTGGCTTAAGCTCCAGGGTGAGTCTGGAGTTGGGAGAGGGGTGACACTAAACTCATCTCCCCTGCTGCTGGGCAGCTGTTTGTCAGTGGCGTAGCTGTGACCACAGCTCCTGAGGGCAGTCCCTGCCCTGTGTTGGGCCCTCCTGGACCCTGCAGCTGCTGTCTCCAGCCTGATCTCTCTGGTCTCAGGGTCATTAGTGGCTTCTGGCTGGTGGTGTTCCCCTAGTGGCCCCTGGCTGGTGGTGTTCCCTAGTAGGTCCTGGCTGGTGGTGTTCCCTAGTAGGTCCTGGCTGGTGGTATTCCCTAGTAGGCCCTGGCTGGTGGTGGTCCCTAGTGGGTCCTGGCTGGTGGTGTTCCCTAGTGGGTCCTGGCTGGTGGTGTTCCCTAGTGGGTCCTGGCTGGTGGTGTTCCCTATTGGGTCCTGGCTGGTGGTGTTCCCTAGTGGGTCCTGGCTGGTGGTATTCCCATAGTTGCTCCTGGCTGGTAGTGTTGCTGGTGGTGTTTCCAGACTGCCTCACTGTCTCCTGTGGTTTCCCTGTTTCCGTCCACACCTTCGTATCAAATGGTTTTCAGCAGACTGAAGAGATCCTGGGTGTTTTATACTTGCTCTTTTTATAGTTAAAAAATGCTGCCTCCTCCTTTATGTCACTTGCTAAGTTTTTGGTGCATAATTTTGTTCATTTTTGAAATTTCTCCACCCTTCACCCTCAGATACATCTTTGCTAAAATATAATCTGAGATTTTTAACCTAGCGGTTTCTTAGTGCAAAGGTAGAACATTTCCTGCCGTCTTTCCCTTCACCTACCGGTCATTTCACTCAGAGACTTCCTGGAAACTCCCACAGGGACTTACAACTTGGCATCCTCTGAGCTGAAGGAAGTGTTGCGTCTTGTTCCACCCCTCTGGGCGTCCATTTGCATCCACCCGCACGCTGCCTGCTCTTTCTTCTGTCTTCTCTCTTTTGGTGAATGACAGCACCATTGATCTTGCCCCCCATGAGAACCTGAGTGTCATCTTGACTCCCCAGCTATATCTCTCGTTTGTCCGTTTTGGAGTCGGGCAGACCTGGGTTTGAACCCTGCATGTAGCTCTGTGATTTGGGTGAGTTATTCAGATTTGCTGTCCTTTGTTCTCTCATTTATGGCATGAAGAGAATAAGCCCTGTCATAGTGTGGTTGTGACGATGACAGGATTTAATGTGTGGAAAGAGCTAAAGGTTGGCAGCAGCTTGGCTCCTTGGTCCTGGGCCTGAGTGCCTGAGCCTCACGGGCCCCTGTTGCTGGCTTGCAGGGACTCACCGGGGACACATGCCTGAGCACACACTCGGCTCACTGCATTGCATTCAGCTGCTTGCATCTCCCTCCAGATAACAGCGGTCTTCCTCTCATGTTGTCCCCTCCAGCATGTTCGTCACTTGTGCAGTGATGGTGCCTCTGCCTAGGACGTCCTTCGCAGGCTTCCTGCTGTTGTCTTTACCTCCAAATCCAAGTTTCTTGGTGCAGCGTGGAGGCCTCATTCCGATGTCAGCTTCCCTCCTGACTCCTGGCCTTTGCCAGGTTGCTGTGTTCACTGTTCCTGTCCCTCCCTCTACACGGTCCATCTTTCTAGGAGACTCGAGTCTCCTCCAGAAGCCCTTTTGTGAGCTGTGAAGTGCCATTTGTCACGTTGCATCTGCCCACTTGTCTGTTGCCTGTGATGAGACACACTCCATCAGGGCTGGGTCTGTTTCTTATCCTCGTGGCCCTGGCTGGGGATTAGTTGAGTTTCTGAAAAAGCCTATGTCAACCAATTTTTTAAAGTTAGTAATTTAAATACCTGGGATGAGCTTACTTTTAAAAGAAACTTCCAGAGAATGTTTTATATAATGGAGAGTTTACATAATATAAGCAATCATCCCATAATTTGTTATGTAAATAAAGGTACTTACATGTGCATGCAAAAGGTAAGGCTGTCTGAATAGAGTATACTGAGGTTTGGCTGCTGTTATGTTTGCGAATCAGACTGGTGTGATACACAATTGGAAATTAATGAAATCTGTATGATAACCCTTGCATAGAAACCTGTGGGTTGGTTATCTTGACAGCTAAGTGCTTCAGACCCACTTTTTTTTTTTTTTTGAGACGGAGTCTCGCTCTGTCGCCCAGGCTGGAGTGCAGTGGCGGGATCTCGGCTCACTGCAAGCTCCGCCTCCCGGGTTCACGCCATTCTCCTGCCTCAGCCTCCCAAGTAGCTGGGACTACAGGCGCCCGCCACTACGCCCAGCTAATTTTTTGTATTTTTAGTAGAGACGGGGTTTCACCGTTTTAGCCGGGATGGTCTCGATCTCCTGACCTCGTGATCCGCCCGCCTCGGCCTCCCAAAGTGCTGGGATTACAGGCGTGAGCCACCGCGCCCGGCCTTTTTTTTTTTTTTTTGAGACGGAGTCTTGCTCTGTCTCCCAGCTGGATTGCAGTGGTGTAATCTCAGCTCACTGCAACCTCTGCTTCCCAGGTTCAAGTGATTCTCGTGTCTCAGCCTCCCGAGTAGCTGGGACTACAGGTGCGTGATACCACGCCTGGCTAATTTTGTGTTTTTAGTAGAGATGGGGTTTCGCCATGTTGGCCAGGCTGGTCTCGAACTCCTAACCTCAAGTGGTCCACCTGCTTTGGCCTTCCAAAGTGCTGGGATTACAGGCGTGAGCCCCTGTTCCCGGCCCAGACCTGCATCTTGACTTTAGGTACACATGATGCTGAGACTAACTTGTGCTTGTGGCTTAAATGGGATGTTGATAAAGGAAAAAATAATTCACATATTTTTATGATGGCTTTGTCTCATAATTACGGTTTTGGGGACATTATAAGAATTATTTCAGGGGAGACGATACTGTTATTCAGGAATAGGGTAACTTAAAAAAACTTTTCTTCTTGGGGACTTTAGAGCTAGTTAATAAGGGAAGGAAAGATCCAAGGTTGTTGGTTGCATGAGGACATTTGCTTCCGCCTTCGGATGGGTGGCACTGTTGAAAATACTTATGAATTGTTAGATTTGACGTTACTATGTGAATTTTAAAATGCATTTCTAGTTTGGAAATATAGTTCAGGAAAGAGGAAAATAAGGCTGGAGAGTAGTATAAAATCGTTCTTTTAATATTAACTTTTTTCCAAACAGGGAGTTTTGAAAAATAAATGGTCAATACTCTACCTCTTGCTGAGCCTCAGTGAGGACCCACGCAGGCAGCCAAGCAAGGTAAGTGGCTTTGCCTTTGCAGCGTCGTGTCCGTCGGGACACCCTGGCTGACTTTGATAGGAAACGGCTTCTGCAGCTAAGAAAATAATGCTAGGAAAGCAACAAGCTTGTCTGTCATGGAAGGTCAAGAGATTTCTTTTCCTTTTTCTTTTTAAGGACATTTTTAGTCAGTGTGGTTTCCTGATAATGTTTTTCAGAATTTTGTTATTCAGACATAACAATGGGTGATTAAATAGAGAATAAATGGTTAGTTTTCAAAATGTTTACTTTGTGAAGTTACTAATATCAGCACTGATAGGTAATTCTTTATGAACTAGAAGACCCTTTAGGAGTTTTTCATGCTCTCAGTTATGAGCATTCTTTACTTTTGTGCCAGTGAAACCCTGTCATCACCGGGCTCAGTGTCTGTCCCCTGCAGTATGTCAGAGTGATTCCAGTGCTCTGTGCCCCAGAGTCTGGTATAATAAAGTACTCACCAGAGACGTGGGAGTGCAAAGAGGTTGAAGCGTGTGGGTGAAAGAGTTCTGTCTATTGCTAAAGGCTTCGTCTGAGCAATCATTATATATTAATATACATGTAAACCATATAGATGTGAATATATAGAGGGCAATCATTCTTTAATAATGCCTAACTTTAAAAAATTATTCAAGTTTCAGTTTGCTTGGATCAGAGTGAGTGTTTAGTTATCAGATGATGTAGTGGTTGTTGGAGTTCAGAAAATTTTCTAAAACTTTATCAGTTTAGGCATATTTCAAAAGCATAACATCTAATTTATTGTTTAATAAAGTATGGAACCCAAATCCAGTTACAGAAATAGAAGGAAAATCTGAATATAAATGACCTTTTTAGGTTTGGGAAGACTGTTCTGTAATTTCCTGTCTCTGCTCTTAGTGTGTTTCTCTTTTCAGGTTTCTAGCTATGCTACGTTATTTGCTCAGGCCTTACCAAGAGATGCCCACTCAACCCCTTACTACTATGCCAGGCCTCAGACCCTTCCCCTGAGCTACCAAGATCGGAGTGCCCAGTCAGCCCAGAGCTCCGGCAGCGTGGGCAGCAGTGGCATCAGCAGCATTGGCCTGTGTGCCCTCAGTGGCCCCGCGCCTGCGCCACAATCTCTCCTCCCAGGGTAAGGCCACACTGACGTGTATAGATTCTCTATGTGTTAGAAACAGAGACGCCTGCAGGCTGTTAACCAGACATTGATGTTCACCCACAGTATCAGTGGGGCCTCATACGTGCCAGACAGTGTTCTGGGCACTGTGTCCGATGCACTCCATCTCTGAACGTTACTCCTCTTCAGAGCTATGCTACAGCAGGAGTTCCTTCCACTTTGTAATCCACAAGCTCTGGCCAGCTCTCACCTGTCACTGAAGTGCCCATCACGAAGGAGCTTGAAGTACCCTGTGCAAAGCCCTTCATCTGGAGGCTCTCTGACTGTGTGCTCAGATTTTTCCTTAGGGAATAGTGGCCTCTTCATTGATGTATGTTTTTCTCCTCATTGGATTCTTTAGTAAATTGTTAAGTAAAATAAAATAAGGTTGAACTTTCCTTGAGTGCTGAGGTCTTTAAGGATCGTGACATTTTAGTGCATATGAATTAAGATGATGAAATGCAGGAATGCACAACGAAGGTTTTATGTATGTGGTCCAAGCATGTTTTCAAGAAATACAGGATTTACAGCTGAGAATCAAGCAGGCGCCATTGTCATTCATGGATGGAACTTTGTTTTTCTTTGTTTTTAATTACACATTCTTCCTATATGTAGATAAACGGGTGGCTTTGCTTTTTGCCATAGTTGGTTCCCGGAAATCGCATTAAAGTGGATTATCATAAAGTAGATATTTTTCCAGAAAAACAGTGACCAAGGATTTAGCATCAAATAAATGGTGTTTTCCATGTGAGTGTAATAGAATTATAAATCATTTTGTGATTTATTCAATTATGTTCAAGATACTCGAAAACAGAATGTGTGTTCTATACATATGGATTACCAATGGGGTCTAGTGTTCTATGAAGAAAACGCAAAGCATTTAAAAACAGAACTTGACACATTTAATCTAGAATTTAAGTTCCAGCTAAAAGAATCAATTGACATTCTCATTTATACCTCAGAATTTGAATTATTATCCTATTAAAAATCTGTATAGAGAACTTTGAACTGAAAGTCTTTTAGAATCATCCTCTTAAATTTAGAACTATGCCCAGAGACATAGTTTTAGTGAATGTTGTTGACTTCTCTCCTGATGAAAATGGAATAAAATAAGAACTGTTTCAGTTCTTTCCTGTTCTCCTTACTTCACGAGTGGATTATGGATAAACCCCCCCAGTATTGCACCAGTACTAAATCCAAGCTCTGGCACCTGGAAACTGTAGAGCAGCTGAGGTTCTCATTTTTGTGTTTTGTAGTCCCAGGAAGTGATATTTTTGTTGCACCTGTCAAAACTGACGCTATTAGAAATCAGCTATGAGGTTCTTACATTTTTCAAAAAACAACTTTGACATAGTCTCAAAATTGCTGACAAGCCATCTTGACCTTGAATATGCATTTGCCTTAGATTTTATACGTTTGTATACTTTAGCAGTTAATTGAAAATTGCAGTTTCTTTTCATAGTGAGCACTCTGAAGGCTGAAGACAGGTGAGGCCAGGCGCCTGGGGCAGTGTCACAGTGACTCGATTCCTCTGCTCAGTACATGGGGAGTGAACGAGAGTTGTGGATTTTGAAGTTAAAATAAGTAGAGAATTTCAAAGTGGTTATGGGGTGGGTAAGGTATGTTATATGTTTATAAAGAAAAGCCAAATAGATTTTGATATTAATGGTAAGAAATATATATTGTAAGGTAGCAGTAAGATGATTTTTCCACTGCTGTGTTGGGTCCGAATGCTAGGCCAAGGGTCGCAAGGAGGCTTGACCAAGTTCAAGGGACTTGGGACTGTCTGTTATTGATATATTCGGTTAGGGTAAAGTCATGGTATCAGCTATACCAGATTTATAAATTTATGTAATTCACGATAGTAATACAAGAGAAATTTCTAGGGACACTTTTGTCTCTTCAGCGAATAGCCTATTAGAAGATAATACATGTTTCTTTTTTTAGACAGTCTAATCAAGCTCCAGGAGTAGGAGATTGCCTTCGACAGCAGTTGGGGTCACGACTCGCATGGACTTTAACTGCAAATCAGCCTTCTTCACAAGCCACTACCTCAAAAGGTGTCCCCAGTGCTGTGTCTCGCAACATGACAAGGTCCAGGAGAGAAGGGGATACGGGTGGTGAGTAAGGATCTATGTTAATACAGCTTTTCTGTGAACACTTGGAATTCAGCCTCTCCTTATTTTAAAGTACAGCCCAGGAGCCCCACCTCAAACCTTTTAGTGGTTTCTTCTTGTTCTTATGATGAAGTCCAGAGTCCCTGGTGGTCTGCGGCGCCTTGGGGAGTTTGGCTTTTCACCCCAGGCCACCTGGGCTTTTTCCTCCCAGCACAGTCTGCTTTTTGGCTGCTTTTCCATGTGGCCTCCTCCCTCCACATCTCTCGTCTTTGCTGTTCCTCATCACATTCTCCCTGTCTGTTTTCATCCTGCCGTTTCCCTGGGAAAGTCTTTAAGGCTGGGTTAGGCCCCCAGTAAAAGTCACCTTCTTCTACCAAAGTCTTAAGGCCACAGAGGGGCTATGTCTTTTCATTTATGGTGCCAGTGCTCAGCACAGTGCCTGGCACGTCGAAGAGAGTCATTGAGGAATTACTGAATGGTGAGATGAATACCTCATGGAGGGTTTTAAAGCCCTGCTAGATTCCAAAAGGAAGCTTGAGTTTCTTTATTGAGAACACTACAGTTAGCAGCATTTGAAACATGAGTGTCCTGAAAACAGAGGATTGGGTTTCCCTGTTGGCTCGTAATCTGCTGATTACGAAATGGCTCTGGATGTTACCTGTACCTGTCCTTGCGTAGAATGCAAAGGTGAGGAGCATCTGAGAGCTGGAGGACATCCTGGCACAGTATTAGCCCCCGCAGTAGTCTCCACCATCTGCCCCACTCCGCCTGTCCCTGTGTGTGGCTCCCGCGTCCAGCCTCTGTCCACAGCTGCAGATTCATGTCGTGTTTGACAGCTGTGCGTTCATGGCACAGCAGGCCAACCTCTAGACTGAGACTCGCCTTGTTTCTTTCTAATCTCATACTCTTTTTCATCTTGAGCTTATTTATTGAGTTAGTAAATTTCATCGGGGTGGCAAATATCTAATCTGAAGCTAATTGCACCATAATATCTATTGTCTGTTAAAATATTGTCTAGTAATTACTGTCTTTAAAAAATGATTTTGCAGGTACTATGGAAATTACAGAAGCAGCTCTGGTAAGGGACATTTTGTACGTCTTTCAGGGCATAGATGGCAAAAACATCAAAATGAACAACACTGAAAATTGTTACAAAGTAGAAGGAAAGGTACAGTAACATAAAATCTAAGTTAAAATATTCAGAAAGAAAAAACATGTCATGAAGTCCAGATAGTGGCTGTTGATTGATAAGGTGGTACTGGGGTTTTGCGAATCGGTTGTGAGGTGAAATTGCACTGTGGAATTCTGGTTTCTATTTCTGTCCATTGTGGCTCGTTCAGTTTTGTTATGGGGACCCTTTGTGATTAATGTGTGCCTCCTTTCCTCACGTCTACTGATGGGGCTGCCCCATAGCTGATTTCTGCATCCTGCTGTGTGATGGCTGAGGCACCCAGGGGACAGAGGTCCCTTGGCACCTTCGGCATTGATGCAGGATTCCAGGTCAGGGGTCTTCACCCACTTTTGTTTCCTTTTTCCATAATCTGCCTTTACCATGCCCATTTCTTGTGGTGTGGGTCACACTGTGGCTCTTAGCCCTTTCACAGCGTGGCTGAGATCACAGACCTTCTCTGCCACACCGCAGGCCAACTGCAGGGTGGTGTGAAATGAGCTCACCATGCCCTTTGAGGTGCTTTCCATCATGCTGTCACTTAATGTGCTTTCCTTCCCTTTAGTGATGGGATCTTAGTTTTAACTTTTATGTCTTGAAGCCTAAGGATTATAGTATTAAAAGTAGAAGTGCTTGAGAAAAATACTAATTAAAGCTCTAGTATTGCTTTTTAATGTTTAACATTTGATGTATTTACTTTTTAGGCAAATCTAAGTAGGTCTTTGAGAGACACAGCAGTCAGGCTTTCTGAGTTGGGATGGTTGCATAATAAAATCAGAAGATACACGGACCAGAGGAGCCTGGACCGCTCATTCGGACTCGTCGGGCAGGTGCGTTCATGGTTCCTAGGATGCTGGGATGCTGCGCACTTTGGGAAACGCTTACTCTAGTTGAAATCTTACTGTGAAATAGCTCCTTCTAAGGCTCTTTCCAAGTAAAGCAGCTTTGAGAGTCAACTTTCAGGGTCCACTCAAGACAGTAGAAACCACAGTAGGTGCTGATGAGGACACTGAATACAGCAGGTTGGCTCAGGAACTGCTGGAGGACTGTAAAATACAGAGAAAATGGTGAGACAGAGCTGGCCATGGGGAGCTGGCATTGCCCGATTCCAAACGCTCGAAGGGGGCCCTGCCCAGCTGCTGCTGCCTCCTCCAGAAGGTTGAGGAGGGGCCCTGCTGGGACGGGGCCTGCCAACAGGGGACACTCCCAGCTGCGTGATTCCCCAGGCAGCACGGTGAGGCAGGATTTGGGAACACTGCCGAAGCTGGAGATGGGAATCCTGGCTATGGCTGTCTGGACAGCCCTGGGTGGGCACTGCCGATGGCACAGTGCATGGTTGGGAGGGAGCTGCTGCTGCTTCTCCTCCTGTTGGAGCCTGACAGGGGGCAGCTAATAGGAGCCGTGGCATCTCCACTGTCCAGCCCTTCTTTGTGGCTAAGCAGCATGTGGTCTTGTCCATAGGTTGATTATTGGGCAGTAATTACTGCCAATGAAATCTCCAAAAATTATTGAATCACAGAACAACTGTGTACTATAAGCTCAGCGTAGCACAGGACTTATGGCAGCGTAGCTGGTGGGTAGGAGGGTGGCTGGTGAGTAGGAGCGTGACTGATGGAGAAGAGCATGGCTGGTGGGGAGGAGTGTGGTGCTGTAGTGTGGCTGGTGGGCAGGAACGTGGCCGGTGGGTAAGAATGTGGCTGGTGAGTAGGCACTTGGTGTGGCAGTGTGGCTAGTGGGTAAGAACATGGCTGGTGATTAGGCATGTGGTGTGGCAGTGTGGCTGGTGGGGAGGAGCATGGCTGGTGGGTAAGAACGTGGCTGGGAGTAGGAGCATGGCCGGTGGTTGGGAATGTGGCTAGTGAGGAGGAGTGTGGGTGGTGGGTAAGAATGTGTGGCTGGTGAGTAGGCGAGTAGTGTGGCAGTGTGGCTGGTGAGTAGGAGCATGGCTGGTGGGGAGGAGTGTGCTGTGGCAGCGTGGCTGCTGAGTAGGAGCATGGCTGATGGGGAAGAGCGTGGCTGGTGGGGAGGAGCGTGGCTGGTGGGGAGGAGTGTGCTGTGGCAGTGTGGCTGCTGAGTAGGAGCATGGCTGATGGGGAAGAGCGTGGCTGGTGGGGAGGAGCGTGGCTGGTGGGGAGGAGTGTGCTGTGGCAGCGTGGCTGCTGAGTAGGCATCACACTTTGAGCTTTGAAGCGAGGCAGCCCAGGGTTCTGGTTTGGGCTTCTCCTGTAATGGTCACGTCATCTTGCCCAGGTTATCTTCTGTTGGCCACAAGTTTCTTCCTGCATAGAGTGGGGTAGTGATTACCTCTAGGATTGTGAAGGTGGGGAGAGAATGCGTATAAAGATGCTGCTTCCCAGTCTAGTACTGTTTTCTGTTCTGTTTGCCAGTCTAGTGAATTGCTCGATGACCAGCCACCACTCTCCCTCATTGCAAGGGCAGATAGGAGTGAGCTGGCTCTTTCTCGAGGCAGGTAGGACTGGTGGGCCGTCCCCTCAGGAGCCAGCTGTAATTTTAGAGTCCCTGTCCCTTTTCCCGAAGGGAGTGTTTTATCATGTCTGGGTTTATATCATCATCTTATGCAAGTGTCACTGATAGGTCCCAGTCAACTTGATAGACATGAAGCAAAACACACACACAAAATCAATACAGGATAACTAAACCATTATGTAGATATTTTATTCCAGGAGATGGATTGATCATCACTATAGTAGTATCATATTATGTTTTATAGCAGGGGTCCCCAGTTCCTGGACTGTGGACCGGTACTGGTTCATGGCCTGTTAGGAACTGGGCCGCACGGCAGGAGGTGAGTGGAGGGCGAGCAGGCATGACCGCCTGAGCTCTGCCTCCTGTCAGATCAGTGATGGCATTAGTTTCATAGGAGTGTGATCCCTGTTGTGAACCGTGCATTCAAGGGATCTAGGTTGCATGCTTCGTATGAGAATCTAATGTCTGATTATCTGAGGTGGGAACAGTTTTATCCCAAAACCACTCTGCCCCCCCATCCCACCCTGGTCCGTGGAAAAAATGTCTTCCACAAAACCAGTCCCTGGTGCCAAAAAGGTCGGGGACTGCTGTTTATAGTACTGGACTTTAGAGGCTCTTCTTTTATCTTCTTTCTCCTTATCGATTATCATAGCAGCCTTCTAAAATGATCAGGGCAAGCATTAATTGTCCCCATTTTGCAGATGTGAGAATTGAACCTCAGCAAGTTTGATTGATTTGACCAAGTTGCCCTGACTAGTAGATGGCAGGTATGGACTAGGGTGTGACGTGTCACTCTGTTCCAAAGCTGTCTCTGTTCTTCCATTTCCTGCTGTTTGGAGTCATTGCTTGGTGCCATCCAGTTGCTGAAGGAGTGATGGTTTATTTATCTTATTTGAAGAGCCAGCGTGTGCTCTCAGTGGGGTGACCGTGTGCCCTAATTTATGCCTTGCATAATTTATGTCCTGTGTCAGTATTACCAGTGCCCACAATTAGCCTTGGAGGTGTCCTGGCTCTAGACATACCAAATGGAGCAAAATCATATATGAATGAAGATACTGTTTTGTAAGTGTGAAACTTACATGTGCATTTAATGAACCAAGGTGGAAACAGCCTCTGCTAACCACAGGCCTTTTCCCTCTGAGTGTGTGTGGCGCTGCCGCGCTCTGCCTGCACTTCCACTCTTTTGGTTGTAGACTTCTCAGAAGCTGACTCACATACACCTGTATATAAATACTTAGATTCTACACGTTGGATAATGATTTGATTATTTCAGCAGGTTTTGTTTTTGTTTTTTTTTTGAGACGGAGTCGTCTCGCTCTGTCACCCAGGCTGGAGTGCAGTGGCGCGATCTCGGCTCACTGCAAGCTCCGCCTCCCATGTTCACGCCATTCTCCTTCCTCAGCCTCCCGAGTAGCCGGAACCACAGGCACCCACCACCACGCCCGGCTAATTTTTTTGTATTTTTAATAGAGACGGGGTTTCACTGTGTTAGCCAGGATGGTCTTAATCTCCTGACCTCATGATCTGCCCGCCTTGGCCTCCCAAAGTGATGAGATTACAGGCGTGAGCCACCGCACCTGGCCGCATATTTCAGCAGGTTTTTCAAAGCTTTGATGTGTTTATGTGTCTGCTCTCCTGCCCTGGGGCTGGGATGGAGTTTTGGTAAAGAGTGATGCTGTGCCTGAGCAGATTCCATGTCGTTTTCTCTGTAAATATTACCTAAGAAAACTGACCTATGGTTTAGTAAGCACCTTTGTGCCCACACTGTGCCAGGCGCTTGCCCTACGTTACCGCATTTATTCTTCCTCCCTTTGTAGATGAGCCTAGAGGTTCATACCGTCAGGGGCTGACACGTGGCGGTACCTCCAGCGGGAGCCCTGGATTTTTACCCCCTGGTCTGTCTCATTCCAGACTCTAGGACGTTTCTTCTTGCACACCTCACTTTTGACGTGTCCTTTTGTGTCTACAAAATTAGTATGTTTTATGTTCATTTTCATACTTGAAAATGTTCACATTTGTCTTAGTCCACAAACCATAAATGCAGTAAAATACACCTATAGGTGACTGCTGATATATTTTAAAAATATACAGAAAGGTATGCAACCTACATATTTACTTAAAGAAAACAAGTTTAAAAAACAATTAAAAAAAATTTTTTGATGGAGTTTTGCTGGATAAAACTGAATGAGAAAGAACACAGGTTTATCCCTTGCAGGCTGCTTCTGCTGTGGGCTCCTTGAACAGCAGAGCTGCCCCCAGGCATCCTGGAGTTACATCCCACAGCTCATCCCTGAAGGCTCTTGCCACAGGACTGGATGCAGGTGTATCAGGGTGCCTCTTCTAGCTTCTGATTCCTGTTGTTTTGACCTGACTCCTTTCAGTATTTTTTTTTTTTTTTTTTTTTTTTTTTGAGATGGAGTCTCACCCTGTCGCCCAGGCTGAAGTGCAGTGTTGTGATCTTGGCTCACTGCAAGCCCCGCCTCCTGTGTTCAAGCCATTCTCCTGCCTCAGCCTCCTGAGTAGCTGGGACCACAGGCACCCGCCAACACGCCCGGCTAATTTTTGGTATTTTTAGTAGAGACAGGGGTCTCACCATGTTAGCCAGGATGGTCTCGATCTCCTGGCCTCGTGATCCGCCCGCCTTGGCCTCCCAAAGTGCTAGGATTACAGGCGTGAGCCACTGCACCCGGCCTCCTATCAGTTTTTAAGATTGGAGATGTGTGGAAAAGTTCTTACTACTAATAGGGGTCAGAAGAACAAGCAGTGCAAACAGAACAAAAATTAGGAGGATTGGCATTGAGCTGCCAATTTTAAAATTTTGTTAATTAAGAGCATGAAAGAAAATTACATTTTAACCCTGAATATTTACAGGGGATATAATCTTTTTTAATTAATTAATTAATTAATTTTTTTATTATTATACCTTAAGTTTTAGGGTACATGTGCACAACGTGCAGGTTTGTTACATATGTATACATGTGCCGTGTTGGTGTGCTGCACCCTTTAACTTGTCATTTACATTAGGTAAATCTCCTAATGCCATCCCTCCCCGCTCCCCCCACCCCACAACAGGCCCCGGTATCCAAGTTCCCCACCCTGTGTCCAAGTGTTCTCATTGTTCAATTCCCACCTGTGAGTGAGAACATGCGGTGTTTTGTTTTCTGTCCTTCTGATAGTTTGCTCAGAATGATGGTTTCCAGCTTCATCCACGTCCCTACAAAGGACATGAACTCATCATTTTTTATGGCTGCATAGTATTCCATGGTGTATATGTGCCACATTTTCTTAATCCAGTCTATCATTGATGGACATTTGGGTTGGTTCCAAGTCTTTGCTATTGTGAATAGTGCTGCAGTAAACATACGTGTGCATGTGTCTTTATAGCAGCATGATTTATAGTCCTTTGGGTATATACCCACTAATGGGATGGCTGGGTCAAATGGTATTTCTAGCTCTAGATCCTTGAGGAATCGCCACACTGTCTTCCACAATGGTTGAACTAGTTTACAGTCCCACCAACAGTGTAAAAGTGTTCCTATTTCTCCACATCCTCTCCAGCACCTGTTGTTTCCTGACTTTTTAATGATCACCATTCTAACTGGTGTGAGATGGTATCTCATTGTGGTTTGATTTGCATGTCTCTGATGGCCAGTGATGATGAGCATTTTTTCATGTGTCTGTTGGCTGCATAAATGTCTTCTTTTGAGAAGTGTCTGTTCATATGCTTTGCCCACTTTTTGATGGGATTGTTTGATTTTTTCTTGTAAATTTGTTTAAGTTCTTTGTAGATTCTGGATATTAGCCCTTTGTCAGAAGGGTAGATTGTAAAAATTTTCTCCCATTCTGCAGGTTACCTGTTGACTCTGATGGTAGTTTCTTTTGCTGTGCAGAAGCTCTTTAGTTTAATTAGATCTACAGGGGATATCATCTTAAAGGATCATTCTCTAAAGTCACTACACTTCATGAAAACTATACCATATATATTTTTTCCATTCCTCTTCTGCAAAGTTCATGCTTTTTGTACTAAGGAACAACACTTTTTTCATATTATTAAAATATATATTGTGGTGATTAAGATGATTAGAAGATTATTGACAAAACCTGAATTTAAATCTTGTAGCACCCCACCTGAACTTTATCTAAACGCATTATACCTTTCCACTTAAAATCAGTCAATGTGTAATGAGTGTGTCGTGCTTTAATTATATTTCTCCTCCAAACAGAGCTTTTGTGCTGCCTTGCACCAGGAACTCAGAGAATACTATCGATTGCTCTCTGTTTTACATTCTCAGGTAAATATTTTATTTTTATTTTTATTTCTTTATGATTTGAAGTGTTACAAAATTGAAGCTATATAGAATGTTTTAAGTTCCTTCATACATTACTTTTAAAATACAGCAATATTTTTCATAATATTATTTGTAAGGTTTGAATATCAAGTTTCAGTGTATCCTAGAGCCAGTTAATTGCCAATTTTCGGGGTTCTACCGGTTAAAGGTAGCTTTAAAATACTATTTTTTTTTAAAGGGGACTTTGGCTTCATTTTTATGAGTATAATCATTTTCTTATGTTCACTTGATATAGATTAAGAAGTGTGATCTATGTGGTTATTTGTACTTAAACATTTCTATCTTTATTGTTTTTTAGCTACAACTAGAGGATGACCAGGGTGTGAATTTGGGACTTGAGAGTAGTTTAACACTTCGGCGCCTCCTGGTTTGGACCTATGATCCCAAAATACGACTGAAGACCCTTGCGGCCCTAGTGGACCACTGCCAAGGTCCCACGCGCGTCTTTCCCACGCACGTCTTTCCCACGCGCGACTTTCCCACGCGCGACTTTCCCACGCGCGACTTTCCCATGCACGTCTTTCCCACGCGCGTCTTTCCCACGCGCGTCTGGCACTCGCTTTGTTTCAGAACTCGTTTGTAGGGTGCGCCATCCAGGCTTGCTTTTGTGTCCTGCCCGTTTTTGTCCTTAATGGCCGTGTTGATTCGATAGGAATCGACAGATGGGAGCCAAGAGGGGACGTAACCACTTGCCAGTGTGGCCCAGTATTTATATGGTAGAAGCTCGGGCTGGCATTGAGATGGAGGTGGGAAAGAGGAGGGTGTCTCGTGTTTAAAGATTTCTCTCTTGTGTGGTCCTTGGTTATGGCTCCCCATGGTGCTTGCTGCTCCCTTGGTCGCCTTTCCTTGCATTTTGCTTTTTGCCTTTAGTCCTTCTGCAGTCAGGGACCATGTTGGTGACTCTCGGTCAGATGTTCCCATATTTGCATGTCTTGCTTTGGCCTCTCTGGCTCTAGGTTCTGTATTGCTAGTTGCTTTCTGACATTTTTTCTCATTGTTTGTGCTACCTTGGCCAAGAACCTCTTTGCCTTCTCCCTCGTTTGTAACATTGAGATCCTAGTAGCAGTTACTTCTTAGGGTTGTTAGGATGACATGAGATGGGCGAGTTGGCCATCTGCCACACAAGAGTTCCCTTCTCACTGCCATCCTCTGCCCAGGGTGTTCCCCAGAATCTGCAGGGCCCCATTGGTCATCTTGCTGTCTGCACACCTTCCTCTCTCACCTCTTGGCACTTCCCTCAAAAAAGAGAGAAGTGGAGCACAGTAAATAAACGCCAGCGTTTTCTCCAGTTCCCAGCACCTCTCCGGAACTGGATCCCCCAAACTCCTCTGTCACTTTCTGTGTCCAGCGGGCCCCTGGGGTCCTTCACTGTCTTCACTCTGCTCAGCCTGTGCGCTTGGCCTTGGTGCTGTAGGGACTGTTATAAGAGCTGCTGTCCGATCCCCATATTCAATCTCACAGCCCCACTTTGTGTACACACACCAGAGCCATCTTCTTAAAATCAGATCCTGTCACTCCTCTCCCTAAAATCTACCAGTGGTCTAATAAAATCTTGAATTTTTAGCATAACATAAGAACTCTTCATGTGCTTCTATTTCCAGACCGGATTTTTGCCACTCCCAGTCCTTCATACTGTGTAGTTCTGGCCAAGGCCCGGGGGGCCTCTTCTCTCTACATAGAGCGGTGTTTCTCACACTGTCTGTTGTAGCCAGTTAATGGGTTATGAAACCAGTTAATGGGCTGGGGCTAGCATACCATACCAAAAAAAAAGTACAAGGATGGATTCACAGGACTTCTGCTTTTCATACATGTTTGTGCCCTCCTTTGCACCATGAAGCGTGAATCTTAGTATGTCTCAAGTAGAAAAGGCATGAAAAGTCATGTGAACTTTAGATTGTGTAGCCGGCAATTTTTTGCTACTTTTTGTTTCTGAAAAATTCCTCAGCAGTCCTAAAGAGAAGAGTGACTCACACACTTGTGTAAAGCCAGGGTTGGAGTCTGGACCTCCTGGTTTCTGAATCATGACATGTTACTGCTGCTTCTAGGTCCAAAGTGGTATTAACTGTAAGAAAACAAATGCTCTTTATCTCAATTACTTGGGCGTCTTTGGTTGGTGAGAAGTGACTGGTGTGTACTATGAGTGTAAATGTGGATGTTTTTGTGTATTTTCCTCCATTTCTCCCAGGAAGGAAAGGAGGTGAGCTGGCCTCAGCTGTCCACGCCTACACAAAAACAGGAGACCCGTACATGCGGTCTCTGGTGCAGCACATCCTCAGCCTCGTGTCTCATCCTGTTTTGAGCTTCCTGTACCGCTGGATATATGATGGGGAGCTTGAGGACACTTACCACGAAGTAAGGATCGGTGTTCGGTTCTGAGACTTGGATTTAAAAAGCATGGGCACGCAGTTATGCTGTTTCATTTTTCCCCTCATGATTACCATGTTCTCCTAACAGGAATGCAACTGCACTTCCATTGAATACCATATACATTTTACACAGTGCCTCGACAGCTGGTTATCTCACTGAACAGCAGATAAGTTCACGAGTTCTTTGGTTAGTGGAGAATTGTCCCAGTTTATTCCTCAGCAAGGTGGAATCACTCGTCCGAGTTTACTAGCACGTGGATGGCAAAACAGGACGAGGCCTCCTGAGTCTTGGGGCAGTCATCATCGCAGATTCTGCTGCTTTGCCATGATTACTTTGCAAACTCACTTTGGTGCTAACAGCTTAATGAAACAAGTTAGTTGTGTATGTAGCTATTGAAATAGGGTCAGTTCTGTAACGCAGCATGTGCTGCTTAAAAATCACTGTTGTGTAAATCACATGATAGAAATGATAGGGCTTTTGGTGGAAGGTAGGGTGAGGGGCACCACACTCAAAACCTTTGTCAGTAAGACAGGAATCTAACAAAAGTTGTAGTGCAGTTTAACACGTTAAAGTTTAAGAAATACATAAGCACTGCCATAAATATCACATTGGCCTTGGAAAAACCCTGGCGCTTTCTTGTGGGAGTGGGCCGTCGGGGCCGCAGACTGTGTGTGGCGGGAAGTGGCGGAGGCCTGGCCATCTGAAACAGGTGTGCCTTGTGTGGGCGCTGCTGGCTGCAGTGGCCTGTGTTCTCCTGCCGTTTCTCATGGATGAAATTGCAAATAAGCAAGCGTGAGGTTTGTATTACATTCAATTTGTTTTCTAATTTATTGTTTGTGCTGTTACAAGTTGTTTTTAAAGCAAGCGTTTGGGCAGAATGGAGTCTCTGGTGCTCTGTGTGCTTTTGAAACACATGGGCGGCATGGCGTGTGTGCATCTGCGTTGGGCGAGTTGCTTAGCCTGTCTTGTAGCACTTTCCCGATGGTGTGTGTAGTTTTTCTTTATTACTGCATATTATTTCACAGTAGGGACAGATATGTTTTTATCTAGCTACTGTCCTGTTGATGGAGATGATGTTTTCTTTGTAGTTTTTAATCTTATGAACAGTATTAAAATGAACATCCTTTTATGTGTCTCCCTGCACGTATTTATGAGTTTCTCTAACGTGGGTTCTGGGAGGTGGGATTGCTGGGTTGTGGGGATGCATTTTTTTTTTTTTTTTTTTTTTTTTGAGACAGAGTCTCGCTCTTTTGCCCAGGCTGGAGTGCAGTGGCTCAATCTCGGCTCACTGCAGGCTCTGCCTCCCATGTTCACGCCATTCTCCTGCCTCAGCCTCCCAGGTAGCTTGGGACTACAGGTGCCCGCCACCATGCCTGGCTAATTTTTGTATTTTTAGTAGAGACGGGGTTTCACTGTGTTAGCCAGGATGGTCTCGATCTCCTGACCTTGTGATCTGCCCGCCTTGGCCTCCCAAAGTGCTGGGATTACAGGCGTGAGCCACTGCGCCCGGCCTGTGGGGATGCATATTTTAAACTGCTTCTGCCACGTTGCACTCAGGAGTGCCTATCCAGGTTGACGCAGCTATCAGCTTCCTGTTATGGTCCTCATTCCCGCGTCCTTGTCAACACTTTGTCTTACCCAATGTTAATAAGAATATTTTCACCTAATGCACGAAATGTGCCATCTCACTGGGGTGTTTATTTGCATTTCCCTGATTACTAGTGAGACTGACCAGCTTTTCGTGCTTATAGGTTATTTTTTTATTTCTTCTTCTGATTACCTGTTAGTTTCCTTTGCCCATTTTTCTTATGGATTTGTTTTTCTTTTTAGGAGTGAATCATGGATGGTTTTATATTTTCAAATTTTTATATATGGAATTGCTCTTTTAAAAAATTATATCTTTTAACTTTTTTTCACATTCTTCCAAACTTATAAAAAAGTTGCAAAAATAGTACGAAGAATCATTGTACTGTTGACTGAGCCTTAACTGAGACTCCACACAAGTTTTACTACGTTTTATCATAAACTAAATTTCTCTATATACTTGAATCTGTTTCTGGATTGTATTTTTTCTGTTTGCTTTTCATCTGTCAATATGATTTAAATGACTCTATGGTTTGAAATTTGGTAGAGGCAGTACTTACCTTTTGTTCTTTTCACAATTTCTCTGTTTTTGCACATTTATACTTAGATATGAATTTAGAATCAGCCTGTCAATTCCGTTAAAAGTTCTTTTAAAAATTTTTATAGGGATTGCATATTGGATTTGGAGATTAAAAAGGATTTTCAGGCTTCTTATGTTCCTTTTGTTGTATGAACTTTCTTTTAAAATAAAAACTGAAGCTTTGTAAGGTGTGTTTTATTTTACTAATGGTTACCTCAAGTTTTTCAGAGCTTTTGTGAGCCTGTATCTTTCTAAATGTTAAAATCACTAGTAAACTTTCTTTTTTAACCCCTTCCTCCATTAAGATGAAGAATTGTGTCCATTTCCCAGGTTCTGCATACCTGCATGGACCGCCACACTCTTTTTTTTTGAGATGGAGTCTCGCTTTGTTGTCCAGGCTGGAGTGCAGTGGCGCGATCTCAGCTCACTGCAACCTCCACCTCTGGGGTTCAAGCAGTTCTCCTGCCT
The DNA here is from genome assembly GCF_000001405.40 of Homo sapiens. Classification (NCBI taxonomy): domain Eukaryota; kingdom Metazoa; phylum Chordata; class Mammalia; order Primates; family Hominidae; genus Homo; species Homo sapiens. The sequence continues at coordinate 112,543,051 of NC_000013.11, read as the reverse complement.
CAGCCTCCCAAGTAGCTGGAACTACAGGCGCACGCTGCTACGCCCAGCTAAGTTTTTTTGTATTTTAGTAGAGACGGGGTTTCACTTTGTTGCCCAGGCTGGTCTTGAACTCCTGAGCTCAGGCAATCCGCCCACCTTGGCCTCTCAAAGTGCTGGGATTACAGGCGTGAGCCACCGTGCCTGGCCCTACACTCTTAAGCTCTGTACCTTTTGTTTAAATCTAGGTTATTTTATATTTTTAATTTTTTATATGCAATTTGTATTAAGTCACTATCGAAGTCAAGAAGTAGCACTTATCAGTACCCCTATTGTGTACCCATCATTGTCCCCTTCTCCTTAAAGGTAAACTTTATACTGACCTCTGACACTGTAGGTAGCTCAATTCTTAGTTTAAATTTTATATAATGTTCAATGTTAAAATACATATACATGCCATCTATAGAGGTATATTTGGTATTCATCATTTAAATTTGAATCCTTATTTTTAGGTCTGTTTCTGGAAAGTATCATAAAATTATTGAATTGACTTAAAGTTCTAGACTTAATTTTTCAAGATTAAATGGAGACTTAAATTCTTGTACTATTTAGTTTTTATCTATCACAATGGTAAGGTGCTAAGGACATGTAGGTAATGGGCGTTTCCTTTGATAGAGTGAGGCTTGCCATTTTTAATGCATTTATGTTCAGTTATTCCATAATTACAGGATGAGGTGAGTTTTGATAGCTGTTTAAAAACCTGTGCAATTGATTATTTAGAATGCATATTAAATCTCCTGACCATTATCACAATAAGCCAAGTTATTTGAGTTTAAAAAATTTGTTATTTAATTAGTTTATGGGAGTCTAAGTGATCTTGTGGTTAAGAAAATGAAAAATCAATGTTTTATTTTCAGAACGTATGTTCTTTTTATATTACTATGATTTGTTTACTCTCAGCCATGCTTAGTGGTGTAGATTTATGAGAAATACTTTGACCAGCATGTACACCAGAAATAAAAAGTTCTGTGTGTTACTGTTCTCAGTTTTGAGGTGTATCTTCTTATCATCCATTATAATTGTACCCTTCAGAAGTAAAAGATGATATTTTAAGGCAATCTTTAAAAATTAGGATTATAAAAAGGAGAAAGTTTACCTTTTTATTTAATTAAAGAATCTGTATCCTCTTCGTTCAATAATTAGTGTGTGAGTTATAGTATGAATTTGGGCGATTTCAACTTTTCTAATGATTGCTGATCAATTGATAAACCTGGTTTTCTTCAGAGATTGGAGTGGGAATTGTCTGAGTTTTCATACTATTAGGATATATATTGCTAATAATTAGAACAAAAGTCAAAGCCACAAGCTGGCTAATTGTCTTTTTTGACTTTAGTACCTAATTTGTAATTTGCAATACTTCTGTCTTGAGATTAATTTAGTTTGCATATTTTTCACAACCAGGCTTTTAAAGTACTCCTTAGTTGAACCACCAATTCATTATATTTGTCTGTGGTATTTTTTTTTTTTTTTTTTTGAGACGGAGTCTTGCTCTGCCGCCGAGGCTGGAATGCAGTGGTATCATCTTGGTGCACTGTAACTTCTGCCTCCTGGGTTCAAGCAATTCTCCTTCCTCAGCCTGCTGAGTAGCTGGGATTACAGGCACGTGCCACCTCGCCCAGCTAATTTTCATATTTTTAGTAGAGGCGGGATTTCACCATGTTGGCCAGGCTGGTCTTGAACTCCTGACCTCAGGTGATCCACCCGCCTCGGCCTCCCAAAGTGTTGGGATTACAGGCGAGAGCCACCACGCCTGGCCATTTGTCTGTGTTTTTAAAGGAGTCCTTAAAGGTACCGCGAGTTCTTTATTGATTCTCTGCCTTATGTGTTATTCAGGCTTGTGTATTCATTTCCTTTCGTGATAGTAATGATGGGACTGGAGAGTTGATAGGGAATGCAGAGGGAATTGGGCAAAAACTGATAAATCGATTTTCTTCTGTACTTTTTTCTTTAATATGTTTAAACTTTGATTCATTGAGGTGAGACAAAAGCAGACCCTTAGGACTAGTGTGGTTTAAATTTGGGAAACTTTTTTGAAGCACTCTTGTTGCTTAGAATATGTATAAGGCTAATGTTCATGTTTTATTTATTTAAAAATAAAATAATGCATGTCTATTGAGTATAATATTCAAATCAGCATCTCAAATTATTAATGAACTTACCTCAGGTCTTGCCTCATTGGCAAAGATTTTCACTTTTAAATGTTTTCCTTTTGATTTAATTTTAGACTTAGAAAAGTTGCAAGAATTAATGCAAAACATTCCCAGGTGTCCTTTCCCAAGACCACCTGAATGCTCACAGGCTACTACATTGATGTCATCATTCCCAGGTGTCCTTTCCCAAGACCATCTGAATGCTCATAGGGCTACTACATTGACGTCCTCATTCCCAGGTGTCCTTTCCCAAGACCACCTGAATGCTCATAGGCTACTACATTGACGTCCTCATTCCCAGGTGTCCTTTCCCAAGACCACCTGAATGCTCATAGGCTACTACATTGATGTCATCATTCCCAGGTGTCCTTTCCCAAGATCACCTGAATGCTCATAGGGCTACTACATTGACGTCCTCATTCCCAGGTGTCCTTTCCCAAGACCACCTGAATGCTCATAGGCTACTACATTGACGTCATCACTCCCAGGTATCCTTTCCCAAGACCACCTGAATGCTCATAGGGCTACTACATTGACGTCCTCATTCCCAGGTGTCCTTTCCCAAGACCACCTGAATGCTCATAGGCTACTACATTGACGTCATCACTCCCAGGTATCCTTTCCCAAGACCACCTGAATGCTCATAGGCTACTACATTGACGTCATCACTCCCAGGTATCCTTTCCCAAGACCACCTGAATGCTCATAGGCTACTATATTGACATCCTCATTCCCAGGTGTCCTTTCCCAAGATCATCTGAATGCTCATAGGGCTACTACATTGACGTCCTCATTCCCAGGTGTCCTTTCCCAAGACCACCTGAATGCTCATAGGCTACTACATTGACGTCCTCATTCCCAGGTGTCCTTTCCCAAGACCACCTGAAGGCTCATAGGCTACTACATTGACGTCATCACTCCCAGGTATCCTTTCCCAAGACCACCTGAATGCTCATAGGCTACTACATTGACGTCATCACTCCCAGGTATCCTTTCCCAAGACCACCTGAATGCTCATAGGCTACTACATTGACGTCCTCATTCCCAGGTATCCTTTCCCAAGACCACCTGAATGCTCATAGGCTACTACATTGATGTCGTCATTCCCAGGTATCCTTTCCCAAGACCACCCAAATGCCGATAGGCTACTACAATGATGTCATGATCCCTGTCTTTTTTTTATTTTAAAGGTTCTGTATTTACTGATGCACGTACCTAGGGTCTGAGATTAGATAGAGCTCTAGGAAGTTCATGATTTGTAATTTTTAAATTTGCTAGTCATTTTGTCCAAATAGCTCTTTACACCTGAGATACTCTTGTTTGCTTCACTAATTTTGCTTGTAGGTTTTTTCAGAAATGCATTGTGATTGATGGAGCTAAAATTAATCTTTCTTGACATAAAGTATATTGTGTTCTTTGCCATGGGTCTGCTATGTTTAGTACTGCAATACCAGTGGGCATATACCACCTACCGGTTTATCTCATTGTAACTCATCTGACTACTTTATCTCTGTGGGTTTGAGCTCAAGAGCTTAGGTTCTGAAGTCTGATTTGGGTCTGGCTGTTGGCTTCAGGTTCTGATGACTCTGTATCCTGGGCAAATACCTTCACCTCTCTGGGCCTTCCCTTCCCCATCTTCCAGATGTGTGTATGATAGTGCTTGTCTGGTGTGATTTTGTGTATGTGTGAAGATTACATCAGACCAATAGGAAGTGTATAGCGTATCTGCTGCTACTTTAAGGAGAACATTGGATAAAATTTGAATATCTTCTGTCCCTAAGATGTCTGTGGGCTTTGTCTGATTTGTTTGTAGTTCTCGGACATCTGTTTTTTCTGTTAGACCCTACATTTATAAATATCCATTTAAGTCTTTGATTAGTTTTGGTGAGGTTCTCTTTAATTTACTCTAAGTATTAATAACATCTTTACCCTAAGAATTTGGTAATTTAGACAATTACATTGTGTGTTTGATCACTATGTAATTAAAATGTGGAAATTTTGTCTCTTTGTTTCTTCTATAGGTTAATTTTTCCTTAGTTTCCCTAATGGGAATTATAACTTTGTTGTAAAATTGCATTTTTTTCAAGTGTGTGGTTAACTCTAAATAGTTATAAGTGAGCTTTATAATCTTTCATCTCATAGTAATTTATTGTATATCTATATAAGAAAATGCTTCTTTTTATAATAAAAGTGCAAAATATCAATAAAGAGATAGAAATTGTAAAAAAGAGCCAAATAGAAATTCTGGAGTTAAAAAGGACAATTACTGAAATGAATGAACTCACTAGTGGGGCACTACAGCAGATTTGAACAGGGAGAAGAAAGTCAGCAACTTGAGTTTAGGTCAATTGAGACCATCCAGTCTGAGAACAGAAAGTTAAAAGAGGGAAGGAAAATGAACAGAGCAAAGAGACCCAAATTTGATGAGAAACATTAATCTACACATTCAAGGAGCTCAGCAAACTCTCAAAAGTAGGATAAACTCACCACAGCAAGACACATTTAGGTTGAATATCTCTTATCTAAAATGCTTGGGACCGGAAGTTTTGGAGTCTGGATTTTGGAATGCTTGCATTATACTTATGTTCAGCATCCCCAGTCAGAGAATCTGATATCAGAAATACTGCAATGAACATTTCCTGTCAGTGTCATGCTGGTGTCCAAGATGCTTGGATTTTTTGAGCATTCTGGATTTCAGATTTTGAGATTAGGGATACTCAACCTATATAACCAAACTGTAGAGAGACAGAGCAAATCTTCAAAGTGGCAGGTGGGAAAACCCATCACACAGAAGGGATCCTCAATAAGATGAATAGCCGATTTCTCATCAGAAACTGTGGAGGCCACAAGGTGGGGGAGAATACATTCAAAAGGCGGAAAGCAAAACCATGATGATTCAAGAATTCTGTATCCAACAGAATTCCCATTCAAAAATGATGTCAAAATCAAGACATTTCTAGATAGATAAAACTTGAGAGAGTTCCTAGAAGCATACGGACTACCAAAATTGATTCACAAAGAAATAGAAAACCTGAATAGACCTGTAACAGGTAAAGAGATTGAATCATTAATCAGGAAACTTTAGCAAAGAAAAGTGCAGGAGCCGATGGCTTCTCTGGTGAGTGCTACCAAATATTTAAAGAATTAACAGCAATCCTATTTAAAGAATTAACAGCAACCCTTCTCAGATTCCTTAAAAAAATAGAATAGGATGGAATACTACTTAACTCATTTTATGAAGTCAACATGATACAACACACAAAAACTACATACCAGTAGTTCTTAGGAATATAGATGCAAAAATCCTCAGTAAAATACTGGAAAACAGAATTCATCAGCATAGTAGAAGGATTGTACACAATGGCCAAGTGGAATTAATCCCAAGAATGCAAGGGTAGTTCAATATAATCAAAGTCAATCAATGTAAGACATCTTACTAAGGCAGTGAAAGAAAAAATGATCAACTCAACTGGTGCTGAAAAAGCATTTGATGAGATTCAGTACCCTTTTATGATAAAACAGTCAAACTTGGAATAGAAAGGAACATAACTAATAAAGGGCATCTGTGAAACACCAACAGCTAACATCATACTTAAAGATTCCATGCTTTCTTCATAAGGTCAGGAACAAGACAAGGGTGTTCACTCTTACCACTTCCTTTTAGCATTGTTGAGAAAGTTATGGCCAGGATAATTAGTCAAGGTTTTTTTTTTTTTTAAAAAAAAAAAAAAAAAAAAAGGAAAAAGGTAAAAGCATCCAGATAGCCAGATTGGAAAAGAAAAAGTAAAACCAGCTGGGTGCAGTGGCTCACAGCTGTAATCCCAGCATTTTGGGAGGCCAAGGCAGGAGCACGGCTTGCGGTCAGAGTTTGAGACCAGTCTGGGCAACATAGCAAGACCTTCCTCTCTACAAAAGATTAAGAAAAAATGAGCCAGGTGTAGTGGTGCACACCTGTAGTCCTAGCTTCTTGGGAGGCTGAGGTCAGAGGATCACTTGAGCCCAAGAGGTTGAGGCTGCAGTGAACTATGATTGTACCACTGCACTCTGGGTGACAGAGTGAGACCATGTCTCCAAAAAAAAGTAAAGCCATTTCTGTTCACAGATACTTGATCTGATTTATAGAAAACTAAAGAATCCACACATACTTTATAATAAAGATTATATATAGGTAGAGAGGTGTATGTATAGCTGTCTAATGTATAAGTTCACCACATTGGCAGGATACAAGCTCAATAACAAAAATCATTTATATTTCCATATACTTTCAATGAATAATCCAAATATGAAATTAAGAAAATAACTCCATTTAAAATATCATCTAAATAAGTTAAATACATAGTAAAAAATTTAACCAAGGAAGTGCAAGACTTGTACTCTGAAAAGAATAGATCATTGTTGAGAGGAATGAAAAAGGCCTAAATAAATGGAAAGACATTCTGTGCTTATGGATGGAAGATTTGATATTGCTAAGATGGCAGTGCTTCCCCAACATGAGACACACTTTCAATGTTTGATATTGTTAAGATGGCAGTACTCCCCCAACACGAGCCACACTTTCAATGCAATGTCTATCAAAATTCCAACAGCCTTTGCAGAAATGGAAAAGCTGATCTTCAAATTCACAGGGAAGTACAAGGGGCCCTGAGGCCAAACAATCTTGTAAAAGAACAAAGTTGAACAAATTTTCTGATTTTAAAACATGCTACAATGCAAGGTAATCAAAACAATGTGATACTGGCATAATGATAGACCTCTGGGTCAATGGACTAGAAGCGAGAGCCCAGAAGTACATCTTCATTTTTATTGATTTTCAATAAAGGTGCCAAGATTACTCAATGGAGATAAAAAGCGTATTCAGCAAATGATAACAGGACAACTGGATGCATGTAGAAGAATGCATTGGGATCTCTGTCATACACCATATGTAAAGATTAACTCAAAATGGATCAGACACCTAAATTTAAGGGCCAAAGTTATAAAACTTAGAAGAAGATATAGTGGTAAATCTTTGGGACCATGGATTTGGCAGCAGTTTCTTAGATATGTCATCAAAAGCACCAGCAGTGAGAACAAGTATATCAGGCTTTATCAAAATAAAAACTATGTATATTAAAGGGCACTTTTGAGAAAGTGAAAAAAACACAGAGTGGGAGAAAAGTATTTCCAAATCACTTACCTGATAATGGTCTAGTATCCCATCCCAAATACATAAAGAACTATCACAACTCAACAAGAAAAATCACCCAGTTTAAAAAGGGTTTGAGAAGATATTTCTCCAAAGAAGATACAAAAATGGACAATAAGCACAGGAAAAGATTATTATTATAGCGAAATGCAAATCAAAACTACAATTAAATACCACTTCACAGCCATTAGGTTTGTTAACAAAAACAAACCAGCAGCCAGAAAATAACAGGTGTTGGCAAGGATTTGGAGAAATTGGGAACTGCATCGTTGCTGGTTAGAAACACAGAATGGTGCAGCCCCTCTGGAAAGCAGTTTGACAGTTTCTAAAAAAATTAAATATGGATTTACCATGTGACCCAACAGTTCTACTCCTAGGTATATACCCAAAGAAATGAAAACACGCATTCGTCTAAAAACTTGTCTATGAACATTCATAGCAGCATCATTTATAATAGTCAAAAGTGAAAACAGGTCCAGTGTCCATCAACTGATGAACTGATAAATAAAATGACGTATATCCATACAATGGAATATTATTCAGCCTTAACAAAAAAATGAAAATCTGATACTTGCTACAGTGTGGGTGAATCTTGAGAACATTGTGCTCTGTGAAGTAAGCCAGACACAGAAGGCCATATATTGTATGATTCCATTCGTATGAAATGTCCAGAATTGGCAAATGCGTAGAGATAGAAAGTAGTTAATGTTGTCAGGGACTGGGGCTGGGGAGGCAGAGAGGAATGAGTGACTGCTTAATGGGTACGGAGTTTCTCTCCAGGCTGATGAAAATCTTCTGGAGTTAGATCATAGGAATGGTCGCACGACCATATTGTGAATATACTAGAAGCCACTAAGTTGCACACTTTAAAATGGTGACTTTTATATTATGTGAATTTCCTCTAAAAAAAAATGTAGAAGTTCCGAAAACACAAACGCTTGGTGAGGGATGCCGGCTACGGTAGCTCCTGTGGCTCCTTTCCCGGGTCTTCTTCCTCCCTGCTAGGTTGAGGTGCTCCTGTTCACCATGGCGTCGCCGAGCGCAAGTAGGGCTCTGTAGCTCTCAGGCTGCACATCTGTTTGCCACACATGGGGCCTTGCAGGAGTTTTTTCTGTTTTGTTTTGTTTTGTTTTTGAGACGGAGTTTCCCTCTGTCGCCCAGGCTGGAGTGCAGTGGTGCGATCTCGACTCACTGCAAGCTCCACCTCCCGGGTTCACGCCATTCTCCTGCCTCAGTCTCCTGATTAGCTGGGACCACAGGCGCCTTGCCACCACGCCCGGCTAATTTTTTGTACTTTTAGTAGAGATGGGGTTTCACCGTGTTAGCCAGGATGGTCTCGATCTCCTGACCTCGTGATCCACCCCTCTCGGCCTCCCAGAGTGCTGGGATTACAGGCGTGAGCCGCCGCGCCCGGCCGCAGTAGTTTTAATGTGGATTGATATGGGCATGAGGATTTCCAAAGCCCCGCGGTGTTTCTGCTGTGCACTGAAACTTGAGGACCCCTGGTCTATCCACCCTCCGATTCCCTGCAGCAGCCCCCGGAGTCGGGCGGGGACCTGCAAAGTTTGTTCTAAACTTGAGGTGATGGGAGGTGGCTGAGTTCAGAGTGCCACCTCCTTCCACACCAGCTCTGCATACTCATCTCCCTTCCACACTCGCAATCCTCTGTGCAGTAGTGCAGGCTCCAAGAAATTCCCTTGGAGGGAAAGGGTGGGAAGGGAGTGAGGGATAAAAGACTACAAATTGGGTGCAGTGTACACTGCTCGGGTGATGGGTGCACCAAAATCTCACAGATCACCACTAAAGAACTTACTCGTGCAACCAAACACCACTTGTTTCCCAAAACCTATGGAAATAGAAAATTAAAAAAAAAAAAAAAAAGAAATTCTCTTAGAAAGAACTCTGCTTTATCTAGTGTGTCCAAACTGAATATCAAGTCAGTGATGTGGTAATATGCGGGCTTATTTTTTAAATAAATAAATAAAATTTAGCACATTAAGGGTTAGTGCCTATTTCAAAGCACCTGCAACAGCTCAACATGTGATGTGAACTGTGTGGTTCCTGTTGACGACAAAGGCACGGGTGCTGTGGTTTGTTAGTCACATTTATAATTGAAGGAAGAGATAAATTTCAGATAGAGGTTAGTGAGGTTAGTGAGGTTAGTGAAAATAAAGATGAGATTATTTTTCCTCCCAAGTCCACAGACCCCTGCTGTGCTGTCTGTCTGTGGCCCTGGTTAAGGGAGGCCCAAGTTGGAACAGGACCCAGGGCTTTCCTTTGACCTGTGCTTTTGCAAACATGAGAGATGCATGGGCTGGGCATGGCGCTGGTGTGAGAGCTGCACCTTCTGTAGTGACCCGAAGCCTGAATTCACCTTGACCTCCAGTTCCTCCTGCCTGGGAGTCGGTGGATGCCTGCTGAATGGTGACGCGGTGCGTCTCCCTCTTGGCTGTGTCTGCCCAGAGCCTACTGCTATTCCTCGGGGACTTCCTTGCGTTGGGCTCCTGCCAGTCTCAGGGACCTCTCGGTCTCTCTGTTGATGGCCCAGCAGAGCTCATTCCACGTGTGAAGGCTTTCTCCTGTCTTCCTTCCTGGAAGCTCTTTGAGTGCCAATCATGGCTGAACACTGCACTGCCTCTCTGCCCAGCTGCCTCTGGGCTTGGCTGATTTGCAACTGCAAGATGACAGAAAAACTTCCAGATGACATCTGGGCTTTGCTATGTCTGCTGTGGTATCATTGAAAGCTGCCTCTAAGTCTAACATCTGGGATTTTACTTTTTAACAATAAAAAGGATATAGACCTTTAGCCCACTAGTGCTAAGAATGGTATCTAAATTTTGTTTTTATTTTATTTATATCTTGTATATTTGCAAAGGCAGACAAAAGTAGAAGGCTATAAGAGTTTGGAAGGTATTCCGAATGATTAAGTTGGAAAGCACTTTCAGCATTTGGGGAAAAGTTTATATTTTTTGCTCTTAAATGTAAGTACTGTAAAAGTAAACCAACTTTTTCCATTGTGTTACTACTATCTAGAGAAGCTGCATGGTGAGTCCTTTCTGTAGCTAACCTGGCTTCTTCCCCCATAAACTTAAGGTAAACAAGTTATGCCAATATATTCAAGTTAGAGGCAGAACCACTCAGTTTCCATTTGCCCTTTGGATAGTAAAGATTAGGTGCTTCAACTAGCAGCAAGAAAAGATGGGTCAAGTTAAAATTAAACTTGCTTTCAAAATTAGATTTCCAGACTTGATTCAAATGTTTACTTAAATGCTGTGATAATATTCTAAAACTCTACGTTCTTGAATTTGAAGATCCACAAAGTATGGATAAGATAGAATATCTCTGGATCTATTTAGCACTGTTGCTGTGTTACTGAAATTTAAAAGTTTACCATGTAAAATATCTTAATGTTTTGGAATTTTTATGCCATACCTCTTGAAATATTGTAATTATAAGTTTACCCTGTAAATTATCCTTTGTTGTACAGAGAATCTGACCAATTTACCCATTCCCCTGGTCCGGTTGCCATTTTATTGTATCTAAGTGTGGCCTTAGGAGAAATCTCTTGGTAGCTGCCTGCGTGATTGGCAAGTTGAAGTTGGAATTTTTTATGGTCTGTATTAATGGATCTGATTCTCAGAAGTTGCTTGCTAAGAAAATTACCCTCTTCATTTCTGTTTTTAGTAGGGAGGCCTTGGCATTTGTCCAGCAATTAATGAGAAATCATGGTACAATTATGTTTTATTTTTTTTCTTAATTCTTTCTGCGTTTGACATAATGGTGAAAATTAAAGAACCTTGAGTGGAAAATGCCTTAGTAAAATAAAAGCGTATCGCAATTATATTCTGACCTTGGTTTTTTTCCCTCTATAACTCTATATTTTTCACAGAATTAATTATATTCTAAAGCGTACCCAAGCTGTGTGCTTGCTACGAGATGTTTGCTGCTGGAGTGATTGCATGCTCCTTTGCCCTTAGATGAAGCAGTGCTTTCATAACTTCTAAACATGCCTGAATTGCCTGAGGTTTTTTATGGCTTACATTTTCTTTATTGTTCATACTGATAAAAATCCGGCTGTACTCCAACTATTAGGATAAATTAGTGTGTTGTCTGTAGAAACGAGCTCTTCTGTCTAACTGAATAACAGACATACAATTTATATGCAGTTAATCTAATCTGTAGCATGGCAAGCTACAGAGCAGTCCCAGCATGAGCGCGGTGACTTCGTCACTGCCGAGATTACTCAACGGGGGCTTATTTCTGTCATGGACAATTGAAGTCTAGGTTAAGTCGATGACGCCTCCGTGATAGTACTGCTGTTTACCCCTGAAGGGCAATATAGATCTCAAAAGGCTAAAATAGATCAGTGAATGCTTCAGTCATTTACATTGATACTTAAAGATAAGACATTTTAGTTGAAAATAAACGTAGCAGCCTCTTCCCTATGGTCATAAAAATGTTGGCACTTATTCATGTGCCTACTTACCAGGAGATTGGCTGTACATAATTGATAGTGTCTGGCCCTTAAAAGGATCAAATAGAAGATTTTGACATCATTAAAATTTTGTTTCCTGAAATACTTACTCTTGGAAGTAGATTTCTGTGAAAGAAAAAAATTCATTTTTGGTTGGTTGCCCTGGGAAAATGACGTTATTTAAAAAACAACAATTTACTGGTAGCATGTGTTCAGTATTTGGCTAGAATTACTTGATTCTTTTATTAAACAGTGTTTTTTTTCTAATAGAAAAATATTTGCAGTTTAAACAATGTTGATCACATAAGCACATACAGAGGATAAAGTTAAAATTCTCCAGTAACCCTGTCAGGACCAGACACATTCTGTTAATATTTGTATATACTGATTTTTTCTGTGTATTTGTGTGTATCGTATGCGTAGTATATTGTCAACTTGTTCAAGTAAATAATGAACATTATTTTATGCCATTAAATTTTTTTTTGACACCAAGGCTTATTAAAATGATCTCTGAAACTCTATTTTGTGAATATAATCGTCCCATGGATTACGAGGGGAATTGGTTCTAGGACCCCTGTGGATCCCAAAATCCACACATACTCATGTCCTGCAGTCGGCCGGTGGAAGCTGTGGGTTGAGAAAGCGGGCCTCCCGCACAAGTGCGTTTCACACCCCGAGGATGCTAAGTTTCTGTGTGCGCCGTTGGTTGGAAAACATCCACCTATAAGTGGACCTGCACAGTTCAAATTGGTGTGATTCAAGGGTCAGTTGTATATGCGATTTTTTCCTGGGAAGAACTATACTTTTCATCAGATTGTTGGAAAGGGCTGTGGTAGTTAAGAACAATCTATTTTTAATGACTACATGGTAATATTTTGTAATTCATTTATATATTCCCTTATTTTTAAGACATTTAGCATAGCATATTAGAAGTATAATATATGCTGACGAAGAATATTTTATTCCAGTAATGCAAGTATAACATTTTATTTAGAGTTTATTCATATTCACAAATGAGACTGTCCTGTAATATTTTTGGTATTTTTCTAATCACATGTGCTAGTGTTATGCCAGTTTCATGAAATCAACTGAGGCCATCCTATGTGTATTTCTGTGGCCTAGAATACGTTAAGCAACCTGAGAATTATGTCTTAAAAAGTGTTAGTAACCCTGTGCCTTAGTGGTAGCATTTTATATTTCCAGTTTCTTCTGAAGATACCGTTTTCAGGGTCTTCTCTCTCTTGCTTCTTGGGTTACTTTTGACCATTACATTTTGCTAAGAGATCGTTAATTTTGTATTGCTATGTAATTTTTAAAGATATTTGGAATTTATGGAAAGATCACCAAAAAGGCACTTTGGGTGTGATACGACTGAAATGTGTTTTACAGTCTGACTGGAGAACTCAGCTGCCATGCATCACAGGGCAGTGCTGAGTCTTAGGCCTTCTGGCTTTTAATTGAAAATACTGCCAAGTGCTGAGGTCATGGTCCCGGTACCATTTCTCCCTCAAAGGAAGTAGGGCTCCTTGGAGAAGTGGCTGATTCTAGGTATTGGGAGAGACAGAGCTAAGCCTAGAGCACCATCTATAGCAGAAAAGTAGGGCAGACCACTGGGGTCCAGGGTGAAGGACGCAGGAGCGGCTTGAAGAGGCTCCCCCTCCCCACATAGGAGATGGGGAGCCCCAGGAAGAGCATAACTGTGATGGAGGAAGCACTGGACACGCTTAAATCCACGCTCTCATGATCATAAAAAACGAATTGGTCATCATTGGAGAATGTAAATAGAGGCATTATCAGATGCTTCCTCAGCATTTTTTGATATAGTCAAATGATTTCCTCTTTTAATCTGTTGATATAATTAATTCTGGTGATATTAACAATTCCTGATGAGGCATCCTTAGCTCAGAGGAAAGGATGGTGTATTCATTAAATGGGGCCGGCTCGGCCAGTAAAGAAAAAAATGCCATCCAGGAGAAGACGTAGACTTCCCCCTTATAACATACTGTGTGCCAGGATTATACCAAGTTCCAGAGGAATTAAAGATCTAGGTAATAGGCCAGGCATGGTGGCTCCTACCTGTAATCCCAGCACTTTGGGAGGCTGAGGCAGGCAGATCGCTTGAGCTCAGGAGTTTGAGACCAGCCTGGGCAACATGGTGAAACCCTGTCTCTACCAAAAATGCAAAAAATTAGCCAGGCATGGTGGTGTGCTCCTGTGGTCCCAGTTACTTGGGAGGCTGAGGTGGGAGGATGGCTTGAGCTGGGGAGGCAGACGTTGCAGTGAGCCAAGATCATGCCAGTGTACTCCAGCCTGGGCCACAGAGTGAGACCCTGTCTCAAAAAGAAAAAAAAACAGATCTAGGTAATAAAAATAACTCAATAGAAATACTGAAAGAACATGATGGACAATATTTTCATAATCTAGGAATGGGAAGATCTTAGGAAGACAGGAAACTCAGAAACCATAAAGGAAGACTGACATTTATCTACATATAACAAAAAAATAGATCAGAACTAAAATATGGACCATACTATAAACAATGGCAAATGATTAACTTGGAAAAATTAAATCTCTAATATTTAATGATTCACAAATGGTCACTATTCCTAATGTACAAAGAATTTTTGTATATTGATGAGAGAACAAAATGAATAGCAAGATGGGTCAAGGGCATGAAAAGACCATTCACAGGAGAAGAAAAGCAAATGGCAATTAGAACTATGAAAATATGCTCGGCTTCATTTTTGGTTAATGACAGCAATATAGGATAACCATGATTCCACCTGACTGGCAAAATCTAAAATGAGCCAGGATGCAAAAACAGGACATCTTGCCCGTGGGAGCGTCAGTCTACACAGCTGTGTGGAAAGGAAACCTGGCATTGTCTATAAAAACTAAAAGCTACTTTAATTCAGCAGTTGTGCTTTTATAAAACAAGTTTATAGAAATAAAAGTGCAATTCTATTAGGGTGTATGATTGAAAAATGAGAATGGCTGCATTGTTGTAGTGGCAAATAAACTGGAAGCAACAGCAATTGAATTTTCTCCTTACTGCTCAGTTTCCTTTCTAACGGCAGTGATGTAGGTGCCCGTCAGGGTCAGGGCAGGGGAGCTGCATGCCAGTGAGGAAGAAAGCTCCTGAGCACAGATGGTTCCTGGGGGAGCCACACAGGGGTCACTTCTACAGTGCCACCTGGCTGGTGCTGGCCCCTTGTACACATGGGTACATGTACAGCAAGGTCTGCCCATAGAGCTTGGGACTTGTCTGTGAACAGAGGACGCCGGCCTGGGCACCTCTGTGTTCCAGGCTTTGGGGCTTTGCAAAAGAGAGACTGCAAGGGCAGGCAGACTGATGGGAGGAGACACACAGCTGCTGCCTGTGAGGGAGGGGAACCCCAAAAGCCTGCACCGTTACTGAGGAAGAGCTCCGTGTGGCCCAGGAAGCCTCAGTATTATGCTGCAGAGGCACTAATGGACATTCTGAATCTCCAAGGAAGACATAACTTGTTTTTGTTATACTTTAGTTTTAAAAGTTTAGGAAATACATAGTTCAATTTAGAGAGATTTCTGTGTTTCATACAAGTTTTATTGTATAAATAGGTAAGACTCCCTGTGTCTGGAGAACTTGGCTTTCTAGAATAACTTACTCTTTGATGTTGCTGTTGGTTAATATTTTGCCATAAATATCACTCTTGAACATTTCCATGCCCCTTTGCTTTCAGTTTTTTGTAGCATCAGATCCAACAGTTAAAACAGATCGACTGTGGCACGACAAGTATACTTTGAGGAAATCGATGATTCCTTCGTTTATGACGATGGATCAGTCTAGGAAGGTAGGATTAGAAGAGATTTTTGTGATTTTGATGTTTTATGGCTATGTATACTTAGATTATGTGACAAAACCAATTTTCAGTTAAAATTTCATGCGTTTTGAGATTGTTAACGTTCTGGAGATGAAGTAAGTGCATGTTAATTGAATACATCAGTATAGTATGTGTTCAATATATCTTTGAGTTACTAGAATTCGCTCCATACTGTAGCAGATGCTCTTGTTAGTTTTCAATCAATAGCCAATTTGTAGCTTACGAATATTTGTAGATTTGGGCAGTCGTTTTAAATTTACATAAAAGTAATCATAGAATGTTTTTCTTTTTAGGTCCTTTTGATAGGAAAATCAATAAATTTCTTGCACCAAGTTTGTCATGATCAGACTCCCACTACAAAGATGATAGCTGTGACCAAGTCTGCAGAGTCACCCCAGGACGGTATGATGATGCTGGTGGGGTGGTGATGATGGCAATGGTGTGATGTTGATGATGATGTGAGGATGGTGATACTCATGGTAACAGTGATGTTGATGACGTAGTGATTGTGATGGTGTGATGATGGGGATGATGGTGATGTGATGATAATGATGTTGGGGATGGGTGGTGATGATGGCGATGATGAATGCGTGGTGGTGGCAGTGATGGTGGTGATGATGTTGATGGTGATGATGATGGGGGTAATGATGGTGGTGTGATGATGGTGATGTGATGATGTTGGGGATGGATGATGGGGATGTGATGATGGTGTGCTGGTGGTAGTGATGATGGTGATGATGATGATGGTGATGATGTGGTGATGGTGTGATTATGGTGATGTGATGATGTTGGGGATGGGTGGTGATGATGGCATGGTGGTGGCAGTGATGGTGGTGATGTTGATGGTGATGATGGTGATGGTGTGATGATAGTGATAATGATGGGGATGGGTGGCGACGGTGATGATGGCGTGGTAGCGGCAGTGATGGTGGTGATGATGTTGATGGTGATGATGGTGGTAATGATGGTGATGGTGTGATGATAGTGATGATGGGGATGGGTGGTGATGACAGCGATGATGATGGCATGGTGGTGGCAGTGATGGTGTTGATGATGTTGATGGTGATGATGGTGGTGATGATGGTGATGGTGTAATGATAGTGATAATGATGGGGATGGGTGGTGATGATGGTGGTGATGATGGCGTGGTGGTGGCAGTGATGGTGGTGATGATAGTGATGGTGATGATGGTGGTAATGATGATGGTGATGTGATGATAGTAATGACAATGATAATTGTGATGGATGGTGATAGTAATGATATGATGATGGTGATAGCGGTGATGATAGTGGAGGTGATGATGATGTGCTGATATTACAGATTACTTAAAAGTATTTTTTGTACCATAGGATTTATAGATTATTAGAATTACTCTCTGATACACCTTAATACATAGTATTATGTATGTATATATATAGTACTGTGTAAATTTTTAATTTCCTTTTTATACAGTTATACAGTAAGTGTTGGAATAGGTATAGCTGTTTTAAAATGATAAAGTGGCAGTGTGCCAAAATAAGAAATAACAGAAAAAATATTGCTAATGGTAGCCTATTCTTTGGGATGCAAAGGCTTTGTTTGGAGAAGAGCCAGGACTTATTGCACTTATTGTGTTTATTGCATTCAGAATGTCGCATGAGCGTTCAGCCTGTGGGAAGTGCTGAGGCTTTCCCTCGTTCTCTTCCTTTTCCCCATTTGCCGCCTGCCCCACCCTCAGTAATTTCATGATGTTTTGTGTATGGCTAACTTATATTTATAGCTCTCCAGTTTTGGCTGTATTTGCTATTTATATTGTCATGGTTCATTCAAAAGATTTACTTTGCGTAGGACACTGTGGTAGCTACAGGAAAGAGACAATGACTTCACCATGACTGTTCCTTTCATGAGCTTATTAGTCTGGTCTTGGAGAGGAGATGTGTAGTAAAATAACCAGTAGTCAGTAATAAAGGTGAAAGTGATCAGGGACGTGAGATGTGCAGGTGAAGCGCTTTGGGTATTTTCAGGCAAGGCTCAACAGGAAGGCTTTGGAAAGAGGCAGGAATTGCACTGGCCATGGAGAAGGAGGAGAATTTGGTTGTGGGTTATTGCGCAGCCCAGGACAAAGGAATAATGTGCATGGAAGTGCAGAAGAGAAATAGGACGAATTAGACTTATCTAAAGATTGTAGTGAAAATAAAAAGTTATTATTTAATAATGTGACAGACTAAAGAGAGACAGACTAGGACCTCATGTAGGAAGCAGGATAGGTTACTGGGTATGGTTTTAGCTACAGGTGTTACTGGAATGACAGATGTTCTCTTAACAGGACTTGGCTCTCTGGACAGGAGGGCTGGGGATCAGGAAGAGTCAGTGATGGCACTAGAACTCTGAGCTCGTGAGGCCAAGTCGGAAGGGCAGCAGGGGATTTCGGGAGAGCATAGCACTGAGAGAGGAATGTCATTTCGGGCAATTTGGTTTTCAGTAGCTGAGAGGACTTACTAGTGGAAGCTTCCAGCATGTATTGGAAATGCTATACTGAAACTCTGGTTAAAAGT
The DNA here is from genome assembly GCF_000001405.40 of Homo sapiens. NCBI lineage: Eukaryota > Metazoa > Chordata > Mammalia > Primates > Hominidae > Homo > Homo sapiens. The sequence goes on along the minus strand of NC_000013.11, from coordinate 112,524,809 downwards.
CAGGGCCGAATATAGAGATTTTGGAAGCACTTATCTCACCATGGTAACTCAGGACAAGGCAGGATGGTGTAGCAAGAGCTCCCGTGTGGTCCAGGGGAGACACCCTTTCCAGGCATGTGAGAGCCATGGGCCCTCTCACCCTAAAGCATTCAGACATAATTTTACATGTATTTTTTTGTGGGGGGGTACATAGACCCCAGATTGTTCCTGGAATAGAGATAGATGTGATCCAATATAGATTTTGGGGAAATGCTTCTACACTGAAGAGGTGGAAGGAAGAAGAACCAGGAGAGCAGTTGTGTTCGAGTTGTGACCTTTCATAGTTCCTAGAGAAGGCGGCGCACACATGGGCTGTGCCTGGGACAGGGCGTCCCCATGCGCCTGCTGTGCCGGAGGCTCTCCATGAAGGTTGCTGCTGCTTGTGTGAGCACCGCGTCTGCTGTGCTGCTGGCGGCCCCTGTACCCACCGCCCCACATCTGCAGATTCAATCAACTGAGGATCAAAAACACTTAAAAAAAGGCAGCCACTAAAAAAATACACAAAAAACCAAGACAATTTAACAGCTATTTGCATAGCATGTACATTGCGCTAGATATTATAAGTAATTTAGAGATGATTTACCGTATATGGGAAGATGTGTGTAGGTTAGGTGCAAATATTGCTTCATTTTGTAGAAGAGACTTGAGCATCAGGGAATTTTGGTGTCTGTGGGGGTCGTGGGATTGGTCCCCTGCAGATGCTGAGGGTGACGGGGCGCTGCTGCTGCTGACGCTGCTGCTTCTCTGTGACGACTCCTGTGGTCCCCGTCGTCCTGTCCATGGCTGCCAGGGTCTGCGGAGAGCAAAGTTTCTGCTGTTGAGTATTTATAGTATAACTGGGAAGACAGAAGATGCAAATCCTAAAAGACTCCTAGTAATGGTCAAAAAACAGGAGAACATGTCAAATTCATTTTTATCTGTGAAAAAGTTATGAAGATTTAAAAGTGTGAATAAAGAATAAATAGTGAAAATTTAAAAACTGAGCACGAGAGATGCCTCAACCCTGAAGGAGCAAAGAGAGTTCCGAGGAGGCTCTGGGTTCTGTGTCTTCATAGGCTGCTTTGGGCTAAGACTGATTCAAACCTTCTCTTTGGAATGAAAATTTTTAATGACTCAAACAAGGGTGTAATGAAAACATTTCTAGAGAAAAATCTTTATGTCATTAAAACTACGTAGATCAATGGAAATAGAACCCCATGCCCTTAAAACAGGACTGTGGTGAGCTCATCAAGGGGTTCCGTGGTGTCGTGACTCCAGGCAGACCTCACTCATCCTCAGATAACTACAGTTTCTTCACTGGGAGCATCTTAGTTGTTTGCTACTAGTGTGAAATTGGAATAATAGCAACACTAAAATAGGCCTGTCTTAACTGCTTTCTTATTCGGAAGGACAAACAAATCTTAAGAGTCTTCTGGTATATTTAAACTGGGTAACTCAGATAGTGGAAAGAGACTTAAACTCTGAATCAGAAGATCTCGCCTTTCTTGTCCTTGCTTAGTCTTCAGCTAGCGTTTTGCCTCCTTCTCTCAGTCTGAGGTTGTTCCTCCCACTGGGGTTATTGTCTAGCTTAAGTATTATTGTGGGTTTAATGAAATGAAGTATTCATATAAGTTTTAAAAATGGTTTTGTGCTTTGCAGATGTAAATCAGCACTGTAAGAAGCTCTGTTATGTGTATAGTCTCCACCTGCAATTTCTTCTCAATAGAAAGCTATGGAAATGCTTTCTTCCGCTATGTTACTGCTTAGAGTCAGGCGTCTTTATTGGTGACAATCTGGTTTTGTCCCCTAGACATCTCCACCAATCTCCGTAGAGTTCACTCTATGGTGCATGATACTACTACTCAACTTTTGCGAGTTGTACAATTCACAAAGCTTATTTGCATGTGCTGTTTTGGTCTTAAGACTAATTTATGGAAACATCTTATGGGTATGGACGGGTGACTCAGCACTGACTTGCCCTATTACCAGTGTGTTTTGGTGAGATTTACGGTTAGTTACAGTGTATTAAGGGATTTGGAAATCATGAAGACACACATGTAGGTGTCTGCTGTGAACCCAGCTGGCAGAATTGTTTTCATGTGTGTGGTCTTAGGGCTCTGGTCTCCTTTGTGGAATGTCCAGCTGTCTGTGCCTGCGGTCAGTCTGTTACTGATGCCACAGGCAGTGGTTGGCCCTGAGTCTGGATGTATGTGCCTTCATTTCTCCTCTGTGGAAATACAAATTACATATGCATGTGTGCTCTTCCCTGTTGTTCTTTACAGCTGCAGACCTATTCACAGACTTGGAAAATGCATTTCAGGGGAAGATTGATGCTGCTTATTTTGAGACCAGCAAATACCTGTTGGATGTTCTCAATAAAAAGTACAGCTTGCTGGACCACATGCAGGCAATGAGGCGGTACCTGCTTCTTGGTCAAGGAGACTTTATAAGGCACTTAATGGACTTGCTAAAGTAAGGCACTATTTTGATTTCTATAAATAAGTAATATATTTGACATGATAAGGAATCTTGTATTTAAAAGAATAAATTATATTAAAAGAAAATGAGTTGAATTCTTCGAGCATACTTTTTAAAATAAAATCTGAAAAGAATGTAAAATTTTCAAAAGGTAAAGCCCCTTCATTTTTCTCTGGTTATCAGCAGAGCATCATTGTCATGTTCTGTGCTTTATTCATAAGAGAAACTGGCATTTCTTTCCAAAACTGTGGGGCTTACAGTCTTCATGTATGAGGAGTTGGTCAAATCACACTTAACTTTAGCTTGAGTTTGAAATAAAGCTGAAAAATAAAATATATATTTTAAAGTTGAATTTTACTTTTATATTTGTAGTTAATGTTCACCTAAAAATGAAACTATGACCTTTTCATTTTGCTCCCTGACATTTCTCATGGCATCTTCCCTTCCAGAGTTAAATGTATGTCCTTCTCCACAAGTTCTGGACCAGAGCCTGCTGTGCTTCTAGGTCTAGAGACAGTGCAGACCCCGGCCCAGGCAGCGTGAGCCTGGGCATGAGCATCCCAGGGGTCCACAGCCTGGGCCTGGAGATTTTCACCCAAGTGTTTAGAAGAATGAAACTTCTTTTCTGGTGTTCCTTTTAGGACACTTAAAGTAAGATAAATGTTCCCTTTAAGACACAAAATAGTAACTTACCTTTAAACCCTGCCAGTGCTCCCCAAGCAATTGTTTTAGGCCTCAGGTCCTCAAGTTTCAGTGTATCACAGACTAGAAAGCTTGCTGCAGTAGCTTGTGGGCCCACTTCAGAGAATGAGATTCTCAGGTGTGGGGTAGAGGATTTGCATTTCCAGCCAGTTCCAGCTGCTGGTGATGCTGCGTTTGTGGGGACTACACATTGAGAAGCACTGTTTGAGACATGCAGGCTCTTACATCCTACCTTCTAGCCAGAAGCCAGTCTCCCGTGTGAAAACTCATGTGGCTTTTTGAGGCGTACACAGCCATAGCTGGCTTGTGACATGCTCATGCCTTAGTCATAGCTGATGCCTGCTAACACATTTGTAAGAAAAGAAAGTTCACTAGTACAGTAAATGCTGGTTGTGATGAGGTCAACACCTGTTTGAAGTATGAGTGGTGATGAGCTTTTAAAGGGGAAATGTTCTCTAATGCCATGGGGGCATGGGGTGTGTATGTGGGTCAGTTGGTGCAGATGGAGATGAGGAGCCAAAGTGAGGTTTGGAGGACACTGATGGTGTCATAGGTCACATCATAGAGCCGGCTGAACGCATTCGCCTTGTGCCCAATCTTAATGTTGAAAGTATCACATGCGTGCTATAAAATGAAAAATTCATTTCTCCTCAATGTCGTATTTTAAGTTCCTAGTTTTTAGGTTTATTTGACGTTGTGTGTCTTTTTCACCTTGTCTCTGCCCTGTGTTTTGTAGAGCTTACACGTCTACCTGAGTTGATTAGTGGTGTTCCTAACTTGGTCACCCCCGATTAGAGACGTGTTAGCTTCATATTTATAAAAGCAGATATCAGTAACCCTCAAGAAATGCTTGCTGAAAGTGTAGTGTTTCTTGGCCCTTTAGAATCATGACATCCATGTACCTAATTGCTTTGATTTGATGGAGGCCTCTCCTCTTCCCATTGGGTCTAAAAGGAAATTATATCAGCTCATGCTACTCATAGGCCAGTCTGAAGTTTGAAAACTTTGTTAACATGTATAGCACATTTAAGTACTTTCAATTTAAGCTGAATCAAAATCAGTTCTTTTTTTTTCTTTTTTTTGAGATGGAGTCTCGCTCTGTCTGTCACCCAGGCAGTGTAGTGGCACGATCTTGGCTCACTGCAACCTCTGCTTCCTGGGTTCAAGCGATTCTCCTGCCTCAGCCTCCAAAGTAGCTGGGATTACAGGTGCCCGCCACCATGCTGGGCTAATTTTTGTATTTTTAGTAGAGATAGGATTTCACTATGTTGGCCAGGCTGGTCTCAAACTCCTGACCTCAGGTGATCCTCCCACCTTGGCCTCCCAAAGTGCTGGGATTACAAGCTTGAGCAAATGTTCCTGGCCAAAATCAGTATTTTTCAGATTTTAAAGAAATGTAACTCCACAATAATTAGTAAGCCCTGTTTGCAGTTAATGCTCTGAAGCTTTTGTTGCCGCATTATTGTATTGGTCCCATTTGTCTTTTGAGTTTTTATAATTTGAACTCTTACTTTTAATAGTTTATACGTTTTTTAAAGTTCATTAAGAATTGAAGTAATATTTTCTTTAATTTTTAAAAAATTTGTTAAGACCAGAACTTGTCCGTCCAGCTACGACTTTGTATCAGCATAACTTGACTGGAATTCTAGAAACCGCTGTCAGAGCCACCAACGCACAGTTTGACAGTCCTGAGATCCTGCGAAGGCTGGACGTGCGGCTGCTGGAGGTACTGCGGCTCTGCGTGTTGGGAACGCCGCCCCGGCACCGAGGACCCACTGGGCCGGGGTGTTCTAGCGAGTGTTTTCCATGTTGTTTCAGGCACAGCTAGCCGTTATCTTTCTGGAAACTGGGCAGCCTGAGTAGGAACTCCACTCTGTGGCTTGTTACTGCCTGGTCAGCACATCTGCTCCCTCTCCACCATCTGGGTTTCCGTTTGCCCATCTTGCAGCGGGGAGCCTTGCAGGGCTGCTAGGCTTAAGCTGGAGAAAACGCATGACACCCTTGCCCTGTGCTGGGCAGCATATCACAGATGCTTAGAAAATGGTGCTTTCTTCTCATAGTAAATCCAACAGGAGCACAAGACATGGTGTACGATGGTATTTATCAGAAAATGGATGCTTTTAGTTGCAGTTTGGTAGGACATGACTTTTCTTAAGGGTGTGGTTATTATGAACATAAACCCACTATTTACTTAGTTGTGATGGAAGATCATTAGCAGAACGGTTGGTTTTCTTAAAATATTGCAAGAGTCATCTTGGAATAAAAAGATTTGGAACATATTTAGAGGCAGTGGGTTTTCGTCGTAAGCAAATGGTGATGAATTTTAAACGCATAGTCACAATATTCATTCAGAAATACACCATGCATTGCCAGATGTTTGCAGAGCACCTACTGTGTGCTCATTATTGCCTAATTGGTGAGGTTGTAGAAGTTAACAAGAAGATGCACTCAGAACTGTTGAGCAGTTTTTAACAATTGGGCATTATTTTACTGCTTTTTCTTTGCGTTAACAAGTTCTTCAGCAAGAAGCTTAAGGTCTTGCAATTATGTGTTTGTTTCTGTTGTTAGGTCTCTCCAGGTGACACTGGATGGGATGTCTTCAGCCTCGATTATCATGTTGACGGACCAATTGCAACTGTAAGATTATCCTGCATCATTTTATAGTATTTACAACTATTAAGATTGTTAAACATTTTGTTTGAAATTGGCTTTCTTCTCTGGGGACTTCTAATTCAAGTGATCACTCGACATCTAAGATCTACTCATTGAATGAATACTTAAGCCAAAATTGTGTGTGTGTTTTAAATGATTATTAATGAGTACTGAAATGCTCTATTATTTTAAAAATTCTTAAAAATATCATTTGTTCTATCATAGGTTTCAGCAACTCCTTAATAAATGGACTGTTCATTTTCTTCCATTATTCTTATACTGTGGCAACTAGTTAAGGATAATGTGAAAGGAACTATAAAGTGTATTTTAGGGGAATCATATTTTTACTACTTAGATAAAATTTGGTATTTAGTATTCATTTAAACCGATGAGGAAGCAGCTGTACTTTGTTCATAGTGCTTTTACCTACATAACAGTTACCACATTATAAAAGGCTGACCAGGAAAGCTGTCTTTTTACATGTCTGCAATTAAAATGCCTCTTTTTAGTGCGCATTTTTAAAGTATTCAGACTTGAATAAATTTCCTTGACCAAGATACCCTCTAAACTTACTTCAGTCATTTTTATATCTGAAATACTGAAGAAGGACATTGCATTTCTTTGAGGTATTGGGAAAAGTATTCTGTTGAGAAGGAATATAGTTGGGCTCTAAAATTTCTTCTCAGTGGTTCTGGTAGAGCCTGCTTCGTGCTGTTTTCCCGCCTCTCAGGGTGCATATCACGCTGCTGCAATAATTGCATCAGGGCACACTCACCCTCTTTCCTCTTGGGGGTAAGAAACCTGCCACTGGTAAGTGTGTCTCTCCTGTCTACAGTGAGATGGGAACTGCTGGTGCAATTTCCTTTTTACACATAAATTCCTGGTGTGTAACCTTTATTGATCAAAGCTACTATATTTTAAGTGTATAACTTCTCTTAAATTTAATTTCTCATCATATTCAAATTAGCTTTTTCTCTTTTGACTTATATCCTAAACAATTTAAAATAGTTACAATGCAAAAAGCAGTGTGATATTTTAACAAATTATTTATTTATTTAATTTATTTTTGACACAGAGTCTCACTCTGTCACCAAGGCTGGGAGTGCAGTGGTACAATCTTGGGTCACTGCAACCTTCACCTCTGAGATTCAAGCGATTCTCCTGCCTCACCCTCCCAAGTAGCTAGGATTACAGGCACAAGCCACCATGTCTGGCTAATTTTTGTATTTTTAGTAGAGATGGGGTTTCACCATATTGGCCAGGCTGGTCTCAAACTCCTGACCTCAGGTGATCCACCTGCCTCCCTCCCAAAGTGCTGGGATTATAGGCATGAGCCACCGTGCCCGGCCTTAACAAATTATTTAAATTAGCAACTTTCATATCTCCTGCCTTGTTAATTTGCATACATTACGTATTATTTTCATAGCATAAAAGATACCATAGTACAGATAATTGCATCGATTATTTCACAGAGTCTGAGTGCCTTGACAAATAGGTAAACTGAACATTGCCTAGATAAGAGATAATTAATTATTTCGTAGTATTACAGATCTCATTAAGAGTGTCAAAGTTGTCATGCCATGTACATAAACAATTGCTAATGCAATAATGTTGAATGTTTAGGTCTGTAAAGCTCTACTTTAGTAGAAGGACTCGAGGAAAAAAGTTTATATCATAGATTTATTTAAAAAAGGCAAATCTATCACTCGAGGCCAGGAGTTCGAGACCAGCCTGGCTAACATGGCAAAAACACACCTCTCCTAAAAAATATAAAAATTAGCTGGGCATGGTGGCACACACCTGTAATTATGGCTACTCAGGAGGCTGAGGCATGAGAATCCCTTCAGCCCAGGAGGCGGAGGTTGCAGTGAGCTGAGTTCTCACCACTACACTCCAGCCTGGGTGACGGAGTGAGACTCTTATCTCAAAACAAACAAACAAACAAAAAAACAAAATAAAAGTAAATGGGTGAAAATAACCTGAAGGATTCTTTTCAGACGGGAGATTCTTCTAGGCCTACCTTCCATGAGATTCACCACCCTTAGGAGCTACTGTTACAGAAGAAAGTGCACCCCTGCCTCACGGATCCCTCAGGCGGGTTGGGGGGAGTTGTAGTGAAGAGTCCACATTTTAGACTAGGTTTAGACTAGTCTAAAATGGATTGAAAATCCTAATAAACTGCAAGCTGTGTAACATTAGGCCTCTGTTTCCCCATCTGTACAACTGGCATAAAAATGCCTGCCTTCTGTTACTGTGACTTTACTTAGCATGCTGCCTATTATGATAGTTTGCTAAAATGTACCTTTTTAAAAAAAGATTGAGACCTGTACTGAGAGGATTCTTACGTGGGAATACTATCAACTTGTCTTCTGCTGTTATCCCAGGTGTTTACTCGAGAATGTATGAGCCACTACCTAAGAGTATTTAACTTCCTCTGGAGGGCGAAGCGGATGGAATACATCCTCACTGACATACGGAAGGGACACATGTGCAATGCAAAGCTCCTGAGAAACATGCCAGGTGAGCCCCCAGCACGGTCACGGGTCCGCACACACTCCCAGCGGCCTCCAGCCCCCACTGGGTGCGGTTTCCAGCAACTCCGCAGAAGTTAAGGTAGACTCACGGTGACAGCTATATATTTTTTTCAGATGGCGAACTTTCTTTTAAAATCACATTTATTTTTTATTCTAATGTTCATATATATACTTTTTAAAAATTGCCTATTTTTAAGGAAAACAGTTTAATAAATCACTGACTCATTTAAAATCCATACAGTGTTTTAACTAAATTGTTTTTGAGAATTTCTTTAATGTTTTGTTTTGTCCATAAACCAGAACATGAGAATATATTATTTAAAACAATCTAAAACTATAGTAAAAATTCTTAGGTATCAGATAGTCAAGATTATTTTAATGTTATAAACATTGAATGACTTAAATTACAAGTAATTTTGAAGTCTTTATATAAAATTGATTTGGTCAGAACCTTTGAGAAAGTATTTCAGTAGGTATGTCTCTAAGGAAGAACTAAATGGTATATGCCTTTAATCCTTTGGTGAAAAGTAATTGTTAAGAATAAAAAGAGAGCAGTTGTTTGGAGAAAGCAGTTCATGATCTCTGCTTCTTTACCAGCTCACAGGCTGGTCCCTGAGCAGCTACCAGAGATCCAGAATAGTGACCCCTGCCGAAGGCTGTGGGGCAGGGAGTTCCCTGTCTGAGCCAACACTGACATGTAGAATTGTCGGTTTTTATTGGGTGTTGATATTTGACTATAGTGGGAAGTGAATGGTAGGAATCCTCTGAATTAGCTGAGAGGGAAGCAAAGGGGAGATTTTCTTTTAAAGGCAGTGATGGCTGCGGGCAGGGTACCCTTCTTATGAATGTGCTGCCACTGGACGGGAGGCGGGAGGAGGGCCGTGCTGAGAGGGCTGCATGCACGCCTGGGGCTCTGCGGGTCTCCTTTCTCCATGGTTTCACACCGTCCTTCTCGCCACTGTTGCGGATTCCCTTGCTCACAGTTGCTTTAACTGGATGTGTACTTGCCTGCACTTCTCCTTCCCCCTGTGTTCTTATGAATACCACCAGGTAGATCGGTTCCTGGCTGCCCCCTTCACGAGGCAGCATCTTTCTTGTAGTGGATTTAGACCAATTCAAGGCCAAACCGATGCTGTCATTGTCACACGTCAAAATAAGCCTCTGTGAAGGCTGAGCTCCATTATCAACTTGAAATATGGGCTGGTTGCGATATAGTTTTCTGATCTGATTATCAGTTTAGCAACGTCTGTATCAATTTGCTCTTCTCTTATTGTATTGAATATCAATAATGAGTTTTGTTTTCTAGTTGGAGATAACTAATAAATTTTTTGATCAGTTTTCTATGTATGGGAAAATGCATATTTTATTATTTATAAAATTTATTTATATCGCTAGGATCCTGCTTCACAGAGTTTGACTCCAGCTTCTTCTGCTGATCCTTCCCCCTCGCTATTGAAACTTTTTCTGAACCATTTTTAATAGCACGATATTACCTCATGTACATATGATTTCATCATTTCTCTTTGCCTGGACATGTAGTTTTTTCCTCCAATTTTTTGCCGATATAAATAATGCCATGCATGTTTTTATAAATACAACTTTATATGCCTCTGAATATTTCTTGAGAATAGATAGAAGTGGAACTGCTTGCTTAACAGTTTGAATTTTAGTTTGACTGTTTACTTACTAAGTATTCATATTTTAACTCTATTGATATTATCAGATCACTTTTTGGGAAAAGTGTACCAATTTAGCTCATATCTCAGTAAGCCCAGATTGTATTGTTGATAGTTGTCTGTATCACTGTTTTTGTTAACATTGGCTATTAATTCAAATAAATTGTCAATTCATAGGTGAAAATGGAAGTTCATTTCAACTTTTATGCTTTTTAAATGTTATGCTTTTAAAATGATTGATGAGGGTGAACACTTTTTATTTTTAAGATGGGGTCCCCCTTTGTTGCCCAGGCTAGCCTCAAATTCCTGGGCTCAAGTGATCCTCCCACCTTGGCCTTCCAGAGTGCTGGGATTACAGGCATAAGCCACCATGCCTGGCCTCTTTTTTCTTTGTTTTGCTGTATTATATAGTATTCCCTTTATCTACAGGGGATATATTCTAAGACCCTCCCCCCCACCCCATGGATGCCTGAAACCTCAGATAGTATCAAACCTTACGTATACTGCTTTTCCCCATATGTACCTACCTATGATAAAGTTTAACTTATAGGTTAGGCACAGTAAGTGATTAACAGCAATAACTAATGGCAAAATAGGATTATTTTAACATCATACTATTACAAACATTATGTGGGTGTTATGTCTCTCTCAAAAGATCTCACCGTACTGTGCTCACCTGTTTTTCTCGTGATCTGTTGACCTGATAACTGAGACAGCTACTGAGTGACTAACCGGGGGGTTGGATACGCCATGAATTTGCTGGACAAAGGGTTGATTAACTTCCTGGCTAGGTTGGAGCAGGATGGTGTGAGATTTCATCACTACTCAGAACGGTGCTCAATTGAAAACTTATGAATTGTTTATTTCTGGGATTTTCCATGTGCTATTTCTGGACTGCCGTTGACAGCAGGTGACAAACAGCATAAAGAGAAACTGTGTGGGGGACTACCATATTTCCTTTTTCAGGAATTGTTTTACCTGTGTTTCTGTTGGGGTGTCAGTGTTCTTACCTTTAATAAAGAAGTATTTTAAAGTAGTTCATGGCCAAGCAGCTTCATGAGCAGAAATCAACTAGCTGATTTTGCTAATCCAGCGCGTTAGAAATGTCCTGCTAATGATAAATCTGAAGCAGAGTACAGACAGACCCTGTAGAGAGCTCCCATCAACAGCTGCCACGGGGCCTTGTATGGGCGTGGTATGCAGAGGACAGCTTAGTCTTACTTAAAGTATCAACAGTTATCACCCTAGTGTTTTAGCAATATTCATCAAAGTAGTAACTTGCTTCATGGTGTGCAGAAAGTAGTTACATGTGAAAGTGCTTTGCTGGGGGCAAGAGTTTTTGATCATGATCTACCAAGCAGATCCCACCCATTCCTCATGTAAGATGATCTGCTTTTCACGCCTCTACCAATCCTGGATGGTAGCAGCTTTTTATGTATTTGCCAGTCAGCTGGACAAAACACAGCGGCTAATACTAAAATGGTTTGTTAGAGTCAATTAATCTAAAAAACATTTCTACTACTGGAAACTAAATTCATGTTTCAGATAACATTTCACAAAATGAAATGGACCAATACAGGTAACTGAGCCTGTATTCTTTCTCAGCCTTTGTGTGGGGTGGGGAGGGAACGAATGGAGGCTTTTTCTTTCTCCCTCAGCTTCCCTCCCTTTCCTCTTTCAAAACAGTGGCATTGAAATAATTTGCTTTTGGTCTTTATTAGAAATAAAATCGATCTCTTATGTTCTTGAGGGAAAACAAGGATGCGTTCATCGTTCATGAAGAATCAAGATGAAATTTACGTAGTCAGGTTCTAATAGAAGTCTGATTCAGAAGTAACACTTTCTTAGTTTTCCTCTGGTTTTTAAGACATTAACTTACTCATCTGAGACAAAAATTAAAAATTAATGTTTAGACAGCTTTTAGAGGGCTCTTAAGAGAATGTTAATTCTCTGAAATGGTCCCTGAAGTTCTCAGGGAACAGTGGTTAGTGGAGATTTACGTTTACCTTTTTTTTGAGATGGAGTCTCACTCCGTCACCCAGGCTGGAGTGCAATGGTGCGATTTTGGCTCACTGCAACCTCCACTTCCCAGATTCAAGCTACTCTCCTGCCTCATCCTCATGAGTAGCTGGAATTACAGGTGCCCGCCACAACGCCTGGCTAATTTTTTGTAGTTTTAGTAGAGGTGGGGTTTCACCATGTTGGCCAGGCTGGTCTCAAGCTCCTGGCCTAAGGTGATCTGCCCACCTTGGCCTCCCCCAGTGCTGGGATTACAGGCGTGAGCCACTGTGTCTGGGCCTTTTTTTTTTTTTTTTTTTTTTTGAGACAGAGTCTTGCTCTGTCGCCCAGGCTGGAGTACAGTGGTGTGATCTCAGCTCACTGCAACCTCCGCCTCCCAGGATCAAGCGATTCTCATTCCTCAGCCTCCTGAGTAGCTGGGATTACAGGCATGTACACCATGCCCAGCTAATTTTTTGTGTTAATATTTGTAGCAGAGATGGGGTTTTCACTATGTTGGCCAGACTGGCCTCGAACTCCTGGCCTCAAGTGATCTGCCCGCCTTGGCCTCCCAAAGTATTGGGGTTATGGGCGTGAGCTACTGTGCTCAGCCACTGTTTAAGATGATGGAACTCCACTAGCTTAAAATGAGATGTAAATAATACTACATTTTAAAATTAGAGCTTGTACACTAGACACTCAATTATTTCTTGTCTAAAATGTAATGATAATAAGTTACAGGTTTTCCTTTATCTTTTCTAATCCCACTGAATGAAATGTGCTTTCGAGAGAACGAGTGTCTGAGTAAGTGCTTCCTTGTGTAGGTATTGGAGAGCAGTGTCTGGCTGTGGAAATAGCTTGGTGGGGCCACATCTGAACCAGCAGGTCCCTTATAATTAGAAAGCTTTCAAGTAGAAGGCACTTCGGAGATACCACAGTCAAACCTCCCTAGTGTATAGTGGAGAGCAGCCTGAGACCCAGAATCTGAAAAGGTTGGATTGGCCCAAATTTGGTTTTGGCCCAATATATCGAATAATAAGGTAAATGAAGGTTTAATAGCTCATACTACATTTTTTTTTTGGTTTTCCTTTTAACCATATTGTATCACTTCTAAGATACACATTGCTTTCATGTTCTCAATGTGTCTTAAAGTCTGTGGAGCTGCAGGCTCCTGTGGCCTGCAGCTGCGTAAACCTGGCCCCAGCTCCTCTTGGATCCTGGAGCTGGGCTCTGTGCTCCGGCAGCACAGCCTTTAGTACCGGCCCAGCTGCGGTTCATTGCCTTCAAAAAGATTACACCCTGGATCCACCCTGGCTCTATTTTGAAATGAAAAGTTGCTGTGTTTGCAGAAAGGTGTAGAAATAGCAGTGGAGCATAAATTTGAAATCCATGAAGCACATAATTATTATTGAGAGAAGAACCAAAATGCCACTTTTCCATGTAAAGCAGCACCGCAGATTTTATCTTACCAGGAAAGGCAGGTGCCCGCGGGCCAGCAGTGCCCTGTGAGGGGCCCATCTGAGCGGTGGGTTCAGAGGGTGTTTCCCGCACAGGACTGTGGTCAGGGTGTCTGTCAGTGTGACTGGCAACTGTTTTACTTTCTTGATGATTCATATAATAACGATTCATCTTACAAATGACAGTGTCTTAGACTCAGTGAATGATAAAGGATGAGTTGAAGTTTTTCTCTTTAAAAATTTCTTTGTGTATCTATCTGTGTTTTTGTATCCTGTGTTTTGTATCCTTAATGTGTATCAACTGTCCAGTGTGGCCTTGGCCCTGCAGGAGGTGTGCTTGCTGTTTTCATTGTATGTTTCACTCATCATTCATATGTTTCACTAAGGAGCCAAAAGATCCTTAACAAAAGTCTTTTGGATCCTTAGTGAAACATACAAATACAGATTGGAGGTGCCTGGCTCCAATTGATGGAAACTTTAAGCTGAGCCGTTGGTGCTAGAGCTACATTGCCTGGGGGAGTCCCCACCCCATCACCTGTCTCTGAGGCTGTGTGGCCTCAGCTGATTTCTTGATCTTCTGCCTCAGTTTCCTCATCTGGGGGATGAGGTGGCGACGGCACTTACTTCCTAGTGTTGCAGGATTAAGTCTGAGTGAAAGTACTTGGAACAGCACCTGCCTGTGGTGAGTGCCCCCAAGTTCACTGTTGCCGTGATTACTTGCCTGGGAGAGCAGGAATGCCGATGATGTAAGGATGAGATCCTCAAAGGTGGTTAGAGACTTTGAAAACAATCCTAGGTCTTAACAAATGTCATCTGGATCCTTAGTCTTGAGAAAAATAGATCAGATGGGTACTTTGATAAGGTCACTTTTAAATACAGTAAGGTCACTTTTAAATACATAAATACGGGTTGAGGAGGTGATTTTGAAATTGTGAACAAATTGTTTTAAGGTCTTTTCTAAAAAAAACAAATATCATGTTTAGCAGTACTCGATGCTATCTATAGGGGCATCTCCGCATGTGAGGGGGTTCTGGCGGAAGGTGCCTGAACAAGTCCTTAAGAGCCGGTGTTTGAGTCAAACTTGAAGTTCTTTCGACAGCCTTTAGGGGTCAGTGGAGAATTACAGAAGAGCCTGGCACTTAGCTGCTGCCCAAGCGGGAGGAGATAGTGGCTGCCCAGTTTTGTGTATCGGCCGTCCAGTGTGGCGTCGGCCCTGCAGGAGATGTGCATCCTGTATTCATTGGACCTTATTGCCAATGTTGCTTTGCTTTTGGGATTCTTATAATTATATAGTTACTTGTGGGTCAGCCATAAAAACACATTTAAAACATGTGCCTAAAATATATTTTCAGAGTGCTGGGTAAAGAGATCCTAGGCATGTTGGCAGGTGTAAATGGAATTTTTTAGGAACTAAAGGACTAATTGTGCCTTGTGAATTGAGTTCATAGTCATTACAGCCTTAGAGTAGTTAGAAGTTCAGAAATACTATTGCCTGTAGTGTTTAATTTCTCATTTGGGAAAGAAAAATAATTGTGATATTGTAGGGATTTCAGACTTCTGTCATGTGGATGGTTTTACGAGGTTTCTTTTCAGTAGCAGCGTCCTCAGCAGCAACCATATGTCTCTCACTGTCAAGGGGCTTTGTCTCAAAAGAAGACCATTGAAGATACTGTCCTCCGTACTCATTGTAGACACAATAAAAGATGATTTTTCTAGAAGGAAAACTGTATTCGCTGGTAGTACTTTAAGACTGTAAAAGGAAAGAACACCTATATTCACATTGTTGCTAAATTGACCTTGCTTATAGAAACCTTTTGAAAGGTGTGAGTTTGAGTACTCAAGATCTGGAGGAATGCAGACTGCCTGCTCTGACGTCCAGTGTCAACATCACGCATTCTTTCAGGAAATCATCATTGAGGGCCCACTTAGTGCTCCCTGTTGCTGGCTCCCAGTGACAAGGTGACAAACCAGCTCCCTGTGGCCAAGCAGCTCATGGCCTATTAGGGCAGAACAGATGTTTACACAGGATCTTACAGTCAATCGATACGGGAAAATCCAAGTGGCATGGGAATGTTTAAATGAGGCATCTGACAGACGTGGGTGATTCCAGAAGGCTCCAGAGGTGATGGTGTCCAGGCTGGCCCCTGACAGGTGAGGATGAGCTGTTCGGGTCAGTGGGGAGGAGAGCAGCATGTTCAGCTAAGCTGTGGAGGGGGACTGTGCTGCAACATGGGGCTGGAGAGCCCAGCCACGAGCACGTCCTGAAGGTCTGGATTCAGGTAGTTGAGAATAATGAACCTGGGGCGCGACCGTGGTGATTAGCAGGGCAGCCAGTTGTAATAATCCGTGTGCGGTGACGTTGGCCTTTATGGTTACAGCAGCCGCGGGGCTGGAGGGAAGGGAATGGATTTGAGGGAGGCTTGGGCTGTGGCGCCAGCAGGACCAGGTGATGCGTGTACGGAGGCCAGGAGGTGGTTGGAGTCTCAGTGGCACCTGGGTCTCTGACTTGAGGACCTGGTGGGTGGTGGCATCTTTTACCACCCAGGGAGCACTGGAGGAAGAGCTTCTTTGGGGGGGATAGTGATTCCATTCAAATACGCTAATTTGAGTATTTTTTAGGATACCTTGTGAGGCCATTAATCAGACTGATCTTAAACTTAAGATAGATCTAGACTAGAGGTAAAGATTTTAGATGTCATCAGCCTGGATGATACTTGAAGTTGTGGAGTGGAATGTGGAAGGGACATCAGTGCGTGGGAACTGCAGTCTCACAGGGTGCCGTGGCTAGGAGGAAGATGGGGTTGGGGTGGGGGCTGTAGACCTGTCTGTCGTGGTGCACGATACCTTTTCAACTAACAGGCCCCTTCTGGGCTGCCATATGGCATCTGAAAATTTAAAGATATACTACAGAAGAGTTGGGCAAAATCAAAGTCAAAACTTCTAACGAAGTTAGACGCTTTGTTTGTTGGAAGGCTGTTTGAGATGCCGATATGGAGAAGGAGGGGGAGGCTGAAAATCACAGAGGAGGAATAGATGGATTCAGAGTGAGGGGATACGGGTTGGCCTTTTAAGTGTGTGCTAGGAGGGAGAGGCGGGCTTGGAGTGACTAGGGGGCACGAGGGATACAGGCAGAGCCAAAGCCATGACAGCGAAGCAATGCAAACCTGGTGGGGCCAGGGCTGCGGGATGCTGAGGCTGGGAGTGAGGGAGAGAAGGGGAAGGCCCCAGGCAGCACTGGGATGGGCTGGAGTGGGATGTCAGGAGTTTAGGCTGACACTGAGCATTGCATGACAGTGTTGTTTGGTAGATGGGTTTGTTTTGTTTTGTGGCCATTCAGTAGCATTTTTATTTCCCAGTGTGACATTAAAGAATCTAGAACATTAATCAGAGAAATTGTACACTCAAGAAAATCAAGAGATTCTGAAATAGAATTAGTGATTTAATCACTAATCACTGTGTATCTACTTTCAGACTGATTTGAAGCCGGAGAAAAAAATTCCTGGTTTCATAAATAGCGCAACAGTGAAAAGTAGAAGACGTTAGCAAAAGCATATTCGTGCCATGAAAAATCGGCATGTTACTCAGATGCTGCTGGCTTGACTGACCCTGAGAAGAATTCTGGAGGAAGCCTCAGAAATGCAGGCGGAGCAGAGCAGCACAGACCTGAGCTTTCATGGGACTGAGCCGCTTCTGTCACCCACAGAGCACCCAGCAGGAGCTAGAAAATGGAGAATAGCCACAAAAAATTTGTATGCTTCTGTAACAAATCTAGAGTCCCTCAGAGGAAGTGCTGATAGTAGCCTGCTTCGCATTTTTAGGTGACGGTAAACTTTCAGGTGAAGTTTCCCCTTTCATTTTTAGATGAAATCTAGTTTTGTCATTCAGCTTCAACCTTCTCTGAAGGAGGTCAGGATGAATAAGTATAACCTGGGTAGTTGCTTGAAAAGGCTAGAAAATAAAACAGATTGTGCTCACTGTGCACAAGTGCACAGCAGTGCTAAATTTTAGGATCACACTGAGCATGTACCTGGGGAAGGGTCGATGGAGACATCGGATGTCAGGGTGAGACCCGCGAGTCGTGGCATGTGACTTGTAGAATTTGTCCATTTGTTTTCCCATGAAAAGATCCACCAGAGTTCTGTGATAATATTAACATAAAAATACAAAAACCTTCCACAAGTGGTTTCTAAACTATTTCATATAACTTTGCTGCACTGGAAAGAAATCAAATCACATCTGAGAAATAGCTTGAGGACAAATATATGTACACTCTGTGCACCTGTAGAATGTTTTAAATACTCACCATTCTCCAGGGAAGACTGGCTATAGATTTTCCATTACAGTCCAGTGACTTCAGTGGGGTAAGACACAGTCCTCTCATTTGAGCTCTGCGTTAAAACCTAAAGTTGAGTGCAAGTGGTGGTTACTGTCCTTAGAATCTCACCGAAACCATAACACGGCTGAACATCACTTAAAACAACACTTTATTATGCCCCTTTACATTGAAAAGGAATTGTAGTTTGAGGGGTTTTGAGTATTATTTGATTTGAAATCTTAGACCGTATTTATAGTTTTAGTAGGGAAAAGTACACTCATAATTCTAGGATTTCAGATGAACCTCAAAGCTGAACCCATTCTTCGGATGCACATTGACCATATCTGTGTGTTGTAGATTCCTAATGGCAAGAAAGATACTTGGGGTATGTGGAGTGCACGCTGTGCTACAGGAGCCCCATGAGACAGATGCTCGGCAGATGTCACAGGTCTGAGGGCAGCTGGGTCTCTTCTGAGGGTCTTAGAGCTGAGAGTGCATCTCATGACTGTGGACGCTATAGTTCACTGTGTTTAACTGTCTGCGGAGCCATGTAAGGAGCGCTGAGGATTCTTTGCAGAGTTGTAAACTTTGTAAGTAAATCTTAGATATGCCTCTGATACATCAGTCATAGCCATTGGCAGGGGAGGCGCTTGAGCCCTTGAGTGGGTGTGCTCCCTTGCGAGTCGCTGGGCGGTGCATGGATGTGGACGAGGGCCCTTTGGAGCTCTGGTTGGTTAGGTTGCCACCTCCTGCCTGTTTATTGCCTGAGGGACAGTGTGTCATCCCTCTCTTTAACAAATGAATTTTCTCCATCTGAAAGGTGCATTGTCTAAGTCTGCCATCAATGATCCCTAACTAAAAATTCTTCTGCCTCCTTGAAAGCAAGTTCTTTTTTTGTCTTTTGAAATTTATTTTTTTAAACATCGTTTGTTACTGGCTGCCATATATTTCATTTAGGTGAGTGCTGGTATATAATGTATATCACTGTCTGCTTTACAACTCTCTGGCTCTCCCTCACCTGAGCCTCTGTGTTCGAGAATTCTAGCCCCTTCCCGAGACCCAGGCACCGGGCAGGTGAGGGTGTCCTTCTCTGTAGTACGTCCTCCTCCTTTCCCAAGTGCACGGCGCGTCCCTGGAGACCGGGTGCCAGGGTCGGATGGCGATGCTGCCTGTTAGTGGAATCTGTGCCTTCAGACAGCGTTCATACAATTCACATATGTATTTCATGCTTGTATAAGTTGATCGTCTGTTTAAGAATTTACATTTTTATAAGGCTTAGAATTCTATCTCCTCCTCTCCCACTTTTCTTTACTGACGAAGCTGTCATGTGTTAAACCAAGAGAGCAAAACTGCAAGGTGTCAGTTGATCTTTAACTTACAGAAAGAGTATTTTTTAAAAAGTATGCATTGCCACTGTTATTTTTACACACCTCTATAAAGAGGCTTAAGTTCCACTTCTTTACTGTCTTGAGAGGAGGCAAGACTGATGTCTCACACAACTGCATGCGTAGCAAGTCTTGATCTCGTTATCGAGGTAACTCATTGAGGGCGTTTGAAGCAGTAACAAAACATGTCCAAGCTGACCCGTGTTATAAAGCCTTTTTGTAATCACCTCACTGATGGGCCTAGCTCTGATTTAGCCATCACATACATTAGTGTAACAATATGCTGCCATAGTCTTTGAACAAAAAAATTAAAAGTGCGAGCAGAGAACTGTGCTCTGTGGTGACCTTCCAGCCTGGTGATGGCTGTGTGATCTCCTAAAGGATAAAAGGAGAGTCTGAGCTCGTCGCTGACCTCCCTCGAGGCTCCTCTTTCTCACAGGCGGTAAGGCCACAGTCGGTTCCTTAAAGAAATGTCACCTTTATCTCCAGAGAGCCAGGGAATAGTAAATGTTTCATGCACAGCAGGCAAACTAATTGTAAAGCCATGAAGTAGAGCTTCTATTTATTCAGTGCACTGCGTTATTATAAAATAAATGTTTTGTATTTAATTTTTAAATACAATTATATTTTGTTTCATATATTTGTTGTTAGGCCCTTATTAGGTAAAGTAGTATAGTACTACTTGGTTAGATAGCTAAGTTCTTGTTTAGCTTGACCTGCACAGAAATTGGTTCTGGAGAGGTTGTTTCCTGTTAAGGGGTCAAGAATTTAAATGACTGATTTTTTGTTTTAAGATAGCTTGCAGGTGGGTAAGGGAGAACAGCGCGTTGTCGGTAAGTGTACTTGCATTGCACCTCTGACGTCAACTCTTCCCTTGCAGAGTTCTCCGGGGTGCTGCACCAGTGTCACATTTTGGCCTCTGAGATGGTCCATTTCATTCATCAGATGCAGTATTACATCACATTTGAGGTACACTTCAGTCATTGTGTTGATTTTAGTTTAAATAAGTCATGTCTTGGCTTTTACATGGTATATATATATATATATGTGTATGTATGTGTGTATATATATGTGTATATATACATAATTTTTTCTTTTTTTTTTTTTTTGAGATGGAGTCTTGCTGTCGCCTAGGCTGGAGTGCAATGGTGTGATCTCACCTCACTGCAACCTCTGCCTCCTGGGTTCAAGCGATTCTCCTGCCTCAGACTCCTGAGTAGCTGGGATTACAGGGGCCCACCATCACTCCCAGCTGATTTTTGTATTTTTAGTAGAGACGGGGTTTTGCCATGTTGGCCAGGCTGGTTTCTAACTCCTGATCTCAGGTGATCTGCCCGCCTCGGCCTCCCATAGGTGGTATATATTTTATGAGTGATGCTACACTAGGAAGGACATGAGCTTATCTAGCGTCTTTAAATTGTTGTTTCCCAGGTGCTTGAATGTTCTTGGGATGAGCTTTGGAACAAAGTCCAGCAGGCCCAGGATTTGGATCACATCATTGCTGCACACGAGGTGTTCTTAGACACCATCATCTCCCGCTGCCTGCTGGACAGTGACTCCAGGGTAAGACTCCGACCTGCTTAGAAACAAGAAACCAAAAGAATCATCTTCTTTTCTTGGGTTCCTGTCAAATGGGGGAATCTTAGAAATGCCCTGATGCAGCCACATTGGTAATAATTCAGATAATTTTATTAAAAGTTTACTGTTGAAGGTACAGTTTCTGAAGAGAATTGGAACAGTAGTGCAGTAGTGCTGAAACAAGAATATACTCTAAACTGGATGTAAAAATGGTAGAAAATAATAATACCTTTTCATTTTCTAGATATAATGGTATCCTATTGTGGTATTCAAAAGAGAAAACCATGACTTTTGAGTTGTTGAGGTTAATATCTGAGCAAAATAAGCAACACGATATAAGAACAAAACAGGCCGGGCGCAGTGGCTCATGCTTGTAATCCCAGCACTTTGGGAGGCCGAGGCGGGTGGATCACCTGAGGTCGGGAGTTCGAGACTAGCCTGACCAACATGGTGAAACCCTGTCTCTACTAAAAATACACACTAGCCGGTCGTGGTGGTGTGTGCCTGTAATCCCAGCTACTTGGGAGGCAGAGACAGGAGAATCACTTCAACCCGGGTGGCAGAGGTTGCAGTGAGCCGAGATCACGCCACTGCACTGCAGCCTGGGCAACAGATCGAGACACTGTCTCAAAACAACAAAACAACAACAACAACAACAAAAAACCATGGTGACATGTATGACATTTTTCGCGAACATTCTTTTCCCTTAGGGTCCATGTTCTGAAAGTTGCACGTTCCATGTGGCAAATCTTCCTGGAGTTCTCCTTTTATTCTGAGGTCTGGGACAAGAAGGAACCACATTGCTTTCACTTGAAGCAAATATATTGTGAAGTAGGGGGCAAATTTCAAATGCATTTTTCACCTGAACTCCGAGACTTCACGGATGTTTCCGACTGGCAGGGGCTGCCTCCAGCTGGGCCTGCACTCTCCTCAGGGCCTGTCAGTGGAAAACACGCCACTTCAGGGCCTTTACTTCATCTAAATTTTAGTATATGTAGGTTAGCCAGCCATGAATTTCATTATTAAAGAACTATCAATCATGTCAAAAAATGGTTAAGATCAAAGCTGCTTCTATATGGAGTGTTTTACATGTTTTTATAAATATGTGGAAATTATGTCAGAAAAATAGTTTAAAATACTTTGAGGATAATTAATAATTAAAGAAATATACAGGCCGGGGGCAGTGGCTCATGCCTGTAATCCCAGCACTTTGGGAGGCTGAGGTGGGTGGATCACGAGGTTAGGAGCTTGAGACCATCCTGGGTAAGACTGTGAAACCCCGTCTCTACTAAAAATACAAAAAATTAGCCAGGTGTGGTGGTGGACACCTGTACTCCCAGCTACTGGGGAGGCTGAGGCAGGAGAATGGCGTGAACCCGGGAGGCGGAGCTTGCAGTGAGCCAAGATTGCGCCATTGCACTCCAGCCTGGGCAACAGAGCGAGACTCTGTCTCAAAAAAAAAAAAAAAAAAAAAGAAGAAATGTACTTCTTGAGGTTTGAGGCCCTTGAAACCTCTATTACTAACCCTGGTCTTGTTATCGGAGTAAAACCACAGACGGTTTCATGCTGCCTGCCAGCCGTTGCCTCTCTGTATTCAGCAGATGCCGACAAGCATTGTCCGCACACGTTTAGGAAGTCAGTGTAACAAATAGCTCTCTGTTCCTAGACCCGTGTGCTGTTGGCCAGCACGGCCTGTCTCACGGTGCAGTCGCATGGCAAGACAGACACAGGCTCTGCAGCCAGGTAGACCGAGGGTGGAGTTTCACTTCATAGCTTTTGACTCCAGTGTTCTGTTTTAAAAGGGCATGGTCCTAGTCTCTTCAACAGATTTGTAAGAATTGTATAATTCAAGTATAATGTTGACCATAGTGGCTGGCAGATAGGTGTTAGTTGCTATTTTGTGCCGGTGTGTGTGTTTTACAGAGGTGTTTACAGTCATTAGATTTCATGCATTTCAGAAAATGTTTGAACTACTGAGGACTATACCCATACTGATATCAGTCCAGTTGTGGCAAATAAGTAACACTCCACACAGCTTACGGAGAATGTAGGAGACTTAGTCCACTTACAGATGTGAACCTTCTGTACGAGATAAATTGTCATAGCTTTTGCCCCTAGATGATTTCCACTGGTAAGAACCCTATCCGGGGGAGAAAATCTTCCCACCTGTAGCACAGTGCCCTTGTGAAAGTGGGAAGCGGGGTCTTCACGTGTGCGTTGGTCCCACCTGACGTCGTTGAAGGTGTCATGCCGGAGGCTTCATGGTCATTTCTGAACTTGCCTTTGCTGATGGCTTTACTCTTTAATTTGATGATTTGTTTAAAATGAGCTTTAAAAAAAAATAAATAAACCCAGTATGTAAAGCAGATTAAAACAATCTATTATTGACATAAGCAATTTTAAGTATAACATTTTTATTATGTCACTCACTAAGAAAACCAAGGCGGTTCTGATACATATAATCTTGAAGCTGGAGGCTGTGCATGTTTTTGTGTTTTTTTGTTTGCACATTGTTGAGAGAAATTGTGAATTGCAGAGTGAATTGGTACCACTGATGTTGCCAAAGAATGGCCTCCTGCAGGTGCCCTGTGTGGACAGATTGCCAGCAGAGCCCTGCCTGGCAGCCTGAGCTTGAAGTCAATGTCAGTGGGTCACCTTGTAGATGGATTAACTCTTCCAAACATAATAAATTATTCTTTATTAGACTACATAAAGAAACAAATTAGATAAATCTTTACTAAAAACAACAGATTAAACCGTCTGTATCTTTTATGTTGCTTATTTAAGACCCTGTCAAAAGGACAGAACAGCTCTAAGATGAGAACTTGTAAGATGGAAGATGTGTTTGCCGCATTAATCACGTGGTGGTTTTATGTTAGGAACAGCATCCCCTGATCACATCCTTCTATCATTTGCCAAATCAGTCCACATTGTTTTTGTTGCCATGTAATCTGAAGACCTGGTTGCATAAGTGCATTGTAGTAAGTGAAAGAGAGCATGGGCTGTTCACTGCCGAATACCAAGTTCTCCTGCATCAGTTTGTTCCAAAACCCATTCAGCAAATACTCATTTCAGCTTTGTCTCACTTGAGATCAGACATCAGTTCAACTCTGAACGGTGCTGCTGTGACTTAGCAAATGAATTTTGAACCGAAGCATCGCCATGCTTTCATAACGGAAAATATTTTTGCAGAATAGTATTAGTCCATTAGACAATGGGTGATGAGAAGTGGCTTTGCAAATGTCTTCATTAACTGTAAAGTTGTGTTAAAAATAGAGTTAACTCAACATCTTAGTTTCTCCCCAAATCAACTGTATTGTGTCTTCCCAACCACAGGCTTGGAACCTCTCCTGTTATCTCGGTTTCTTTTATGCTTCTCAAGTACAGTTGTGTCATTTTTCTCCTATAAACTTGCAAATCTTTTGTTACATTATTGCTACATTTGAGAAATTTGGCTGGTCTGAAATGGTATTGATTTTGTTATTTCGATCTCTAATTTTTCTAGTCTAATATTTTCTTGGCGCATATTTTTTATCAGTAAAACCAGTTTTGTTTCTTTCATTTCACACAGTCTGCCTTTGCTTCTTTTTCACGCTTCGGAGTGTTAGCTAGGCTGACTCTAAGCACAAAGGGAATCCCAGTCTTATTCCTGACGTTAAAATGATGCTTTGTTGCTTCATTGTTGGCTGTTTTGTTTGCAAAGACATCTGATAGGACCCTTGTCAAGCTAAGAGGGTTCTGCCCTAGTCCTAGTTTGCTTAGATGCCTTATTTAAATTATGAGTGGGTGTTGAATTTTATCACAATTTTCTTCTGCACTATTGAAATTAACCCCCGCTCAGCCCTCAGACTGTTAGTGTGTTTTTTCAAACCTAAGATGGCAGAGGGTAGAGTTAACCTTTCTCTTCAGTCATAGCACACTGCCATCAGTGGTCCGTGAAAAGCCTCTCATATTTTGTTGGGTTTAATTTTATCCCCTTCCCTGCCAATACCCCAATTCCACCCTCCTCTGCCTGTACCCCCTTCCCTGCTGTTTGCATCAGCTTTAATGTATTTGCTCTATGGCCTTGGGTATATAGATGGTATTTTCTGTGTATACATTTTTAATTTATGTAAATGATTTTGTGCTGTAGATTTCATTGTGTCCTTCCATGCCACAATAGGAGAAAGATTAATGAGGTACAGTAGTTGTTTACTGAAGATTACTGGGCAGTAGTTATAAGCAATGAACGGAAGATACCTGCTGTGACACTGATATTTGTTTAAAACATTAGGAGTTTTTTCCTCATGTTAAGGTATCCTTTTATTTCTGGTATAAACTATGATACATTTTTTAAAAACCTTGCTGAATTTGCTTTTTATATTTTACTAAGTATTTCCTTTCTCATATTTTTGATTACCTGCTTTTGCTATATCTAAAAAAAAAAATGGAGATGCTTTCCTATTCTTTTTTCAATCTTGGAATAGTTCTACTCATTACTACCTGCTATCTAGCTTTGAAATTTGGGCAGAACTTCATTTTTGTAAACTTGTGAGGATTGGAGGTGATTTGCAGAGAGCTCCTGGCCCGCCGTGGGACTTGGGCAGTCACGATTGCTCTTGTTACGGGTGCAGGTGCAGGATGGTCACGTTTTGCTGGTGCCCAGCACAGCGCTGCTCAGCAGGAGGGTTCAGGAAATGTGTGGTGAGGGAATGAATGAACAGCTAATGAACACTTTGGGAATTTCAGTTGATATCTTGTTTTCTAATATCTTTTCACTAAATATCAATGTTTTGTTTAAGAAACTTAGCTGGTTGAGGCTCTATTCATAAAACATTGTCATCTCTTTCAGGCACTTTTAAATCAACTTAGAGCTGTGTTTGATCAAATTATTGAACTTCAGAATGCTCAAGATGCAATATACAGAGCTGCTCTGGAAGAATTGCAGAGACGATTACAGTTTGAAGAGAAAAAGAAACAGCGTGAAATTGAGGTATGGTCTTTACACTTGTGAATTTATCTATTTGAATAATGAACTCCTTGCCACACACGATAATCTCAAATGCCAACAAATAACTTTCTTGCCAAAATTGTCAGACAGGTTGAGATGTGCCTATACTGCGTTTGAAGTCCCGAGAAATCACTGACAGTTGTAAAGAGGGAGGGGCCACCCTCACTGGCATCATCATCCTGTTTCACAAAATAAATAAAAACAGCAGCATTCATGAGAATTACAAATCTCCTGCCCGTTTTCATTACTGAGTGCCACAATGCCGATGTCACCCGTCGGAATCTCCACAGCTGCCTCCGCTCTGCATCACTCTGTGTTTGAAGCTTGTGGATCGTGCACCATGCTGCATTTTGCAAACGTGTGCATCTACAGGTGCTCCTCAACTTAGAGCAGTCTTATGTCCCAATGAGCACATTCTACACTGAAAGTGCATTTAATATAATATAGATGGAGCATCCCTAATCTGAAATACAAAATACGAAATGCTCCTAAACCCGAAACTTTTTCATCACTGACATGACGTCACAAGTGGGAAATTCCACACCTGACTCCTTTGCTTTCTGATGGCTTATTGTACACAAACTTTGTTTCCTGCAGAAAATTATAAAAAATATATAAAATTACCTTCAGGCTACTATGTATTTAAGGTGTGTATGAAGCATAAATGAATTTCATGTGTAGACTTGCATCCCCTCTCCGAGATACCTCGTTATGTATATGCAAATACTGCAAAATCTGAAATTCAAAATACTTCTGGTCCCAAGCATTTCAGATAAAGGATACTCAACCTGTACCCCAATAAACCCATCGTTAAAGTAGAAAAAATCTTAAGTCAAACGATCTTAAGTTGGAGACCTTATATGTATGTTTATATACCTGTAATGCAAGTATATATGTATATATAATATGTATAGGTATATATGCATGTGTATGTGTTTGTGTGTGTGCTTTGCATATATGTGTGTTTACAGGTACATGCATGTGTGTGTGTGTGTACATGTATATGTACATGAACCAAATTTCTGTACTTAACGGTTATTTTCAGATTTATTAAGCAAGTTTGGCTGTTTATGGGATTTCTTTTATTTACTATAATCTGTTTAATCTTTTACTTTTTCAGGATACAGTCATGTACCACATGATGTTTTGGTCAATGACAGACTGCATATATGACAGTAGTCCCATAAAATTATAATGCCATATTTTCACTGTACCTTTTCTATGTTAGATATGTTAGATACACAATACTTACCATTGTGTTACAGTTGCCTACAGCATTTAATACAGTCACACGCTGCCCAGATTTGTAGCCTAGGAGCATAGGCTGTGCCATATAGCCAGGGTGTAGTCAGCTGTACCACTGAGGTTTCTGTAAGGCACTCAGCGATGTTCACATAGGGACAAAATCACCTAACGATGCGTTTCTCAGCATGTGTCTGTCTTTAATGTCATATGATGGTACTAACTCTTGGGATTGTCAAAGACATTATTCAGTCAATACAGTTTGGTTAGTTTTACTTTTGAGTATTGTTTCTCTTAAAACCTGTGTTAGAGGACCATATGTAGCTTAGAGAGTCCTCAACCACTGGGTGCACAAGTTATTTCTTTGGTATTTTTTGGAAACATTTGTATCGCTAAGGGCTCTCATCATTCAAAGCGAATTTTGGTAATTCTGAAGTGTTGTAGAGTTGGCACACAGAAGCTCCTGGGCCTTGTCCAGGCAACCCTATGGATAACTTAAAGTCGGATATACTCACGATTCTACCTAACTCTATAACTTACTGGCTTTGCGCCTTTGGGTGGCTCACCCCTCCAAGATGTCGTTTCCTTATTTGTAAAATGGGTGATAAGGAATATGACCTCACAGAGTCACTTATCTATGTGTGATGATATATGACGCTTATTTAGTAGGCATTCAAGTGCATGCTGGCCACTGCCATTTGTAAAACTGCCCACGTGCCCCAAGAAGCTTCCCTTCTAGAGAATTACTAAACTGTCTCAAAATCGACCAAAATCACTCCGATTTTTTTTTTTTTTTTTTGAGAGGGAGTCTCACTTTGTCGCCCAGGCTGGAGTGCAGTGGCGCGATCTCGGCTCACTGCAGGCTCCGCCTCCTGGGTTCACGCCATTCTCCTGCCTCAGCCTCCCAAGTAGCTGGGACTACAGGTGCCTGCCACCATGCCCGGCTAATTTTTTGTATTTTTAGTATAGACAGGGTTTCACTGTGTTAGCCAGGATGGTCTCGATCTCCTGACCTCATGATCCGCCCGCCTCGGCCTCCCAAAGTGCTGGGATTACAAGCATGAGCCACCGCGCCCGGCCACTCCTTCGGATTTTAAGCCTGTGCTAATGGCGTGTCCGCTGGCCGTGTGGGAGTGGAAGGTTCTCTTGGGCAGTTAGCCGTCACAGTGAGTGGGACAGATGCATAGGCCAAGTCCACGCTGATTCAGGATATTCCATTCAGACTTGCTTAAGGATGCAGGAAGAGACACAAAAGCTAAAACCATATCTGAGAAGTTATTTAAGTTTAAAAGGCAAGATAATCTTCAAAGCCATCATTTCGACCTGAGGTCCCCTGAAAGTTCTGAAGAGATCATGCAAGTCGCCTCCTGGAAAGATGACAGAGCCCTGGGTGTGTGCTGGGACCGAAGCGGCGCCCGCCTGCTGCACCCCCTGGTGCCACCATGTTCTTATGCTGCCATTGTGTGGGGGACTCCAAAGGGCCCTTCTCTTCCTCCTCATGGCTCTTCTGTTTCTTTCCACTTTTCTTCTCACACGCTATAAATATCAATTTATAGTGATATTTCCAATTCAAATGTAGGATTAAAGGACTTTTACTTGTTTCATTTTTTATCAATATATCTCCAGTGTTGAAAACATTGGTTTCTAACATGATCGTACTTAATTATTTGCCATCTTACGATAATGCATCCATGCATGCACCCATACACGTGACTGTCTCAGAATAAGAATCTCAATGCTGCTGCTGATATGGGAACAGTATAGTTTTGAAAATAGTTTTACTTTTTTTGCAGTTTTTTTTGAGGGAAAAAATATTTCTTCTTT
The DNA here is from genome assembly GCF_000001405.40 of Homo sapiens. Taxonomy (NCBI): domain Eukaryota; kingdom Metazoa; phylum Chordata; class Mammalia; order Primates; family Hominidae; genus Homo; species Homo sapiens. The sequence continues at coordinate 112,495,960 of NC_000013.11, read as the reverse complement.
TATTCTAATAATTTTTAAAAATTTTTTGCCAAAAATTTTTCCACTAAATAGATGCATTCAAATTCTATGTGGTAATGTCCTTGAAATAAGTGCTCCCGTAAGGCTCTCCCACCAACTCACTGCACAGTTAGGTTAAGTGGTTTCATTTTGGCTTTTAATTTTTAGGGATTGCTTTTACTTATAAAACAGAATTGAATATAGTTATCTAAGATAGTAACCTGATGCCAAAACAAAGCATTTGGGTAGTTTAGCTTTTGTTGCTCTCTGTGTCCTAGTCTCCCTTGTAAACGTGGATTGGGAAATCCACAGTATTATCACACTGATAGATCAACATGATAATGTGTTACAAACAAGTTTCAGCTTATTCCAAGAATAGAACCCTCCCTGTTATCATTCTAATAAAGATATTGTAATTCATGTTTATAAACTGAAGGGGAAAAATTATATGATCATCTCAATAGATGGAAAATATCATTTAATACCAAGTAAAACCCATTAAAAAGGTTTGCATGAATAATTTTATAATAAGACATCATTCTTGGGGGTGAAATATTGGAAGCACATCCCTGAGACAGAGTGAGACATACACGCTCCTGCACTGATGGTCCCAGCCAGGGCTACGAGCTGAGAGGAAGTACAGAGAGAAGGAAGGAAAGCTGGCATTTTGTTGTTGTTACAAAAGTCTGGTTGTGTAGAAACTAGACCCCTGTCTCTTGCCATGTACAAAAATCAAATCAAAATGGATTAAAGACTTAAATCTAAGACCTCACATTATGGAAATACTAATGGAAAACACTGGGGGGAAACTCTAGGACATTGGTCTGGGCAAAATGTCTTGAGTAATACTCTGCAAGCACTGGCAGCCAAAGCAAAAATGGACAAATGGGGTCAAATCAAGTTTAACAAGCACCCAAAGGAAACAATCAACAAAGTGAAGAGGCAGCCCAGAGAACGGGAGAAAATATCTGCAAACTACCCATTGGCGAGGGATTGATAACCAGAATATATAAGGAGCCCAAACAGCTCAACAGGAAAAAACTCTAGTAATTCAGTTAAGAAAGGAAAAGGATCTGAATCGACATTTCTCGAAAGAAGACAATGCAAATGGCAAAAAGGCTTATGAAAAGGTGCTCAACATCATGGGTTATCAAAGAAATGCAGATCAAAACTACAGTGAGCTATCATCCCACCCCAGTTAAAATGGCTTTTATCCAAAAGTCAGGCAAGAACAAATGCTGGCGAGGATGTGAAGAAAAGGGAACCCTCACACACTGCGGAGGGAACATGGATTAGTCCAGCCACCATGGATATAAGTTTATAGTCGAGTACATGTATGTCCTTAAGTTATCGAATAAGATCATAGTAGTTAAAAGAGTGGTGTGGCTCAAGGAAAGACAAGTAATTGGAACAGGGTAAGGTCCAGAAGCCCACAGGTAGAGACTGTTGCTCCGTGGCCTGTGGTGCTGAGAGCCGTGGGGCCTGGGCCTAAGTAGGCAGCACTGGCTAATTTTAAACAGCTCAAAATATACTATTTTACTATACTAAGTTTAGATGTTTAATGTTAAAATTTTAAAGGCATACACCAACAAATGCTGGTGAGGATGTGAGAAGACTCTTACGCTGCTGGTTCTGGATAAACTGGAATAACCACTTTGGAATACTGTTAGGCAGGAACCAGTGCCGAACTCAGGACTACTCTGACCCAGCATTCTCTCTCCTAGGTGTAGTGCCCAATGGAAGTGTGTCTCAGGCACACCAGGCCTCGTTCCCATAGCTAGAGCGTCTCAGGCACACCAGGCCCCGTTCCCATACCTAGAGCGTCTCAGGCACACCAGGCCCTGTTCCCAAAGCTAGAGTGTCTCAGGCACACCAGGCCCCGTTCCCATAGCTAGAGTGTCTCAGGGACACCAGGCCCCATTCCCAAAGCTAGAGTGTCTCAGGGACACCAGGCCCTGTTCCCAAAGCTAGAGTGTCTCAGGCACACCAGGCCATGTTTCCATAGCCAGAGCATCTCAGGGACACCAGGCCATGTTCCCATAGCCAGAACGTCTCAGGGACACCAGGCCCCATTCCTATAGCCAGAGTGTCTCAGGCACACCAGGCCATGTTCCTATAGCTAGAGCGTCTGAGGGATACCAGGCCCTGTTCCCATAGCTAGAGCATCTCAGGCACACCAGGCCCTGTTCCCAAAGCTAGAGTGTCTCAGGCACACCAGGCCATGTTCCCATAGCCAGAGTGTCTCAGGGACACCAGGCCACGTTCCCATAGCCAGAGTGTCTCAGGGACACCAGGCCACGTTCCCATAGCCAGAGCATCTCAGGGACACCAGGCCCTGTTCCCATAGCCAGAGCATCTCAGGCACACCAGGCCATGTTCCTATAGCTAGAGCGTTTCAGGGACACCAGGCCCTGTTCCCAAAGGTAGAGTGTCTCAGGCACACCAGGTCCCATTCCCATAGCTAGAGCGTCTCAGGGACACCAGGCCCTGTTCCCAAAGCTAGAGTGTCTCAGGCACACCAGGCCATGTTCCCATAGCCAGAGTGTCTCAGGGACACCAGGCCACGTTCCCATAGCCAGAGCGTCTCAGGGACACCAGGCCCTGTTCCCATAGCCAGAGCGTCTCAGGCATACCAGGCCATGTTCCTATAGCTAGAGCGTTTCAGGGACACCAGGCCTCGTTCCCATAGCTAGAGCGTCTCAGGCACACCAGGCCCTGTTCCCAAAGCTAGAGTGTCTCAGGCCACCAGCCCCCGTTCCCAGAGCTAGAGCGTCTCAGGGACACCAGGCCCCGTTCCCAAAGCTAGAGTGTCTCAGGCACACCAGGCCCCGTTCCCAAAGCCAGAGTGTCTCAGGCACACCAGGCCCCGTTCCCAAAGCCAGAGCGTCTCAGGGATACCAGGCCCTGTTCCCAAAGCTAGAGTGTCTCAGGCACACCAGGCCCCGTTCCCATAGCTAGAGAGTCTCAAGGACACCAGGCCCCGTTCCCAAAGCTAGAGTGTCTCAGGCACACCAGGCCCCGTTCCCATAGCTAGAGTGTCTCAGGGACATCAGGCCCCGTTCCCAAAGCTAGAGTGTCTCAGGGACACCAGGCCTGTTCCCAAAGCTAGAGTGTTTCAGGCACACCAGGCCATGTTCCCATAGCCAGAGCGTCTCAGGCACACCAGGCCATGTTCCCATAGCTAGAGCGTCTCAGGGACACCAGGCCATGTTCCCATAGCTAGAGCGTCTTAGGGATACCAGGCCCCATTCCCATAGCCAGGGTGTCTCAGGCATACCAGGCCCCGTTCCCATAGCCAGAGCATCTCAGGGACACCAGGCCCCGTTCCCATAGCCAGAGCGTCTCAGGCACACCAGGCCCCGTTCCCATAGCCAGGGTGTCTCAGACACACCAGGCCCTGTTCCCATAGCCAGGGCTCCTCTGGGGGGAGAGGTGGTCATTGGAAGGGGCCACAGGAACATCTGGGTGCTGAGATGCCCTCGCTTGCATCTGCATGGGGGTGACATGCGCATATTCATCTTGTGATAACTTATTAAGCTGTTCATGTATGAGTTTTTATACTTTTTTATATGTGTTACACGACAGTAAAATAGTATATTTTAAAAATTTGTGTAAAGAAATAAAAGACAAAAGTTGGTGGGGAAAAGATGGGAAGTAGTGTAAATATTGTTATTTATCTTTTGTAACCAAGCATCAAAAGATATTGTTTAAAGCTCATAAATGAAGTAAAACAGGTATACATAGGTTGAAAGATGTTAGAGATATGAATAGAATGTTTCTAAAATCAGATGGCAAAAGGAAGGAGGACAATAATTATTATTGCCCAGATTAGAGTATTGATACCATCCAAAGAAGAAGATGATATGTTTTATGAAGTGAAGGTATAAAGGTAACCACTGGGACACAGTGTCACTGCCTGGCTGTTAGAAGAAATACAGGTGATATAGTAGAAGATTATCACCCTCAAACCGGAAAGCATGGTATAAATATGAAGACAGAACTAAGAGCAGATGTACATCACATCAATCAGGGGACTTGGGTTAAACCCACATAATGAAAGAAAAAGCTCCTCAGTAGAGGATGGTGTTTGCTTGATGCCCCTGGGTGGGGGTGCTGGATGGCTTGTAGCTGAGGGCTGAAGGTCATTATCCGGGCAGACCTACAAATTGGGAAGTTCTGGCCGGGCGTGGTGGCTCATGCCTGTAATCCCAGCTCTTAGGGAGGCAGAGGTGGGAGCATAGCTTGAGCCCAGGAGTTGGAGAGCTGCCTGGGCAATATAGCAAGACCCCGTTCTCCACAAAAGGGTTGTTGGTGGGGAGAAAAGAAGACAAATTGGGAAGTTCTGGTGTAGAACGAGTGATGTAGATAGTTTATAAAGAAAACAGTGGACACGAACAAAGCATATAAAGCAAATATTCTTCAAAGGAAAGCAGGTTGTAGTTCAGAGCACAAAACAGTAAACATGGCAGGAAGGGCACATTGGAGTGATGGGAGGTGCAGGGCACAGTGAGGACCACGCAGTGTGGGCTTCCTGTAAGGCCCAGCTTGTGCCATATCAGTACTCACTTAGAAAACCACAAGCAAACAAGCAGAAATGGGTCAAAGCACATGGATTTTAGAAGAATATTTCAGTTTCTTACAGACTATGAAAGATAAAATGCACATAAATAAGGAAATATGAAAATTCATAACTGCCTATATTAATAAATTGGAGAGAATGAAAGTAAATAAACATCCCACTCAAAAAGTTGGAAAAGCAGGAATGAAACCTAAAGAAAAAGCCAAAGGACATAATTAGTAAAGATGAGAGCGAAAATCAGTGAATCGGAAACAAAGAAGTTAATAAAGTCCAAGAGCTGGGCCTTTTGGGGGGCCAAGGAGTGGAGGGAAATTAAGCCATGAATGAATCTGAGAGGTAGCGGGAGGAGAAGGCACAAACATACAAAACAAGTGAGAAAGAACTTACTCTTTCGCTCAGCTCTGTGGAAAAAAATCTACTTGAAGGAAATCATTTTCCATAGGTTTCCGAAATTGGCCCCATGAGAGAAAGGAAATTGTAAGCAGAGCAAATACTAAAGAAGAAACAAAGCCATCGAAGGGCTCCCACCAAAAAGCGTCAGGTCAGCTGTGCTGAGAAAGACTCCCAAACGCACCGATGGTCAGCTTTGTGCTCTGTGAACTGTTCCAAGTTTCTAAATTGTGTAAGAAGAATCACGAAGCTGATACCCTATCTGAGAAAAAACAAATCTGGGTTGTAAATATTGATGGAGAAATCTCACATGAAATATAATTGAAAAAAGGCTAGATTTAAAAGCATAATTTATGAAGACTAGGATTTATTTCAGGAATGCATAGGTTTGGGAAATCCAGTAATATAATTCACCATATTTGACAAGTGAATTAAATCATGGCCAGGAGCGGTGGCTCCCGCCTGTAATCCCAGCACTTTGGGAGGCTGAGGCAGGCAGATCACCTGAGATCAGGAGTTCGAGACAAGCCTGGCCAACATGGTGAAACCCTGTCTCTACTAAAAATACAAAATTAGCCAGGTGTGGTGGTTCATGCCTGTAATCCCGGCTACCTGGGAGGCTGAGGCAGAAGAATCACTTGAACCCAGGAGGCCGAGGTTGCAGTGAGCTGAGATCATGCCATTGTACTCCAGCATGGGAGAGCGAAACTCCATCTCAAAAAACAAACAAACAAACAAACATAATTCCTATATATGCTATCTGAGAAGACATTTAATCAAATTCATCATTGATTGAAAATGATCTTAAAAATAGAAATAAACGGGTATATCTCCAGTACCAAAAAGTACATCATGGTTAGGGAACTAGAAGCATTCTCACTAAAGTCAAGATAATAGTTTAAAGGGTGCTGACGCCTTGGGCCAGCTGGTTCCACTTTCACACATACTGTCTTTGTTATATAAAAACGTGTACAGCACGAGGGAAGGATAGAAGGCTGTTCATCCCATGAAATGAGATGAATTATATACCTTGTTACATGTTATACAATGTGATATTAAAAACAACAGAGGCAGTCTCAAATGTGTTCATATGAAATATTTTCAACACACATTGTTAACTGGAAAAAGTAAGCTGGAGAGCAGTCTGGCATCAGAAAATTATTGTGAAAGTGTTGAACAGTACAGAGAGGCATAAAAAGCAGACACCTCCTGCTCCTCACATACCTGTTTTCAGCCCTACTCTGTAATCTGTTTTCCATCGTGATTTTACTGACATTTGGTACTTTTGATTGTTCAGGGCCAGTGGGGAGTGACGGCAGCAGAGGAAGAGGAGGAAAATAAGAGGATTGGAGAATTTAAAGAATCTATACCAAAAATGTGCTCACAGTTGCGAATATTGACCCATTTCTACCAGGTGTGTATGAGGATACAGAGTGGCTCTTCACACCACTCTGCCCATGTTCTGTACCTGACAGTTGCTTTCACAGTGATGAGAGCAGAGTCAGCCCTGTCAGTCTGACACTTATTTGTGTAGGTGTGAGTAGCACCCATGGTGGACCCTGTGACCCTCTGGGGGACTCGGGTATGCCTGGGCTCCGGGCAGTGCCAGTGTGCCATCAGTGAGAACCCTGGCCAAAGGGTGGCCCCTGTGGTGGGATGCGGGCACCCGGGGGTGGCCCCAGTGCTCCCCTGTGTTGGGGTGTGGGGACCTGGGCGTGGCCCCTGTGCTCCCCTGTGTTGGGGTGTGGGGACCTGGGCGTGGCCCCTGTGCTCCCCTGTGGTGGGTGTGGGGACCCGGGGGTGGCCCCTGTGCTCCCCTGTGGTGGGTGTGGGGACCTGGGGGTGGCCCCTGTGCTCCACTGTGGTGGGATGTGGGGACCTGGGGGTGGCCCCTGTGCTCCACTGTGGTGGGTGTGGGGACCTGGGGGTGGCCCCTGTGCTCCACTGTGGTGGGATGTGGGGACCTGGGGGTGGCCCCTGTGCTCCACTGTGGTGGGTGTGGGGACCTGGGGGTGACCCCTTTGCTCCCCTGTGGTGGGTGTGGGGACCTGGGGGTGACCCCTGTGCTCCCCTGTGGTGGGTGTGGGGACCTGGGGGTGGCCCCTGTGCTCCCCTGTGGTGGGTGTGGGGACCTGGGGGTGGCTCCTGTGCTCCCCTGTGGTGGGTGTGGGGACCTGGGGGTGACCCCTTTGCTCCCCTGTGGTGGGTGTGGGGACCTGGGGGTGACCCCTGTGCTCCCCTGTGGTGGGTGTGGAGACCTGGGGGTGGCTCCTGTGCTCCCCTGTGGTGGGTGTGGGGACCTGGGGGTGACCCCTGTGCTCCCCTGTGGTGGGATGTGGGGACCTGGGGGTGACCCCTGTGCTCCCCTGTGGTGGGTGTGGGGACCTGGGGGTGGCCCCTGCGCTCCCCCGTGGTGGGATTGTGGGGACCTGCAGGCGTCTCTGTAGCCTTCATTTGGGTTTTTCAGTGACTCCCGATGGGGACTGTCCCTGAGACAGCTGCCCAGCCTGGGTGAGGGGCCGGCAGCCAGCAGACATGGTGTAGACCCCGGAAGGCTGGGGACGGCTGCTCTGCATGTCTGTCCCTCTGCTTTTGCCTCCATGTATGGGTCCAGTTTCTCATTTCCTCCATTTCTCAATGTGATCTTAGTGATAGTAGAGATGAAAAGATTTCATGAAAAATATTTCTGTTCAGTCGCTGATCACTAATCATGGAGCATCAAGCCTCCAGCCCTCCAACATCGTGGGTTTGTGTGCTGGTGCCTTCATGTGGTTCAAAATTGAAAGTGAGACCGCACTCGCTCTTTCTGTGGGCATCTAGTTTGCTTCCCAGGTCCTCAAACTTTTTTTTTTTTTTTTTTTTTGAGACCAAGTCTTGCTCTGTCACCCAGGCTGCAGTGCAGTGGTGTGATCTTGGCTCACTGCAATCCCCGTCTCCTGGGTTCAAACGATGCTACTGCCTCAGCCTCCCGAGTAGCTGGGATTACAGGCACGCGCCACCACACCCGGCTAATTGTTGTATTTTTAGTAGAGACAGGGTTTCACCATGTTGGCCAGGCTGGTCTTGAACTCCTGACCTCAAGTGATCCACCCGCCTCAGCTTCCCAAAGTGCTGGGATTACAGGCATGAGCCACCATGCCCGGCCCTCATACTTTTTAAATATTTATTTTTCTTCACGATAACTAAGGAGGAACGTTGTCCCTTTTACAAGTGGTCTTAGTCTGACCTTGGCCTACTTTTGCATTTTTGTTGAAGTTTCATAAAAGGGGGTAGTGACTGGCCAGTCATGTTCCGTGAACAGGCATCCCTGTTGGATGGTGTTTTGACACGATGCCTTCTTGAACTCATGTTATTTGTACAGTATGTATTCCTGTTTCTTAAAAATGGACACCTAATGGTTAGATCCATATGATTCACTAAAATCAGACTTACAAATCCTTTGTATAGCTACAAAGGAGCAATGTGTAATTTTAAAGATTTGTCTGTGTGCTTATTTCTGAGACAACGATGTTCTTGTTTATGGTTACACATTTCCCTGAGGGAGTTAATACATTTTTAAAAAGTAATCACTGTAATCCCAATTTTACTCAAATTACAGTCTTAAATCTGAATGGTAATGATTTACAAAGAAGATTCTTTTCTGTAACAGCAGAAATCCGTCTCTGCTCTCTGTGGCGGTGCCAGCGACGGCAGGCTGTTATCGCCATTGACTGTGAAAGAACATCCAGTCTCAACCTGTGGAAGAAATATTCTTAGATTTCCTTTTAGTAGTTCCACAGACCGTTGTATTTCAGTTTCATCACATCATCACATAATAGGAAGTCACTGTCTATATTTTGGCAATATAACTTCTTAGGCGTGTTCTTCTTCCCTCACCTAAAAAGGCAGTGATACACACACACACACACACAGACACACACACACACACACACACACACACATACACAGTGTTTGCCTGCTCAGAGGTGAAGTTACTTTATCAACACAGCAGAGCCTGTGCCCAGGCCTGCCTGTGAGCTTCAGCATTCGTGTTTCTGACCAGAAGCTGGGAAGGGGCAGTGACAGCTGGTGAAGACTTGGGCGGGGCTTGGTGAGGACGCAGTGCCTCAGTGAGTTTTCTCTGCAGATGAGGCCTTTCCAGGCCAGCAGTTCTGTGAACAGATCAGCACCCCGTGGCATGCAGCAGGCTCCAGCACTGGGCGGGGATGGGCCTGTACTCAGTATGCAAGTCTTTCAGCCTGAAATAGAAGCAGCCAGTCCTTTCGTCTTATCAGAGTTAGGGGAAACTTCTGTCACATCTTTAAAAACGCCCTCAGTAACAGGATGATGGCGATGCCAGTGCCCATGAAGAGGGCGGCTGCAGCCTCACGTCCAGCAGCTAGACCCAAAGACCCGACTGATGCTCTCAATTTGTTCTCCAGCAAGGGCTCTAGGATGAAATCCTCTTTCATGAGTCATATGAAAGATGAAATATGTGGCACTGAGTTTTGTATTCAAAATAGAATGTTCTAACATCTGTTACTTTGCTGTTTTGCTTATTCTTGTGGAACTTAAGAACAAAGTGAAAAAACCTGTTGGTTAGTTGTTTTCAAATCAAATGTATTCTTCACTAATTTGTCCTTGTAAAAGGGCGCCCATTCCTAATGCAGGTGCACTGGCCGTGTGCACTCCAGGGTCCCAGCAGCTCTTGCTCCCTGGACACCTGCCCTGGTGGGCATTTACTAAGGGCCTGTTGATCTGGAAGGAAAAACAGACCCAACCCAAAGGAGATTAAGGTCCGGGGAATACGTTTGTGGGTTGTTCTTTTCTGAAACAATATTTTACTCCTTTTGCTTCTTTTTAGGGTATCGTGCAGCAGTTTTTGGTGTTACTGACGACCAGCTCTGACGAGAGTCTTCGGTTTCTTAGCTTCAGGCTGGACTTCAACGAGCATTACAAAGCCAGGGAGCCCAGGCTCCGTGTGTCTCTGGGTACCAGGGGGCGGCGCAGCTCCCACACGTGAAGCTCGCGGTCCTCCCAGGGAGCTGCGGGTGATGTTCGTTGCACTGCTAGACACGAAATTCCCATTGACGTCCTGCAGGAACTGCATGCTGCAGGTGTCCTGCCCTTCCGCCCACGAGTGCGCCATGTTTCAGCGGAGCGGCGTGTGGGAGAAGCCACGTCGTGTTTCACATGTCGGAGTCGAATGCATTTGTAAATCCCTAAGTCAAGTAGGCTGGCTGCACTGTTCACATTTGTCTCTAAAAGTCTTCATCGCTAAAAGATACCATAATTTGCTGAGGCTTCTTAAGCTTTCTATGTTATAATTTATATTTGTCACTTTAAAAAATCCATTTCTTTTAGAAAAAATTAGGGTGATAGGATATTCATTAGTTAAGATGGTAACGTCATTGCTATTTTTTTAACATCCTCTTTAGAGGTAATTTTTGTTAACATAACCAAAAATTAAATTGAAACAAAATGTCCCAACTAAGAAAATATATAGAGCATTTTATTTTTTTTTAGTGTTGTAAAATATTAACCTCTGTGAGATCCTTTGTATCTTAATGCATTACCTTTACACATATTTATTCTTATTTTCTCTCCTTTCAGAGTTTACATTTTTATATTTAATTTACTATTTCAGATTTTTAAAATAGTATAGAAAAAAGTAGGAGTGATAGAGAACAAAAATACTCTTATACAGTGCAACCCAAATACCGCGAATGCATCAGCTAAAGCAGCGTGTAAATAGGAGTGACGAGAAAGTTAATGGAGTATTTTATTTTCAAAGTTCCTGATAAGCATTGGAAAGAAATCGACATGGATAATGAAGATTTCCTTTTTCCTTGCCTATTTTTTCATTGTAAATATTTATATACTACTGACCAAGATGTTGGGGTGGGGGGGATTGTTTTTTGTAAAAATGTCATTATCAGGTCACATAAATCTGCCTTTATGTTGCATAAGTGAAAATTTAGAAAATTAAAAGCAATTATCTTTCAGATGCATTCGTTATTTCTTGAGTAGTTTATGAAGGGACAGTTTACTTGCTGGATTTGGGGGTTGAGGGTTGGTAGAATTTGATTTAATATAGTACAGCATATGAATTATTTAATCAGTGAAACCAGGAAAGTAGACTTTGTGTGACTTTTGGTATAGAAGCAAAGGCAATGTCACCGCTCAGGTCTCAGGAGCGGTGCTTTAGTTATCTGAATCCACCTCTGACTCCTTTAGGTGTGGATTACCTTTAAAACTAAAGGGGCTGTCAGGAATCCTGGCCATGCAGAAATGAATTCATGGCAAAGGCCAGAAATTCAATGTAATTTTAGTTTTGAAGTTCATAAAATCAGAAATTTGAAACAGGTTTTTCTACTGCAAGGTTTTTTAGAAATTATTGCATATTGTTTATCTCCACGAGAGGTTTACCAAGGTAATTGACCATGCAGCCAGCTTTTATTTTATTTTATTCAGAGAGTTGTTCCAGGGATTAATCCTCAGTAGAAACCACCCTAGCAAAGGCCCACCTCGATTTTAGGGATTACGATTCCATTGGAGTGTAGGAGTCACCAGGACTTAGGTCAGATTTGTGGGCTATGGAGGGCTTCCGGGAGGTGCGGCCCTGGGGGGTGCCTGCGGGTCTGGAGGGTGGGAGCTGGGATGGGGTGAGGCCTCTGAGGAGCTGCGTGAGACCCACTCTCCATCATTGTGGATGCACAGTCAGGCCCCTTAGGGAGCCAGGACCCCAAAACCCAGCATCAGCCAAGCATAGATGACTTGGGGGCTCCACACTGGGGTTGTGCGGAAAGGAAAACCCACAGTGTGGGCGACCGCACCAAGCTCTGGGAGGGTCACGTCTTTATCCAGAAAATGCTAACCACTCTTACCTGTCACGCTTGTGGTAAATATTAGTGATGCTGTATCTATAGGGTCCTGGGCAGCTCAAGCAGGCCACCTGGCTCCGTCTGCGAGGACACCTCTTACCCACCAGGAAGTTTGGTGACTGCGGCCGAGGGCACAGATATCCTTTGTTAGAAGGGCTGGCCGCCCTCATATCCTGTTGCATGGGCAGGTTCGACTGGAGAGGGGAATATTCTTGCCTTTCTTGCCTGGTTGTCGACTGCAGTGTTCATGGCATCATGATTCTCAAGTCCCTCTGGAAAAATGTGCCTCCAGACATTAAAATGTAGGACAGAAGGACACAGCTTTGTTGAAGGAAAAGAGTACTTTTATCAAATAGCCACAGGCATGCTTGAATCGTGTTATGAGGCATATGTGGAAGAGATGTGTGGTGCAGCTGAGGCATATATAAGGGGCAGCCTTCATCCATAAATGATGCATGTGTTCTGAGCGCCCCACTGTGTGACCATTCCCCAGCCTCTCTCCCTCTTCTCAGCCCTCCCTATTCCCAGACACAGCAATATAGAAATAAGGCCAGTTAACCCTACGGTGGCTTCTAAGTGTTCAAGTGAAAGGTAGAGTCACACGTCTCCCACTCTAAATCAAATGCTAGAAATGACTAAGCTCAGCGAGGAAGGCATGTTGAAAGCTGACAGGTCGAAAGGCCTCTTCCGCCAAACAGCTGGTCATGTGAATGCAAAGGAGAAGTTCTTGAAGGAAATTAAAAGTGCTACTCCAGTGAACACAGAAAGATAGGAAAGCAAAACAACCTTATTGCTGATACGGAGAAAGTTGTAGTGGTCTGGTTAGAAGATCAAACCAGCACAACATTCACTTAAGCTAAAGCCTAATCCAGAGCAAGGCCCTAACTTCAATTCTGTGAAGGCTGAGAGAGGTGAGGAGGTTGCAGAAGAAAAGTTGGAAGCTAGCAGAGGTTGATTCATGAGGTTGAAGGAAAGAAGCCATCTCCGTAACACAAGTGCAAGGTGAAGCAGCAAGTGCTGATGGAGAAGCTGCAGCAAGTCATCCAGAAGATCTAGCTGAGATAACAGATCATTCATGAAGGTGGCCACACTAACACATTTTCACTGTAGATGAAAGGGCTTTCTATGGGAAGAAGATGCTATCTAGGACTTTCATAGTTAGAAGTCAGTGCCTAGCTTCAAAGGAGGGGTTGATTGTCTTGCTAGGGGCTAGTTAATGCAGCTGGTGATGTTAAGTTAAAGCCAATGCTCACTGGCCATTCTGAAAATCCTAGGGCACTGAAGAGGGATGCTAAATCTACTCTGCCTGTGCTCCATAAATGAAACAACAAAGCCTGGATGACAACACATCTATTTACAGCCTGGTTTACTGAATATTTTAAATCCCCCTCGAGATCGATTGCTCAGAAAAAAAGGTTATTTTCAAAATATTACTGCTCATTGATAGTGTACCTGGTTGCCCACGAACTCTGACGGAGTTGTACAAGGAGATACATGTTGTTTTCATGCGTGCTAAGACAACATCCGTTCCACAGGATCAGGAGTAATTTCAACTTTCAAGTCTTATGATTTAGGAAATACGGTTTGTAAGGCTATAGCTGCCATAAATAGTGCTTCCTCTGATGGATCTTGGAAAAGTAAACTGAAAACCTTCTGGAAAGGATTCACCATTCTAGATGCCATTATGAACACGATTCGTGGGAGGAGGTAAAAATGTCAGCAAAACAGGAATTTGGAAGACGATGATTCCAGTCATCATGGATGACTTTGAGGGGTCAAGACATCAGGGAGGAAGGAACTGCAGATGTTGTGGGGCTAGTAAGAGACGTAGAATTAGAAGCGGAGCCTGAAGATGTGACTGAACTACTGCAATCTTAGGATCCAACTTAAATGGATGAGGAGTTGCTCATTCATCTAGCCATCTAGTTGCAACATACATCTATCCATCATCTTTGCTTATGGATGAGCAAAGAAAGTGGTTTCTTGAGATGGAATCCACTCGTGGTGAAGATGCTGTGGAGATTGCTGAAATGACAACAAAAGATTTAGAATATTCCATAAACGCAGTTGATAAAGCAGTGGCAGGGTTTGAGAGGATTGTCTCCAATGTTGAAAGAAGTTCTGTGTGGGTAAAATGCTATCCAACAGTATCACATGCTACAGAGAAATCTTTTGCAAAAGGAAGAGTGGATTGATGTGGCAAACTTCATTGCTGTCTTTTTTAAAAAACTGCCACCGCCACTCTAACCTTCAGCAACCACCACCCTGATCAGCCAGGAGGCATCCACATCTAGGCAAGACCTTCCACCAGCAAAAAGATGACAACTTGCTGAAGGCTCAGATGGCCATTAGCATACTTCAGCAATAAAGTATTGTTTAAGTATGCACATTGGTTTTTTAGACATTGTCTGTTGCACACTTAATAGACTATAGTGTAAACATAATTTTTGGATGCACTCACTTGGAAACCAAAAAATGTGTGTGACTCATTTTATTGTGATACTCACTTTCTTGTGGTCTGCAACCAGACCCATGATACCTCTGAGGCCTGCCATATTCTTTGGTATGGAAATAATGATCAAAAGAATGCAATTCAGTGTGTAAATGGTAGATGGGGCCAGGTTCTTTCTGTATTTGGTGAACCTGGACTGGACTGTGCAAGGGTCTATTGGAATATGACTTGGTGGAAAGAAAGGAAGAATGGCGGGTCAGATGAGCTCATGATGTGGTTCTTAAAATTTTGCCAACTGTCAGAAAAATCACCGTCTTGGACAAGTATTTGTACTAATGACTTGTAGTTTTAGCAGCATATGAATTGCTCGGCATCTTTGGTGGGCAGATTATAAAGAATGTCTCCACTTTCTACTATGGTTACCACACCATTCAGATATCCTAATTCTGAGGCAATGTATGCATTTTCATTTAGGTTTTCAAATTCGTTGGCATTCATTTTTACACAGATTCCTTGATAATTTTTCAAATATTCATTGTTGAGTTATAGTCCTTTCTTAATATTTTCTATTCATGGCTCTCTTTTTCCTTGCTGGTCACATTTACCAAATTTTGTTTATAGTTTATGTCTTTCAAGAATTATCTTTTTTGGGGGGGTGGGTGTTACTTATTTTACTATAGATACACTTTTTTTCTTTTGCTTTATTTATAAATTACTTTTTTTTTTTCCCCCTGAGACGGAGTTTTGCTCTTGTTGCGCAGACTGGAGTGCAGTGGCGTGATCTCGGCTCACTGCAATCTCTGCCTCCCAGGTTCAAGCGTTTCTTCTGCCTCAGCCTCCTCAAGTAGCTGGGACTACAGGTGCGTGTCACCACGCCTGGCTAATTTTTGCATTTTTAGTAGAGATGGGGTTTCACCATACTGGCCAGGCTGGTTTCGAACTCCTGACCTCAGGTGATCCGCTTGCCTGGGCCTCCCAAAGTCCTGGGTTTACAGGTGTGAGCCACTGTGCCTGGCCATAAATTACTATTTTATATTTAATATCTAAATTTGGTTTAATGTTTCATGAATTGAATGTGTATAGAATTTATTGTGTCATTGTTTAATAAGCATTTCCAACTGTGAGTTATCCTCTGCATATAACTTTAGTTACTGTCACAGGTTTTTACATATATGGTTTATTTTCAATGTTATTAATACCTAACTAGTATGTAATTTCTGTTAATTTTCTTAATTCTGGATATAGTTAACATTTCAAAATTTCCAGGAAGTTTGGTTTTTTTCCTTTAATTTTTTTTCTTTTAGAAAAAGAAAAAGGGAAATTTGCCAAACATGTATCAAAATATATTATAAAGCTACAGTGTATAAAGCAGTGTGGTATAGGAACAGAAAGAAACATCCATGGAGCGGAATAAAATGACGAATTGCCAGTGTTTGCAGGTCATTAGTAGGTTCACTACAGAAATATGTCAAGTGTCTGATTATTGAACAAATGCTTTGGGGTAAATTGTTTCAGGCACAAACCAGTTGGAGAAAATTTAAATTAAGGACTTTAACTCAGAAGAAAAATTCAGATAGATTAAATTCAGATGGGGTAAATATGAATGATTAAAAGCATAATTACTAGAAAAAAATGCAATATTTTTATAGTCCCAGGGTTTCTGGCTTTTAACATGACACCAAGGATGAAAACTATAAAGGAAGATGATGAAAGATTTAACTACATAAAATGAAAAACTGTTTCCCAGTGAAAGTCAACATTACAATAGTCAAGACACATGACAGACTTAGAAAATCTAATTACAACATTGACCACAAAATCTACATTCTTAATTATAGCAGGCCCTTGTAAATGAATATAACGTCTACTAATAATTCCAAGCACATCAATGAGGAATTTAGGAAAGAAATACAAAACACACTAAAACATATAAAACACAAAGAAATATGCTCAGTTGTAGCCTCACTGGTTAGGTTGTTGTGACACAGAATATATTATTATGTTACTATTAACACAATTCAAGACTGTAATCTGATGTGTGTTGATGGGCGTGGGCAGCAGGAGTCCAACACTACAGCCCTGGAGGAAGTGTTCTTGCGTAGCCCCTTCCCCACCCCTCGCGTCATGGTCCCATCTCCAGGCAGCCACCGCCCTGCTTTCTGTCATAGATGGCTCGCATTTTGTAGAATTCTGTTACATTTGGTTTGTCTGTGTCGGGTGTTTTCAGTAAAGCTAATTATGTACAGGTGCATTTCATGTTGTTCCTGCATCAGAAGTTAGCTCTGCTTTCTTTCCGAGTAGCCCCTGCTGTGGCTGCATCACAGTGGGCTCATCCGTTCTCCTGTGTGGGCCTCTTTGGGTTGTTCCCAGTGTTTACTAGTACATTATAAACAAAGCTGCTGTGAACATTTGTGCACAAGCTATATGGATAAATGCTTTCATTTTTCTTGAGTAAATTCTTAGGAGAGGAATGGCTAGATCATGTGATAGGTTTACATTTAATTTTTTAAGAGACTGCCAAAATGGTCAAACCATTTGAATTCTCAGCATAAGTGTGTGAGATTCCAGGGTCTCCAGTCCTTGTCCATTCTTAGCGTGGTCAGCACTCTTAATTTTAGGCCTTCTTATAGGTGTGTAGTGGCATTTCACTGTGGCTTTAATCGATCTGATTTGTAAATGGCGTCAGTGTTCCTAATGTCTGAGATTATTGAGCATCATTTCATGTGCTTATTTGCTATGAAACCTTACCTGTCAAAATGTTTTGCCCATTTTTATTGTTACTGAGTTTTGAGAGTTTTAAAAATATGTCTGGATAAAAGTGTTTTATTAGATAGGTGACTTGCAAATGTTTCCTTCCAGTCTATGGCTCATCTTTTTTTTTTAACTGAGCATTTACTAGGTTCTATGCTCATCAGTATAGGGATTTTCATCTAAGTCCATGGTGTGGACAGAGTCTCCTGGGGTAAAGTTTATAGGATTAAAATATAGACAAACGCCAACATGCACAGGGAAGCTGCTGCCGCTTTTTTGCTGTCATTTTTTTTTTTTTTTTTTTTTTTTGATGGAGTCCCACTCTGTCTTCTAGGCTGGAGTGCAGTGGCCAGATCTCAGCTCATTGCAACCTCTGCCTCCTGGGTTCAAGAGATTCTTGTGCCTTAGCCTCCTGAGTAGCTGGGACTACAGGCTCCCATCACCATGTCTGTCTAATTTTTGTATTTTTAGTAGAGACCGGGTTTCACTATGTTGGCCAGGCTGGTCTCGAACTCCTGACCTCAGGTGATCCACCCGCCTTGACCTCCCAAATTGCTAGGATTACAGGCGTGAGCCACTGCGCCCAGCCTTTGCTGTCATTTAACCATGAAATGGAACTCTTCAGAGGAAGCAATGTCTATGTATTATCCTACAGTTAATGCAGAGTCCTCACTGTGATGATCGTAATTTCAATTGCCGGCTTTAGATCAAGGCTATTTATTTAGCTCTGCCCTGTTCATAACAGGTGGCTGCCAGGCACTTGAAATGTGGCTAGTCTCAGCTGGGATATGGGGTAAGTGTAAAATGCACCCTAAATTTCACATATTTAATATGGAAAAAATGTAAACTGTTTCAATATTTTTTATACTGATTTCATGTTGAAGTGATACTATTTGTATATATTTGGTAAAATAAAATAATTATTAAGATTAGTTTTACCTGTTTTTACTTTTTTAACATAGCTGCTAGAAAATTTAAGCTACATAGGTTGCTCATGTTATATTTCTGTCAGATTGTGCTTTCCCCTCCCTCCCTCCCTCCCTCCCTCCCTCCCTCCCTCCCTCCCTTCCTTCCTCCGCCCTCCCTTCCTTTCTTCCTTTCTTTCGCTTTGCTCTGTCACCCAGGCTGGAATGCAGTGGCACGATCTCAGCTCACTGCAACCTCCGCCTCCCAGGTTCAAGCAATTCTTCTGCCTCAGCTTCCCGAGTAGCTGGGATTACAGGCGTGCACCACCATGCGTAGCTAATTTTTGTATTTTTAGTAGACAGGGTTTCACCATGTTGGCCAGGCTGGTCTCAAACTCCTGACCTGAGGTGATCTGCCCGCCTCGGCCACCTAAACTGTTGGGACTCCAGGCGTGAGCCACCGCACCCGGCCAGATGGTGCTTTTTCAACATGACCTTTCTCCCTTCCCAGATTCCATCCAGGACACCACATTACATTTGGTTGTTTTATCTCCTTAGGCCCCTTTAAGTTTTGACATTTCTCAGATTTTTGTTTTTGATGACACCAACAATTTTGAGGATATTCTATAGAATATCCTTCAGTTGGGTTTTGTCTGATATTTTTCTCATGATTAGACTGGAGAGTATAGGTTTTTGGGAGAAAGACCAGGGCAAAGTGCCATTCTCATCACATGTTGTAAAGCATGACTTCACTGTTGGTGTTGACCTTGACCCCTGCCTGGCTGAGGTCGTGTTTTCTCCACTGCAGACTCGCTGCTTTTCTCCTCCTTTTCCTATTGTTCTCTTTAGGAGGGGACCATTGCGCAGCCCCAACTTGAAGGGCCAGGAGCTTCTTGAGAGTAGAATATCTACATACATTATTTGAAATTCTACATGGGAGACGGTGTCTTTCCCCCGTGTATTGATTCAAGCATTTGTTATCTCATTGTGGACGTATGGAGATTTATTGTCTATTTTGCGTTATAGTCCAATCCTTTATTTTGTTGCTCAAATGGTTCTGAATTGTTCGTGAATTATGGTAGCTGTATCTTTCAGGGAATTGGTCCATTTCATCTAAGTTGTCAAATCAATGGGCAGAGTGTTGTTTGTGGTATTTTCTTATTCATTTAATATCTATAGAAACTGTAATGGCATTACTGTAACCTCATTTCTGGTATTAGTAAATTGTGACTTTTCTCCTTGATTGGCCTGGATACAGATTAATCACTTTTCCTCATCTCAAAGCAGTGGCTCTTGTTGTCATTGATTTTTCTGTATTGTTTTCTGCTTTATATCTCATGGATTTCTGCTCTCATCTTTATTATTTCCTTTCTTATAACTCCGAGTTTTTCTGTTTTTCTTGAGATGGAGGGTAAGGTGACTGAAATCTTTCTGCTGCATTCCACAGTTAGTTTTTTTTGAGACGCAGTCTCATTCTTTCACCCAGGCTGGAGTGATGTGGCGTGATCTCGGCTCACTGCAATCTCCACTTCCCGGGTTCAAGCAAGTCTCCTGCCTTAGCCTCTTGAATAGCTGGGATAACAGGCACCTGCCACCATGCCTGACTAATTTTTGGATTTTTAGTAGAGATGGGGTTTTGCCCTGTTGGCCAGGCTGGTGTCAAACTCCTGACCTCAGGTGATCCACCTGCCTTGGCCTCCCAAAGTGTTAGGATTACAGGTATGAGCCACCGCGTCTGGCTCACAAATTTTAATATGCTGTGCTTTCATTTGTATTCATTTCAGAATACTTGCTAATTTCTCTTCTGTTTTGTTCTTTGACCTGTGGGTTGTTTAAAAGTTTGTTATTTGGCTTTCAAATATTTATGGATTTTCCAGATATCTTTCTGTTACTGACTTATGATGTAATCTCATGGTGGTCAGAGTTCACATTTATTGAGATTTGTTTTATGACCCTGAGGAAGGTTTGTCTTGGTAAATGTTCTGTGAGCGCAGAATAAAAGAATCTTATTCTGCTGTTTGGTGGTGGAGTGTCCTGTGAAGTCAATCAGTGTAAGTTGGTTGATATTAATCATATTAACCATTGAGGTCTTCTGCACCCTTACTGACTTGTGTCTACTTTTACTGTCAATTATTGGGAGAGTGTTGTTGAAATCTCTGACTATAATTAGGAATTTGCCTATTTCTCTTTGCACTTCTCTCATTTTTACTTCATGCATTTTGAATCTCTGTTATTATTAGGCTCTTAGGTATTTAGAATTGTTATGTTCCCTTGATGAACTGTCCTGTTTGTCATTATAAAGAGGCTTTCTATTCCTGGTAATATGCTTTGCTTTAAAATATACTTTGTTATAGCCACTCCAGCTTTCTTTTGATTTATATTAGCATGATACATAGGTTTTTCATTCTTTTACTTTTAGTCTTATTTATGATTTTATATTTAAAATGGGCATCTTGTAGACAGCATACAGTTGGGGTGTGTGTGTGTGTGTGTGTGTGTGTGTTTTATCTAATCTGGCAATCTCTACCTTTTAATTGGAGTTTGTAGACTTTACATTTAGTGTGATTATTCACTTGGTTGGGTTTAAATCTACTATCTTGTATTTGTTTTTCTTAACTGCTGAGACAAGACCCTTCTTAGTTCTCATTTTAAAATTAGGTAGTTAATTCAACAAATATTATATCTATGATGTACCGTTGTTAATTTGCACTTTTAAAATTAGTAGAGAAGGAAGACTTTGACTTCTGGCTCAAATGGAATAATAGTGACCAGATTTACCCTCCTGCCTGGTACAAACAAAAGTCCCGAAGAAACAAGACAAAATATAACAGTGAGTCTCATATACACCTGACAGCGGAGGACAGAGACCTAAGAGACTGGAGAAACCAAGGTGAGTCCTGCAGTTGCCCTGACTTACCATCTGGATGAAGCTGACAGTCTGCACAACAGGGAGCAGGGCCCGGGCAGGCGCGGCAATTTCTCTGAGGTGAGATGGAGCCGGTTGTCCTGGGAAGCTGAGGTGGCTGGAGTTTACAGCACAGAATGTCCTAAGAGACACTAACTAAGCAGAGGAGAGGCCAGGGCTAGAGCTCCGTGTGTGGGAATCGTCAGCATAGAAATAGTACTTGATGGTATGAGATTTCCTTGAAAGAAAGTACAGACAAGAGAGTTCAGGACTAACCCTGAATTTTTAGAGGTTGAGCAGGAGACTTGGAGAGTTGCAGGAGAGTTGGAGAGTCTCAGGAGCCAAGAGAACGGAGTTGCAAGGAACACGTCGTCAGCTCTTTTGAATACTGTGGAAAGACAGAATTAGATGATGATAGAAAATTGGTCATTGTGTTTGGAAAGATAATTTTGACAAGAGTTATTTTATTGGAGTGCTGGTTTTTCAGATTTATTGGTTTTTTAAAAGAAGCAGCTTTTGATTATATGGACTTTATATAATTTCTCCACACACATATATAGTTTAAAGTTTAATCATAAAGCCAGCAGCCACGTTACAACCTCCTAGTTTAAAATACAGGACATTTCTAGTAACCTGAAAGCCTCTTGGCTCTTTCTGATGATATTTCCTGCTCTCTGTGCAGGTTAATCATCTTATCTTTTGTGGCAATCACTCTCTTGCTTTTCCTTATAATTTTACCACCTGTGCGTATACTCCTCACAATAATGGATTCATTTTGCCTACACTTGAATTTTATGTTAGTGCCATCCTTCATATTTTATAAGTGAGGTCATACTGATACCTATAATTTGAAGGTATCACATTGATATCATGTCAGCTATAACTGACATTCACTCATTGATATGTACTATTCTGTTTTTTTTTTTATCATACCATAACTTCTTCAGCCATTCTACTGTTAATGGATATTTGGATTATTGGCAATGTTTGCCTGTTACAAGTGTTGCAGTGTGAACATTTCTTGGGCATATACGCAAGAGTTTTTCTAGGGTAAATACCCATGGGTAGAATTGCTAGGTCATAGGATATCGTCAACTTTACTGCACAGTGCCAAGCTATTTTACAAAGTGCCAAGTTACATTCCTACCACCAGTTCCTGAAAGTTACCAGTGCGCAGCATCCTGGAACATTCGGCATTGCCAGGCTTTAAAAGTTTTGCTAATCTGGCTACTGCATGATGGTATCTCATTGTGGCTTTAATTTTTACTTATTAAATACTAATGCGGTTGGACATGTTTTTATATATTCACTGGCCACTTGAACTTTTTATTTTTGAATTTCTGGTTCAAGTGTTTTCCACTTTTTGGAGGGTTGTTATTGATTTGTAGGGGTTACTTATGTATTTTATATACCGGTCTTTTGTTGGTTACATATATTCCACATATCTTTCAATTTCTAGCAAGATTTTAACTTTCTTTGTGTTGTCCTTTCTTGAACAGACATTTTAAGTTTCAATATAGATCTATCTATATTTATGTTTTTTTAAAAATGTTATGGTTAGCAAACGTGTATTTTTGCTTTTTAGTTTATTTTTGACTTTTATTTTAGTTCAGGGGGTGCATGTTCAGGTTTGTTACATGGGTAGATTGTGTGCTGCAGAAGTTTTAGATACAAATGATCCCATCACCCAGGTGGTAAGTGAGCATAGTAGCCAATAGGTAGTTTATCAGCCCACCCCCACCTCCTACCCTCCCACCTCAAGTAGCCCCCCGTGTCTATTATTCCCGTCTTTGTGTCCCTGTGTGTTATAAGCTCCTGCTTATAAGTGAGAACAGACGGTATTTGGTTTTCAGTTTCTTTTGTTAATTTGCTTAGGATAATGGTCTTCAGCTACATCCATGTTGCTGTAAAGGACATGATTTTATTCTTTTTTTGGCTGCGTAATATTCCATTGTCTACACATACCATATTTTCTGTATCCAGTCCACTGTCGATGGGCATCCAGGTTGATTCTGTGTCTTTGCTATTATGATCGTGCTGCAGTAAACACATGAGTGCGTGTGTTTTTGTTTGTTTTGCTTTTTTGGTGGGACGATTTATTTTCCTTTGGGCATATACCCAGTAGTGAGATCACTGGGTTGAATGGTAGTTGTGTTTTAAGTTCTTTGAGAAATCTCCAAACTGCTTTCCACAGTGGCTGAACTAATTTACATTCCCATCAACAATGTATCAGTGTTCCCTTTTCTCTGAACCCTCACCAACATCTGTTGTTTTTTGACTTTTTAATAATAGCTGTAATTACTGGTGTGAGATATTATCTCATTGTGTTTTTGATTTGCATTTCTCTGATGATTAATGGTGAACATATAGTTGTATGTTTATTGGCTGCATGTATGTCTTCTTTTGAGAAGTGTCTTTTCATGTCCTTTGCCCATTTTTTAATGTAGTTGTTTGTTTTTAACTTGTTGAGTTGTTTAAGTTCCGTATAGATTCTGGATGTTAGAACTTTGTCAGATGCATAGTCTGCTGATATTTTAACCCATTTTGTAGATTTTCTGTTTACTCTGTTGATAGTTTCTTTTGCTGTGCAGAAACTTAGTTTAATTAGGTCCCATTTGTCAACTTTTATGTTTGTTGCAATTGCTTTTGGGAGCTTAACTATAAATTCTTTGCCGTGGCCCATGTCCACAATGTTATTTCCTAGATTTTCTTCTAGAGTTTTTATAGTTTTAAGTCTTACATGTAAGTCTTCAATTAACCTTGATTTGATTTTTGTATATGGTGAAAGGAAGGGGTCTGGCTTCAATCTTCTGCATATGGCTATCCAGTTATCCCAGCACCATTTATTGAATAGGGAATCCATTGCATGTTATGGTTGACCTTGTCAAAGATCACATGGCTGTAGATGTGCAGCCTTATTTCTGGGTTCTCTATCCTGTTCTATTGGTCTATGTTTTTGTTTTAGCTTTCAACCCAGTACCCTGCTGTTTTGGTTACTGTAACCTCGTAGTACAGCTTCAAGTCAGGTAGTTTGATGCCCTACATATATACTTCCCATCACTGAAATCATGGAAGATAGCCTTCTATATTTTATTCTAAAACGTTAGTACAGGTTGGGTATCGTTATCCAATATGCTTGGGGCCAGAAATGTTTCAGATTTTGGATTTTTTTTTCAGATTTTGGAATATTAGCATTATATTTACCTGTTCAGCATCCCTAATTCAAAAATCTGAAATCTGAAATGCTTCAATGTACAGTGCATTTGAGCATCATGTTGGTGCTCAAAAAGTTTCAGATTTTGGATTTTCCAATTTGAAATGCTCAACCTATAGTTTTATCTTTAAATTTTGTTTTTAATCTACATGGGATTAATTTTAACATATGGAATGAGGCAGGAACCCATTTTCATTCATTTTTCATAAGTGTATCCAGTTTCCAAGCACCAGTAATTGAAAAGCTATATCTAAAGTACTGTTTCTGTCATAAAGCATGAATCTGTATATGTGTGTTTTTTCCCATTGATCAAATTGTCTTGCCCCACGCCACCACACCACTACAAGACTGTCTTAATTTCTATGGTTCTTATTCTTCAAGAATGGCTATATCTGACTTTTTCTCTTTCATATAAATGCTAGAATCTAGTTCTACCTGCCCCCCCGCCCCACCAACAAAATTGGTATTTTGGTTAGGATTGTAAGGCATCTGATATGGTTTGGATCTGTGTCCTCACTCAAATCTTATGTTCAGTTGTAACGGTCAGTGTTGGAGGTGAGGCCTGGTGGGAGATGATTGGATCATGGGGGTGGATCCTTCATGAGTGGATTAGCACCATCCCCTTGGTACTATTCTCCTGGTAGTGAGTGAGTTCTCACAAGATCTGGTTGTTTAAAAGTGTGTGCACCTCCCCCATCTCTTGGTCCTGCGCCTGCCATGTGAGACGCCTGCTCCTGCTTTGCCTTCCACAATGAGTAACAGCTCCCTGAGGCCTCCCCAGAAGCAGATGCTGCCATGCTTCCTGTACAGCCTAAGGAACCATGAGCCAATTAAACCTCTTTTCTTTGTAAATTACCCAGTCTCAGGTATTTCTTTATAGCAGTGCAAGAATAGACTAATATAAATTGAATTGGAGAAAGATGACATTATAATACTTATTCTACTGATCTATGAACATAGTATATCTCTCCATGTTTGCCTAGGTCTTTCTTAATGTCTCTCAAGATTCTATAAATTTCTACATGATGGGTTTGCACAATTTTTGTTAAATTTATTCTTAGGGACTTTATTTTCTTAACACCATTATAAATGGTATCTTTAAGGTATAATTTTCTACTTGTTGCTGATGCACAGAAATGCAATTACATTTTATCCTGTATTTTTTTTGAGATGGTGTCTCACTCTGTCACCCAAGCTGGAGTGCTGTGATATGATCTTGGCTCACTGCAACCTCTGCCTCCCAGGCTCAGGCAGTCCTCCCACCTCAGCTTCCCAGTAGCTGGGACCATAGGCATGTCACCATGCCCAGCTAATTTTTTGTATTTTTTGCAGAGACGGGGTTTCACCATGTTACCCAGACTGGTCTCAAACTCCTGAGCTCAAGTGATCTGCCCATATCAGCCTCCCAAAGTGCTTGGATTACAGGTGTAATCCACCATGTCTGGCCAATTAATTTTTTATATATTGATTTTATATCCAAAATTCTTGCTAAATTATCTTTGCAATTATCTATTAATTCTAGGAGCTTATCTGTTTTGTTCATTGGATTTTCTGTGTACCTAGTCTGGCTCTCCCAAGAAGGAGGTAGCAAGATGGAATTAGATTTATTAGGGAACACACCTGCAGGGGAAATGGGGAGGGGTTCAGTGGGGGTTGGGTAACCCAGCAGACCATGACTGAGCTCATATCCTCATGAAGAAGGGAGAGGAGGAGGAAGATTGGCACAAGGATCTGAGACTGCAGTGCAGTTCTGAGGATGTTTGGCAAAGCCAGTGGGGATCCTTGAGCTAAAGTTGTCTGTCAGAGGAGTCTCATGTCTTCCAGGATGGGCATGAACTGGGGGCAGCCCGTGGAGAGCATGGCCTCTGTCTGCATAGGGGCTGGGAGACCTCTGCATGTTCCTGGGCATAACAGCTGTGGCCTCAGATCTCATTCCCACAGATGAAGGTCTCAGCCATTTTCATGGCCACACAGACCTATTTCTCCAGACACATCTGGGGAGCAGCTCTTTAATGTTCCCGTGGGTCTCTCTTCCCGAGGCGAGGCTCTAAAGAGGGTGTGTGGGATGGCTGGCAGCCCTGGCCACTGTTTATGGGGCTGGAACTGGTGTTCCCCTCCTGCTCTGTTCATGTTAAATTCTCCTCACCCTTGGGGAATCTTTTGACTGGTGTTGGTGGCTTACCTCGTGGTGTAACCCGAACTTTCACTCTTAGGGTGCGAGAGTCTGAATCTTTGGTAATTCACCCCTTTCAGGCCAGGCTTGCTGCACAAAAATGAGACAAGGAAGTTCCAGGAGGCACCAGCTGGGATTGTCTGGGTCCCACGTGTGCTACTTCCTGTCCCAGCATGTCTGCCACCCTGCCTCTTCCCGTGCTCCTGCCAGGGTGGTGGCTCCTGGGCACAAGACGTATGGGTTCCCTGGCACAGCTGTAACCCGTGGTTCAGAGGGAACCTTGCCCTGGTAGGGGAGGTTTGAGTTGGGGGACGCAGTGCTATGGAGAAGCCTTTCTTAACTGGTGCACAGAGACCTGAGGAGTGGCACTGTCCTTGCAGGAGGCGCTGGAGAGATGCTTCAGCTGTACCTTGAGTCACTTGACCCGTGTTCTGGGTGGCCCATGTGCGACCCAGCCTGGAGGGACCGGCCCCTGCGTCCTCAAGGGTCACTTGCCTCCCAGCCGTGCAGCTCCTGTGCCCATCCAAGGCCTTGACCACATGGACTGAATGTTCAGGATCCTCAGGGGTCAAGCCAGAAATTTCCCATGTCCAGCAACTGAGGTTTGCTTAATAAACACCTGCACCACCATATAGAAATCAAAGGGAATTAGTAAATCCAAAGCTGTGGAAGAATACAATTGCTTCTTGACTTACCATGGGGCTTCGTCCAATAAACGTGCCTAAGTTGAAAACGTGTGGCCTAATCAGACACAGTGGCTCACGCCTGTAATCTCAGCACTTTGGGAGGCTGAAGTGGGAGGACGGCTTGAGTCCAAGAGTTTGAGACCAGCCTGGACAACACAGTGAGACCTCATCACCACAGAAAAAATGCATGGCTGCCTGGGGGCTGCCCAATATTGTGAGAGGACAGCTCCTACTGCCTGCTCATCCCTTTGCATTGTGGTGAGGTCAAAAATCCGACCTCAGGGACCTTCTCTATAGTGATATGCAGTGTGATGGGGGCAATATAAAATGGCTAAATAAACAGACCTCATACAGGAAGTGTGCTACATACCTCTTTCAGTAAAGAGGGACTCTTAAAAGTATATAAACTTTATATATGTAAAGTTACATACAAAATATATGAATTTTATTATATGTAAGTATATTTACCTTTGAATTGACCAATCAAGATAGAAAGACTAGAAAATATGCCCCAAAATAGCGAGAGTTCTCTCTGATTATAGAATTAGTCAGGATTTTTGTTTTCTTCTTTGTACTTTAAAAATTTTATTGTTTATGATGAATTGCTTTTGTAAGCCAAATAAAAATTAGAGAACTAATATATAGGTTCAGAAAAGCTAGGAGTGAAAGCAGCTGCTTTAGAGGGCTTTACTGCAGGTGTTGGGGGAGTGTCACTGGCGGGAGCCCTGAGCCACCACGCCTGAGAGTGGCGGGTGTGCCTCGGGCCATGTGGTGTCCCCCGAGCTGCGCCGAAGAACCAGCCACGTGCTTTCATCCCTGCGCGTTTTCAGCCTTTCACCTCCCCTGTGTTGAAAAACACCACAAGCTCTTCCCTAATTGTCCCCTGTGTTGCACAGTTTTGGGATCTTTAAGGACACATTTGAATCCTTGGAGAGCCTGTTCACAAGTCACCAGGTGCATTAAATTGGAGATTTGCAAGGAGCCCGGCGTCCTGACTTAGACCCTCGCCCCTAGCCATGTCCCCTGCTCTCTGTGGAGTCTGGCACAGACGCCGGTGTGGGATCTGAGCATTTGTTGGATCAACGGCCAGACACCTGCACATCCTGAAGGCACCCACAGTGTCAACTGTCTGGGGGTCCCGAGGGGTCAACAGCCTCACCTGGAATGGAGATCTCCTGCCTGTAGGGGTTTCCCAAGAATACAGAGGTGTCATTACCTCTGAGGTGCGTTTGGTTATTGTGGCCTCTCTGCAGTAGGGGACAATTTCCAAAATCGTTATCAACACCTAATACGCACCAGGCACTTCCTGCGGGTTACCTCTAGCTCTGACAGCCACCCTACAGCGTTTTTAAGATATCGTTCTTTTTTCATCTGAGGAGACCAAGGTTCAGGAGGTGAAGCGGACCTGAGTCACCCTCCTTCAGATGCAGTGTAAGACACCAGGCACCAAAGCTCCTCTCCCGGTCCAGCCAGAGAGGCCACCCAGGTGGGGCTGCGACCTGCTTGGGGCGCCCAGCCGCGAACAGGGGAGGGCTGCGGTCCAGCTCCTCTTGCCGGCATGGTGTCCTGCACGGAGCTGTCTGGACCCCACCGAGGTGGCCCACGTAGGGCCTGGCAGCTTCCAGCGCCCCTTCCTCCTCTGCTGGAGGTCTCGGCCCCTCCCCAGCCAGCGCCCGAGAGGAGTTGGGTTGCCTAAGCATGAACCCTGTTCCGGAAGCGAGGTTGGCGCGAACCCAATCCCCACCTGGGGCTCCTGGGGGAGGAGGTGCGGGAAGGGGAAGAGGAAGGGAAGTGAAAATTGCACAAAGATCTCTGCGCTCCAAAAATATACCTCTGCTATCTAGAAAATTGAGTAAAATGGGATGGAAATTTGGCTAAGTGATTATGGATATTGTTCTGTGGACGTGTTGCCAGGTGTCTCATAAAGAAGAGAAATAAATTTTTATTTCTCTGCCTTTACGCTGGGCTTAAGGTTTTAATAAGAATGCAGCGAGGGGATGTCGCGCAGCAGCTTGCCTGGAACTGAGATCATTGTTTCCGACAGAGCCTCAGGCCGCATTCCTCTGGCACAGGGGGGCCGGCTCCCCCCACACCGAGAGACCCCGGGGAGCCCGGGATGGGGGATGTAGACCGCGTGTCCGGAGTCCCATCCACCCGCGGCGTGTGGGTGGCGCTGGGCTGGTGTCCTGGGGGAGGAGGCCTGGGCACCCTGGAGGCCTCTAGGCCAAGCGGGCGCCTGTTTCAGTTTCTGCGCCCTCCTGGTGTGGGCCGCCCCATCCGCAGGCTGGAGAGAAAAAGCGCTTCCCGTGCACCCTGTCGCTGGGGTCCTGGGGAGAGGAGCTCCCGCTTCCACGTGGGGCTGTGCATGGAGAAGCTGGGAGGAGGCGCCGCTTCTGGGACCAAGTGGGGTGTCCGGTGTTCCTGGGGTGAAGTCTGCATCCCACGCCTGGGTGTCTAAGGGCTGAGTTGAGTTGGACACCCGGGTGGAAGCAGCTCTGAACAGTGGTGCAATGTTGTCCTTGGAGCCATTTCACCTTGGGTCCTGATGTGGCCCCTAAGAGAAAGTGCCTAATGTCAAAGCCCGTGCTTTAGGGGGGCCAGGAGGCCTCTGGGTGCCTCAGCACCCACAAGGTGCAGTCCAGAGATTCCGGACGGGGAGACTCAGGGCTGCCTGTCTTCAGCCCAGTGATCTCTGGTGCAGCCCGTGTGTCAGAGGGACAAGAGGCGCACATGCCAGGAAGGGTCCCGAGGGAGGGTGGGGTCCCCTGGCCTCCGAGTTAGCAGGGCCTCACTCCACCGTGCTTTCTGCACACTTCAGTGTGGCCCTTTCTCTGTGCCTGACTCACCAGGCTTCCTTCGGTGTGTGTGTGCATGTTCACATGTGTGTGCACATGGATGGGGCACTGTCTGTGCCTGTGTGCATGCCTGTGTGCCAGCCTGCTCTGACATTTACGCTTGTGAAAACTGAGGTATGAGAAATGCGCGATTCGGCTGCTCTGACAGATGCAGGCTCCCCGCCACCCACTTCCCTGAGCCCCAGGAAGCTCCCTTTGTCCCCCGGCCAGAGCCACAGTGGAGCTGGTGTCTAGCAGCACAGGTGAGCTCTGCCTATCCCTGAACTTCCCGCCTGCCACACGTGCCCTCCGTGCCTGGCGCTCTGCTCTTCAGAGTCCTCCTGGTGCCCCGTG
Organism: Homo sapiens; assembly: GCF_000001405.40. Classification (NCBI taxonomy): domain Eukaryota; kingdom Metazoa; phylum Chordata; class Mammalia; order Primates; family Hominidae; genus Homo; species Homo sapiens. The sequence continues at coordinate 112,465,857 of NC_000013.11, read as the reverse complement.
TCTCCGCTCGCGGGTTCTTGTGGGCGGGTGAGGTGCATCCCATGTGTGAAGGTACTACAGCTTATCCACTCCTCTCGCCAGACACCAAGGCTGTTTCCAGCCTCTGGCTATTTTTTAATGTGTTATTAATAAACATGCCATGAACGTTTGTGTGCAAGTTGTGTGTGCACATGTTTGAACATCTCTTGGATAAATGCTTGAAGTGGAATTTCTGGATTGTGTGCTAAGCGTTATATTTAACTTTATAAGCCACTGGCAAGTGGGTGTGGAAAGAGCTCACACCTTTCTGCATTCTCACCAGCCGCTCGTGGGTTCTGGCGGCTGCACGTCCTTACCAACATTTGGAGTTACCAGCCTTTTTCATTCTGGCCATTTCAGGGACGTGAGGCGGTGTCTCGCGTCCCCCACGCCCACCTGGTGGCTGTGGCTCCAAACGCCTTTCCTGGGCTTGCTGGCCGTTTGCTTGTCTGCTTCGTGAAGTGCCTCTCAAGTGTGTCGCCCTCTGTTATTGGGCTGTTTTTCGTCTTCATTGGATCGTAGGTGATCGTTGTAGATTCCGGCTGCAAGCCTTCTGTCAGATATGAATTGCAAATACTTCCTCCCTATTTATGGCTTGCCAGTTTAATTTTTAAAAGCTTCCTCACTTTGAAACAATCTCAAACTTACAGAAAAGTGGCAAGTACAGTAAAATAACTTTTTCTTGAAGGATTTAGTGATAAGTTGCAGACCTGTCACCCCATCACCCCCATGTTTTTCAGTTTGTTTTTCCTACAAACAACGATGTTCTCCTACGTAACCACGTCACAGCCAGCAGAACCCGGAGTTGAACACGGATCGACTGCTTCCCTGACAGCCAGACCTCACTCTGCTTCTGCCCTCTGTCCCCAGCAAGGTCTTAGACTGCAATTAGATGGCGAGTGGCTCAGTCCAGATCACACCCCCACGAGTCGGCAGGCGCCTGGTTCTCGCTCAGTCTGGAGGTTAGCGGTCTTGCCTTGGCTTTTCTGGCCCTGAAACTTTTGAAGAAGATAGACAGTTATGTTGTAACTTTTCCCTCAGTTTGGATTTGTCCAATGTCTCTTCACCGTGACATTCAAATTATGCACCTGTGGCAGCAAAATTGCCGAAGTCATGTGGTGTCCTTCCTGTGCCCTGCTGTTGGGTGGTGCCTGAGCTCAACTACAACTACCCAGTGAGGCGCCTGCCAGATGTGTCCACTGTGAGCTCAGTCTTTCCCTCTTTGAAACTAACAGCCTTTGGGGGGTGGATTATGAGAATACGTAAATATTCCATTCCTCATCAACCCTTCAGATCATTTATTTATTTATTTATTTATGGAGACAGAGTCTCGCTCTGTTGCCCAGGCTGGAGTGCAGTGGCACGATCTTGGCTCACAGCAACCTCTGCCTCCTGGGTTCAAGCAATTCTCCTGCCTCAGCCTCCCAAGTAGCTGGGATTACAGGGGTATGCCATCATGCCCAGCTAATTCTTGTATTTTTAGTAGAGATGAGGTTTCACCTTGTTGGCCAGGCTGGTCTCAAACTCCTGGGCTCAAGTGATCCACCCACCTTGGCCTCTCAAAGTGTTGGGATTACAGGCATGAGCCACCACGCCTGGCCTATGTAATTATTTTTATCAGGGTAGATTCATGGTTTTCCATTTTATTCAATGGGATATAATCTGTTACCTTCACTAGTTTTTTTTCATGCTGAAATTCTCCCATATTTGGCCCGCAGGAGCCCCTCCAGCTGGCTTCCATGCCCTCTCCCCATGATGCTGTGGCTGCTTGAGTCCTGCCTAACTTCTGACGAAACACAATATTCCAGGCTTCTCTGGTGCCTTCCCTGCCCCTGCCCTGGGATCCACCATTTCTCTCCAAAGAGCCCTGGGTCCTGTGAGTGGAGAATGGCACCCAAGACCTGGGACGGTTTTTGCTTCAAGTGTTAGAGAGCTTTCTTATGGGATGCACACATTTAAGATTCTTATGTCTTCTTGATGAATCGACCCTTTTATCATTAGAAGCTGCCCCTCCCTTTCTCTTAAACCATTGCATTTAAGGTCTGCTTTAGTATTAATAAAGCTACGGCAGCTTTCTTTCACTTAGTGTATACAGGGTATATCTTTTTCCAACATTTTACTTTTAACTTCTTTGTGTCCTTAGGATTAAACTGTGTTTTCTATAAACAATATATAGTTGGTCTTTCATTTTTATTAGTTTTATAATATCTACCTTTAAACTTGTGTATTTAGTCTACTTACATACAATATCAATATATTTGGGTTTGATTCTACCATATTTCTCCACATTTTCTACATATAAATCATCTCTTCTGCCCTTTCTTGATCTGTGCCTTTTCCCCTGCCAAGGTGAATTCTGTAATTTTGGTTGGTATTGAATCTTATTTCCTCCATTGATCTGGTGTTTTTGCATCATCCTTTTTTTTTAGTGCTTGCTCCAGATATTAAAATGTACATCTTTGTCAACCTCCATCTTAAAAAAAATCTACTACTTCATAAATAGTGTAAGCAATTTTTCAATAGCATAATCCCTTTGTACATTTTGTCTTTATTTCTACAGATATTGTAAACAGCAAATTACTTTTTAATTATTTTTACTTTAAACAATCAATAGCCTATTCAACACACGTATATATGTTTGGGAGAAAATGTAAATGCAGAGAAATAGAGAACATATATATACATATACATATACGTACAAATATTTTTAAGGTATTTTGTATTTAACATGATACAAAATTTTGTTAGTGTTTATCATGTCTATCAGGTATAATTTCTCATCAGACTAAAGGACTTCTCTTAGCATTTTGGATAATGCTATTCTGGAGATAAAGTCATTCAGCCTTCACCTATCTGAGGATGTCTTTGTTCTAAAGAATATTTTTACTAGATCTGGAAATCTAGGTTGATGCTTTCGTCACATTAAAGATGATGTTTTCTCATCTTCTGGCCTCCTTTGTTTCTGATGGGAAGTTGGTGGTGTTCTCATCTTGTCTCGCTGTGTGTGCCATGTCTTTTTGCCTCTGGCTGTTTTCAAGACTTGCGCTTTCTGGGTTGCCTTCGGCAATCTGACCATGATGTGCCTTGGAGTGCTTTCTTTGTAGTTTCCTACTTGGAGTTGCCAAGCTTCTTGCATTTGTGGTTCTCTTATTTTTTCAATGTCCTTGCCCATTATTTTTTCAGAGAGTTCTATGCCCCATTCTCTTTCTCCTCTCCTTCTGGAACTCCAGTAACATGTACACTTGCTATTATTCTTCACCCACAGGCCTCCAATGCTCTGTTTTTTTCCCTCCCTCACTCTGTTTGTCCCTTTTCATCAGCTTGGGTAATTTCTATTCATGTCTTCAAGGTCACTGATTCTTTCCCGTGCTATCCACAGTCTGCAGAGGCACCCGTAAAGAGAGCTCTGACCTGATACAGCGTTTTCACTTCTAGTATTTGCATGTGTCTGCTGTCACCTTTTTTCCCCTTGATTTTGTAACATATTTAGCATTGTTGTTTTAAGGTTTTTGTCTGAAATTCCAGTATCTGAGTGATTTCTAGGTTTGGTTCTGTTGGCTGTTTCCTCTCTTGATGGTGGGTGGCATTTTCCTGTTTTCTGATGTGTCCTGTCGTGTTTGGTTGACTGCTGGAAGCCTGTTTGTTGGCATGCGTATGCCGCCCACACCCAGGCTGCGGCCTCTTCTTGCCAGTCTGTACTGCAGTGGGTTTGGTCAGCCTATTCTGTAGCTGAGCTGGGTTTGGGCTTTACTGTTAATTTAGTAAGATTCTGTTCACCACAGACTTCATGTGATTTGAAGGCCAAATCAGAACTCTCCTTTTCTTGGGCTCAGGTGCCTGTGGGCTCCATCTTAGCTCCCCTGCCTTTCCTTGGGTGTCGTCTGGCTCCTGACATCTGCACCTGGGGGAACCCTCCACCCCCTCCCCCTCCCTGTGGTAAACGCCCCCTGCTTTGTACTCAGTGCAAGCCCTGGGGTGCCTCTGGGGCTTCGCTCGGCCTTGGTCCCTGCCCTTAGACTGCAGCAGGCTTCGTGTGCCTGCGCCCGAGAGGTGGGGCCCTCTGCTTCCCTGTCTCTCTGCAGGCTTCATGCGCCTGCCCCCGAGAGGTGAGGTCCACTGCTTCCCTGACTCTCTGCAGGCTTCATGCGCCTGCGCCTGAGAGGTGGGGCCCTCTGCTTCCCTGTCTCTCTGCAGGCCTCAGAAGAAGGCATGGGGTGTATGAAGGGCTCGTCCCCCTTCTGCTGCACCCTTGCTCCTCAGTAGGCCTTTCATCCCCATGTTTTGGAGGGCATCTCTCAGCCTTCCGCCATATACCCCATCCTTCTTAAGGGCACCTGGAGAAGGACCATGAAAAATCCCTGGAGGTGGGGGTGGGTTCTCCTGCGTCCAGACTCACAGGCACTCTAACGCTAATGCCACCCCACATTCAGCCTTTACACATTTGTCAGAAGCTTATCTGTTGTCTTCTTCTTTGTGTCCCTGGAAGCTTCCACCTCCCCCATGGCTGGTCCGTGGCTGATGGCAGCTGTGGGCACTTCTTGGGAGGCTGCTGATCCGTGGATTCAGCTCACTGGGCTTCTGTCCAGTTTCAGGTCTCCGATGAGCTTTTAAAAGATGACAATTTTTAGATTATCTAAGTTTTTCTCGCTTTATGGAGGGAGCCACATTTCCTGTGCCATCTGCAACCTGAGTGGGAACAGAGCATCAGTGTCTTCTTTCAGCTGGCAGGATCCTCAGAGGATCTCGTGAGGAGATGGGACGGTGTCCTGACTCTCCTCTGTGAAGCACAGAGTTTTGAAGGTCAGCTCATGGCCAAGCACTGTAAAGAGTTGCCAACAGTTACACATTTCATTTTACAAAAGAACAAAGGCTCCAAATTTGCCAGTATTCCCTGTGATGATAAATGGCTATCCATAGTATGCTACTGATCAAATATTTTCAAAAATATTAAAATGCTCAACCCCTTCAAGGTAGAACCTCGCTAATAATGTTTTGACAATGAATGAAGCAGCTACCTTTCAAAAGAAATGCATCTGTGGAGAAAACATTTTTGAAATGAATGTTCAAAAATGTGGTTTTATTATGTGGTTTTGTGGCTAAGAGTGATGTGTCACCTTTTTTTAAGTTTGATTTAAATCCTTAAGAAACTTGAAAAAATAGTTTTCAAACTTGTTTAAAAATATACCAAGAAAGGGATTCCAGTTGATTGGCCCTATTTGTTAATATTATTGAAATTCAATACATCCTAATTAGCCTGGACGAACAGCTGATTGTCATCATGGAGTATAGAAACGTACAGCCCAAATTTTAACAAAATCCTGGGCAGAGTTGGTCACTGGGATTGAATAATACACAGCACTGTTTAGAAGTATAGCAATGATGTGCTTCTCCACTGTGATGAATGTATCCTTGTGAGGAATCATTTTGAAGAATCATTTTTCAGATGTCATAGTCATTAAAACTGAGTATCAAAATTAATTAAACTTAAATGTCACTTCAGATAGTTGCACTGCAAAGTGTTAAGCCAAGGGTTTCCTAACAGCATCCAAGCCAAGAACCAAATCAGGGGCATAATCCCATTCACAATTGCCACAGAAAGAATAAAATACCTAGGAAGACTTTAGCTAACCAGGGAGGTGAAAGATCCCTACAAGAAGAACTACGAAACACTGCTCCAAGAAATCGGAGAGGATACAAACAAATGAAAAAACATCCCATGCTCTTGGATAGGAAGAATCAATATCATTGAAGTGGCCATACTGCTCAAAGCAATGTACAGAGTCAGTGCTATTCCCATCAAACTACCAATGACATTCCTCACAGAACTAGAAAATCTATCCTAAAGTTCATATTGGAGCCAAAAAAGAGCCTAAACAGCCAAGGCAATCCTAAGCAAAAAGAATCAAGCTGGAGGAACCACATTACCTGACTTCAAACTATACTACAAGGTTACAGTAACCAAAACAGCATGGAACTGGCACAAAAACAGACACGTAGACCAATGGAACAGAATAGAGAGCCCAGAAAGAAAACCACACACCAGCAACAATCTGATCTTTGAAAAAGTCAGCAAAAACAAGCAAGGAGGAAAGGAATCCCTCTTCAATATATGGTGTTGGGAGAACTGGCTAACCATATGCAGAAGATCAAAGTTGGACCCCTTCATTACACCATATACAAAAATCAACTCAAGATGGATTAAAGACCTAAATGTAAAACCTAAAACTATAAAAACCCTGAAGATAACCTAGGATATACCATTTTGGACATAGAAACTGGCAAGGATTTCATAACAAAAAAGCCAAAAGCAATTGCACAAAAGCAAAAGTAAACAAATGGGACCTAATTAAACTAAAGTGAAAAGAAACTACCAACAGAGTAAGCAGAAAACCTATGGAATGGGAGAACATATTTACAAACTATACATCTGATAAACATCTAATATCTAAATTATACAAGGGACTTAAACTAAAGTACAAGCAAAAACCAAATAACTCCATTAAAAAGTGGGCAAAGGACATGAACAGACACTTTTCAAAAGAAGACATATACTTGGTCAACAAGCATATGAAAAATCATCAGAGAAATGCAAATCAAAACCACAATGAGATGCCATCTCATACCAGTCAGAATGGCTATTATTAAAAAGGCAAAAAAATAGCATGCATGCTGGCGTGGGTGTGGAGAAAAGGGGACACTTATACATTGTTGGTGAGAGTGTAAATTAGTTTGGCCATTGTGGAATGCAGTGTGGTGATTCCTCAAAGAACTAAAAAAAGAACTACCATTCGACCCAGCAATCCCATTACTGGGTGTATACCCAAAGGAATATAAATCGCTCTAACATAAAGACACATGCACACGTATGTGCATTGTAGTACTACTCACAATAGCAAAGACATGCAATCAACTTAAATACCCATCAATGAGAGACTGGATAAAGAAAATGTGGTACATATAAACCATGAAATACTATGCAGCCATAAAAAGGAGTGAGATCATGTCCTTTGCAGGAACATGGGTGGAACTGGAGGGCATTATCCTTAGCAAACTAACACAGGAACAGAAAACCAAATACTGCATGTTCTCACTTATAAGTGGGAGCTAAATGATAAGAACACATGAACAGAAAGAGGGGAACAAAAGGCTCTGGGGCCTACTTGACGGTGGAGGAAGGAGAGGAGCAGAACGAAAACAAACAAAAAACAGCTATTGGGTAGTATGCTTAGTATGTGGATGACAAAATAATCTGTACACCAAACCCCTGAGTCATGAGTTTACTTATATATCAAACCTGACATGTACCCTTGGACATTAACCTGCACATGTACCCCTGAATATTGACTTTTAATACTTAAAAGTTAAAATAGTAAAAAAAAGGAAATCAAATGTTTCAGAAATAATTAAGCAAATCAAAGCATGGAACTCTCTAAAATCATTATTATTTATACCATATTTTAGTGAGAGCAGGAAATGATTGACGATTCCAAAATTACACAGAAACTTTTCTTTTATATAATTCTTATCTCATCCTTCAAAAATGTCTTTTTGTTATGTGATGTGTATAACATAGTAACAGTTCTTGTACACAACTTTTAAATACGTGTGCATGCTCATTGGGATTCACGTTCCGAATTTCAAAACGTAGTTCTTGTTTCAGGAAGTTCAGAGGTTACTCTTTTGGAAGATCCATTCTTGGATGTGCTGGCAAAAGCACTGTTGTAGAGATGCTTTTGGGGGAGGCTGCACATCATTCATGAATAAGTCCCAAAGGCAGCATTTCTAATAATGCGTTGTCTAATATGTATTAGAGCTGGCTTGGAGGTGTCCCTGGGGAGCCCCTCTTTCCTTCGCATCCATCCCGGAAGCTCCTCGAGTGGAGAGAGTCGAGGGTCGGCAGGAAGACAGCAGGAAGTTGAGAAGAGCAGCATCCATCATGTGTCACTGCTGAAAAATAAAAAGTAAACACCAAAGCCGAAGACCATCCTTTGAAGCCTGAGTCAGGCCCAGGACCTGGGGAGGCTTATGAAACTCAGGTGCCCCGGCCCCGCCCAGAGCTTCCGGCCCAGCAGGTCTGGGTGGAGTTGGAGAGTCTGCATTTCCGAAAGGTGCCTCTGAAAGGGATGTGGTGCCGTCATCCCTCTGGAGCTTTGAAGCCATGCAGCCGGACTTCAGCAAGAATGGTTGCATGGACTGTTCAAACCCGCACCTGCCGGCCAGCGGCTGAAGAGCCCGTGTTGACCATAAGGGACAGGAAAGGGAGCACTCTCTGCACAGCCTCGGGGCCCTGCTGTGGCCCTTACCTGGGAGGGCTGGCCTGGCGCAGGCACAGGCTGCTGAGGACCAGCTGCTGGCCGGCCCTGCCCGACCAAGGCCACCTGTGTTTTCATTCCCAAATTTATTTTCTGGTTATAGGGACAATGTCCCTATAACCAGAGTGGTATTAATGTGTAGGTGGCACAGTTGTGTACTTATGGGTGTGGTTTGGGGAACTCTGTCTTAAAAATGCCCTCCTGACTGTCTTGGTGCCTGCTCCTGGGTGCCCCAGACAGGGGTTTTCCGGTGGCTTCAGGCTGCGTGGCCCAGTGAAGCCGGTGCTCACCACGTGGCCACGGCCGCTCCAGGTAGAGATGTGCCGTGGGTGTAAAAGTAAATATCTTATTAATGCGTTTTTTCTACTGATTACTTATTGAAATGGCAATGTTTTAGATATATTGGGTTAAATAAAATAGTAAAACAAATTTCTCCTATTTATTTTCACTTTGTAAAAATGCGACTCCCAGAACATTTGCAGTTCTGTGTGGCTTGTGTCTGTGGCTCGCACAGTTCCTTGCACAGCACTCATTCCCTCTGAAGCAGACAAGATGCGTGGACTTCGAGGAATGTCCCCTCCTCTCCTGCTCCCCGTCCTGTCCCCGTGCCTTCCCAGGCCCCTCCCCTCTTTGTCTTTTCCTTGCCTTCCTTGTGGATGAAGTTCAGGGTGTCAGGGAGAAGCCTGGGACCCCTGGCCCTCGCGGATCTGCAGTCGAGGGGGCTGTTTCCTACCCCATTCGCTGTCCTCCTTCCTCTTTCTGTAGCAGAACCCTGCATTGATTTGGGGCAGCAACGAGCCCCAGTGAAAGCCTGGTTTTCTAATCTGTTTCACCTCTAGGTATTGCCGCATGACTCGCAATGAGCGGTAACTAGACACTGTGTGAAGGAATTCCTCTAGTGGATCTCTAGTCTCATGCTCTTCTCTCCATCTTCATCCTTCCAGCTGCTGGGAATGTGGTCATGAGGCTGGAGCTTAGGCAGCCTTCTTGACCACAGGAGGCCACTCCCAGAGAGGGGAGGCACCGTAATGGGAGGAGCCCTCATGTGGGCATTACCTGCCTGCCTCTGGTTTCTTTCACACAATTGAGAAACGGACTGCTTTCTTGGGTAGCCCTGTTCTACGCGGCCAACTCAGCCTTGACTTTTTTGCCCCTCTTGGTCTGGGTTCTTGCAGGGAAGGTGTCCACAGTCACTCCATGCAGTGACTCGCCTGCAGCTGTGGCAGCCGGGGCTCCACCCACATCTCTGAGATGCCCGCACTGTCGCATCTTGTCATTTGTCTGCTTACACACCTGTCCTTATGTGAGACTGCCGGCTCCTTGAGGACAAGAACTTGGAGTTGCTTCCATGTTTCCTGTTGCTAAACCAGGTTGGCATAAAGTGGGTGCTCAGCAGATGTTTACTGAGCCGAATCCCATGTACCTACAGGCTCCAAGGTTCCCGCTGTGATCATTCAAACTTATGGATCTCCTTTGAGGGACAGCTGGAAGTTGTTTACAGAATCAGACATGGAGACTTTCTCCTTCAGACGGAATCTAACTGGTCAGTTTTAAAGCTGTGGCATTCCCTGGCGGGGCCACTGTGCTAGTTCTCCCCATGGCGGGCTTTATAGGAAGGCCCCCTCTTCACACAGAAGCCGGGAAGGCGTGCCTCGGTAAGGGTATAGCCCTGAGTGTCTGCACCCCCCAAAACCCCTGCTCCCTGCTCGTGTGTGACAATCTGACTTCAGACAGTTAATCTTTCTGGCTCAAGCATTTGGAATGGAGATGGACTGAACCCACTGGGCGTTTTAGTTGCATGTAAGCCGCACTCCGGGCTGAGCTTGCCGAGCTGACTTCACTGTCTGGGCTGCCTGCCTGGGGTGCTGGGAGCCAAGTGCCCATTTCCAGAAGCTCGCTGTGCTCCCCCAGGTCAGCTCCTGTCTGCCTCACCTCACCGTGGTCTCCTTTTCCTAATGCGTGATGGAGACCAGCGTCGTGTGGCATCCATGGACCCCATCGAGGACCTTTTGATCAGTGGTGGGGTTGGGATGGGGACAGGAGGTGGTGGGGTTGGGATGGGGACAGGAGGTGAGCTGCTCATGGTGTTGATTTCTTCTCCTCGCAGACACAAGGAGATTCAGAGGTCCTGTTTGTGCCTCTGTCTGCTTTTTCTTCCTGGAAATTTTCTTCCTGGGATTCAGGACCTGAGGAAGGTCTGGGTGTGGCCTCAGCTTTGGGCCATGAAACCCATCTGGACAGATCAGGCTGACCTCTGGGAAGCATCTGTGTGTGGTTTAGACAGGGAGAGAAGCTGGATGGAGGGGAGTGGTGCTGAAGTGGGTTGAGCCAGTGGGGGTCAAGCGGCTAAGCTCCAGAGGGGGGTCTGGGCTGCAGGCGAGGAGGCTTCCTGGGGTCCTCAGGCGGCCCCTGCACCCCCAGCTCAGTGGGCCTGGCGAGGAGGCTTCCTGGGGCTGTCAGGCGGCCCCTGCTCCCCCTGCCTCAGTGGGCCTGGCTGTCCCCTTAGCACAACGGCGAGTTCCAACACTGGATCCCTGGGAGAGCATCTTTTGTTTGCTTTTGTTTAGTTTAAAAATAGATATATTAGGAATCAAGATGAGATGAGGTTAGTCCCCAAAGTTAAATTCCTCTTCCTTGCCTTTGAGCTGTGCCATTCCGAACGCGTCTCCTTTAGTCCCCCTAGGATCCGGTCTGGGCTGGGCTTGCGGATGCCAGGCCCCCCCGATCCACCGTGTCAGGGCCAGCTCCATCTGTCCTGTGTCAGTGGGGTCCTCAAACAGGATTTATTTTAAATCATCACTGCAGGAGATAATCTATTTTCCATAATAATCTGCAGGTAGCTTTACTAATTTCCTCTGGAGCGGGGATGGAGGCTCGCCTCGCTTCCGAGAGGCTGGGGCCGCGCCTGGCTGCACTGATGCCTTATCGCCCGTGTCCTCACGCAAGGCTTCACTTTGGTGTCAGGATCTCGGGGGCTCAGAAATGCGGGTTCATTGTGGGTGGAGGGTAAGCCCTTCCTCAGCAGGTCATGACCAGAGGTGGTCGGACGGCAAGGACTGCTCTCCAGGCACGTCCAGCAGGGACAGTGCGGCCGGGCCCTCCCCTCGGCCGCTGGAGGCTGCAGCCCTCAGGTTTCTGGCAGTGACAGGCGTCCTCCAGGGAGGGTCTGAGTCGCACCCTCCACATTGGCTGAGGACCCAGCTCATGCTGTGGGAGAGGAGGAAGCTTCCATGGCTCCAGGACTGTCTTCCTGAAGGAAGTTCGTGGGGGTGGGTGGTGGAAGGGGGTCCGGCCCTAATGGGGCTCCCGTTGTCCCTCAGCACGGCCTCTGCTGGGGGTGGTGGCCTGAACCCTCACTCCAGGGGCCCAAGCTCCAGGTAGACGTGCCCAGCTTAGCTGTGTGGTTGCCCTTGGGAACCACAGTGGGTCGGGAATCAGGCGCCCCAGGGATGTCTGGCTCTACACTGTCCCTCCCTCCCACAGCACAAGGCCTAGTCCCCTCCCTGCCCTGCCCAGAGCCCCCAGTTCCTGCACTCGCGACCCAACTCCTTTGTCCCCACTGACTCCTTTGTCCCCACCTTTACAGACTATCCCTGTCCCTCTGGCGACCCCGCTTGTGCCTGCTGCTTCCTGCTGTTATCCCTCCCGGTACCACATTCTAATCACTTGCGATTAGATCGGCACTCAGGCCTCTGGACACCCGAGCATGACTTCTGGGACAAGCTGTGTCTTCTCCCCCAACCTTTAAAAATGTGAACCATGATTCAGGTGGTGAATAAAAGCTGGCACGGAATTAAGCGGTGGATGGATGCGACATCTTTATCGCTGTGTCCTGATTGTGGTGCAGGACGGTCCTCGCGGTGCCGTGGCTGTTTCTGTGGCGGTCGTCGGCGCACTGTGGTGGTGACTGTGGCTCACATGCACCCTTGGAGGCCCTCGGAGGTGGCACCACATCTGCGGACACAGCAGCCCCGGTGGCCTCACCCTCTCACTGAGGATTCCCGCCATCACCTGGCGACATCCCCTGAAGATTCTTTTTAAGAAGTCTGTGCCCTACACGGCAACATTAGGCTGTAGGCGTCACGCTCCTGTGATTGTGAAGTCAAGCGACCGCGGCGTCAGGCGGGGCTCCGTGCTGTGAGTGTGGCCAGGCTTGCAGCTGTCAGTGCTGGGGAGAAGTTCAGGGGTCCGGGCATCTGGGCGGTCCTTCTCTGATGCCACATCCTG